>NC_000005.10:167579505-167882536 GCF_000001405.40 Homo sapiens
GCTACCTTCTCATCATTGACTTCAGTTCTTCTGACGGTTCGACAGTCGTAGCCAAGCGTTGTCCTGACTCACAGATCTGTGGTCACTGCAGTTCCTTTACTATTGCTGGGCAAGCCAGAGATTTACTGAAATCCACAGTAGCTCTAATTTTTGTGTGTGTGAGTGTGGAGAATTCTTAAAGTTAGTATAAATTTCTCTGTACCTCCCTTTTCTTCCTATTCCGAGCCTGATGGTCAAAGACAGTTTACCTCTCTGCCCCCATATATAAGACAACACTTGTGACCTGAATAAATAGCATTAGATTGTGGTGAGTTTCTTCAGTCATATTACATCATGCATCACGATCGCGTGTGCTGTAAAGCTTTGTAAAACAGCCAGCTACATGATATCCTGCAGGTTTAATATACTTCTGCAGCCTTGTACTTGGGAAGGATTTCTGTAATTGGAGACAATCTAGTAAGGAGAACTTTTTAAGCCATCGGAGGCCAAAATACAAGTTTTTGAGAAATGTGCCTTTATAGGCTTGAAACTGAATGGATTACAAATTTCTCTTAACTGGACAGAATCATAATTGCCTATAGAGTACGGTCCTGATTATCCAGGGTTTGAATTTCCAGCATGGGGATTATCCAGATTTCTTCCTTGACTCCCCTGTCTTTTTCCTAACTACCTGACGTGAAACATTTCTCTAATCATTGGCACCTCTGCTAATGCTATGCAAGGGCAAATTTGAGCAGGAAAATCCGAACTAGCGAATTATCATTCAGAAGAGGGAATTATGTAGAAAAATCTGGTTTTTGTAACTATTCACTAAAGTCGACTGGATAAATTTAAATTTGGGGGGACATCTTTCTATTTACAAATGATGTTTACTGTAGCTGCATATATGCTGTTGAGAACAGCATATATGGGTTTCCTACCCAAACCCCAGTTAGTTATTCTCCACCATTCTCATTTTAGTCATTAACTGGGTGCCAATCAGTCCTTGATAAGTTATTTATTTTTAGGATTTGACCCACACACTGAAAGCCTCTTAGATACCACAAGGAGGCTGAAATGGTGAAAGAATAGGAAGTGGAGCTGGCCTTGCCAGAAACGCTGTTACTGCAGAATAGGACAGGAGTCACCAGACCACCTTCCAAGTCTGCAGAACAGGGAGCAGATTTCTGTCTACTGAATATTACTACAGAATCAAAACTTGAGGCTGGGCTCAGTGGCTCATGCCTATAATCCCAGCACTTCGGGAGGCCGAGGTGGGCGGATTGCTTGAGGCCAGGAATTGAGACCAGCCTGGCCAACATGGTGAAATCTCATCTCTACAACAAATACAAAAATTAGCCGGGCGTGGTGGCGCAAGCTTGTAATACCAGGTACTCAGGAGGCTGAGGCACCAGAATTGCTTGAACCCAGGAGGCGGACGTTGTAGTGAGCGGAGATCGTGCCGCTGCACTCCAGCCTGGGAAACAGAGCGAAACCTTGTCTCAAAAAATCAAAAAAACGGGAACCAAAAAAGAAAACCTTGATTTCCTCTCATATTCACGTACATCAGTTGTGGCTTGGACACTTTCATAATCCTGTGGTTATATCTGGCACTTTGTACCAATGTCTCTCATCAAATAGTGTACTCTTCTGTCATCTCTATTTGACAAACATACTTATTAATAATCGGTAGCAGTTTGAGGTGCTTAATACAAATTCACAAGCTGTTTCTGTTTCTAAATGTATAACATAATATAAGCAATAAAACATATGCTATATAATATAATTGACAAAATATGCTAAAAGGCAAAAAGTGGTGTTGCCTCAGTGGTACTTTAAAAAATATCCTTTTATCACTAGATTAAAACTGAGTCTGTTAGAAAGAAACATACTTGAAGTTGTTAAATGTTCAGGTGCAGTCGATGATGTAGTATAATGAACAATAGTTTTCAACCCATATTTTAAATGAGAATTTAAGCAGTAATATAGTACATAAACTGAAAATGTAAAACAACTGTTAGAAAAATCATTGACAAATCTAGTCACATGTTCTGTATGTAGAGGATTCCTCTTAGTATTCGTATTTGTGTTACATTTATATACATACATGTATGTACACACATGTATTATAGAGAATATATGTATGTGCATATATCTTTATCTATATCTATTTCCAGAGTGAGAGAGACAGAGAGAATAAAGGGGTGAATTCCTAATAAGATACAGTATGAGTACATTCCCGATAAAATATTGTGGTTTTTCCAGCTGACATTATTAATTTCCCACAATCTGACGCACAGTGTGCTATGTACCAAGGATGCCAAAATGAAAAAGACACAATTCTTAAGGAGTTTATGATCTAATCTGAAATTAGATATTATTTTCATGTTGAATTTTCAGTTGTAGATATATTTAGTAATCAAAAACATTGAGAGAGAAAAAAAAAAAATCAAGCGTTACAAAGCCATTGGAGCCCACACTAGGTATCTCTACATTTTACATGTCTTGCCTCATCAGGAGGAGAGTTGGAAAATAAATATAGGCAGGTATGATTTGGGGAAGAAGATTCTCATATAATATAATCTTGTCCCAACTAAACATAAATCTGGCTTTATGGAAAAACCAGGCTAGGGTTTCTGAATTCTCTGTTACCACTTACTGTTGATGCAGGCCACAGACCAAAGATAGGATTAGTTTGTCTGATTTTCACTCTTCTCTGAGTTCTATACAGCATTCAATCAAGCAAAGAATGTGAGGGAAAGTGTTGTCAACCTGCTTAGTATTAAACATGCACAAATAATGTTTTGTTTGAAAAGATATGTAATTGAGCATATGTTTTTAAATGAAATAGGCTTATGTGACAAAAATCATTTTATTCTTGATCTATATGGCATTTATGATGTATATGTTTTATGTGTTTATAATCACCTATCCTATGTGATTTATATACACACACATATAGTCTCTAGAGGTCAGTAGAATATAAGAAATGGGCAAAAATTCATGTCTAGATGAGACCCAGAGATCCTGGAGACCATTTTTCAAATGGTGAAATGATGATAGTCGACTAATGACATTAGGAACTGAAATCATTAATCAGTGTTAACAAAAAAGTCATGTCATTCTTGTTCCTGAAATGAATCTAATCTATTTGTTTTAAGCAAATTTCAGATAAATGAACATTTACATGGCACGAACCTTTACAGAAACCAAGCTGTAATTACTTTATTATAGTTTATTATAACAGGCTGTGATTCTCCAGAAGCTTTTTTGAGGATTTTTTTTTAAATGTTACCAGAACAAAAAGGTAATTTGTTTTTAAACACTTGACTATTACATCCAAAACACTATTTCTCTTTTAGCTGCCAATTCAGTCCCCTTGACTCTTAGAAATGAATCATTTCATGATTTATACGTTGTAATTTTATTTGTTCTTATGAACTAAGTGTCCCTGATGTTGGAAAATGTATTAGAAAATTGTGATTTATTTTATATATTAAGCTAAAATTGTTGACAGTCCAGCACTTGCTGCACAGTTGAGCATGTTTGCCAAGTTTTTCTCTGGAACATTCATGCACAAAAAGTGTAGGAAATGACATAATGTAGCCATGAACTATTTGATAGTGGAGTTGTCCGTGACTCTTACACACCATTTTATGCAAGAAAAAACAGCACAGCAGGGATTCAGATTTCATTCGAATTCGGGGATAAATGATTATCTTTTAAGTGGAGATCGCATGCCTTGGCTTAGAACTTAATATGCCTTGCACACATTAATATCGCTCACACTTGGAACTAATCTATCAATAAGCTATTCCCATATTTGTTTACTTACACTAGCGTGGATTGCATTCTTAGTTCAGTTTCCTCCAGGATAAATCCTAAACCATGTATTGCAGCAGAAGTGCCTAAAGGTGAATAGTCAGAAATAAAACAATAGGAGGTGATAGGGGCCTGTGGAGCTGTGAAAAGGCATTATGAGTATATGTACACACACACACACACACACACACACACACACACACACCCCAAACCTATCTTAAAACAAAACAAAACAAAAAACCTACTGAACATTTTTAGAGAATAACCATATGGAGAATTTAGAAGAACTTTAGGTTTATAGTACCACAAGATTCCCAGTAGATATTCCATAAAAATTAATGGAGCACTTACAACGCATAATCTAGCAATTATTAAATCAAGAAGATATGCTGTGTTTCCTGTCCTCAAGGGGTTCACAGTGTTAACTGGATGCTCCCCATACAGCATCTCCCCTGCCTCTGAGCCTCTACCTCTGCTCTCCCAATCTTCTACATTTTCCATTCCATCTCTCCAGGATTCCTTCCAGTCTTTCCTGCTTTCCTAACTGTGGCTTTGCAGATGCTCATCTTTTTTGTCTGCTTTAACACTCCAGTTTGTCCCTGGCTAAATACTATTCATCTTTAGGCCGAACATTAAATGTCACCTCCTCCAAGAAGTTTTTCTCGACTACTCCTCCTTAAGTTTAAATTAGGAGCTCCCACTCTGTGATACTGTAACAATGCACTCACCTTATTGTAACAGTGTCCTCACTATATATAACTGCTGGTTTAATTGTTCATAGTCCACCTGTTACTGGCGGAGGGTCCTGACTACAAGTCATTCATGTTCTTGGCGTTTTAAACAAATAATTGGATAAAATGCACAAACAAAGCAGTGAAAGAATGAAGCAATGAAAGCATAGATTTATTGAGACAAAAGTGCACTCCATAGAGTGGGAGCAGGCTCAAGCAAGTGGCTCAAGAGCACTGGTTCCAGAATTTTCTGGGATCTAAATACTCTCTAGAGGTTTCCCATTGGTTACTTGGTTACATCCTATGTAAATGAAGACTTGGCCAACAACCAGTCTGATTGGTTGGAGGAGGTGACCAGTCAGATGCTGAAGTGAAGTTACAAAGTTACACTCTCTGCAAATGAAGACTTGGCCCATGACCAGTCTGATTGGTTGGGGGAGGTAACCAGTCAGAAGCATTTTCCATTTTTCATCTGTGAGGCATGGAAAGGGGAGTTGCAAAGGGAGAAGCCGGCTGAGGCTGATCCTTTTGTTATCTGGGCATGAAGAGGTGGGGTTTTCCTTTTCATTCAGTTCTAGGAAGTCAGCATCAATCGGCCTTAGATTCCCTACCCCTCCAGACCGTATTCTCCCGCCTCACACCTAAGCTTTCTTTACTTTTCTTTTTTTTTTTTTTCAGACGGAGTCTCGCTCTGTCGCCCAGGCTGGAGTGCAGTGGCACAATCTCGGCTCACTGCAAGCTCTGCCTCCTGGGTTCACGCCATTCTCCTGTCTCAGCCTCCCAAGTAGCTGGGACTACAGGCGCCCGCCACCACGCCCGGCTAATTTTTATATTTTTAGTAGATTTGGGGCTACACCTAAGCTTTTAAACTCAGTGAGGACAGGAGCCATGTGTGTCTAGCTTATCTGCTGCTGTATCACTGATGCTTAGAAAAATATCTGGCAGCATAATGTTAATTTCATCAATAACTCTTGAATGAATGTGCAAATATATAAATACTCACAATGTATGGATTAAAAGAAGATATCCACCTCCAAAAGACCACAAATCATTAACCTCTGTGTTTGTTCCCAAGTCTTAGTCTAGGGCAGATTCAAAGTGTCCTAGGGCATCATCCTTCTTCTCTCTCTATTTTCCACCCTGAAGTAGATCCGGATCCTTAATCCCCAGAATAGAATCGTTATTTTAGTTGGAGGAAGATGTACACTCTTTAGATGTTTTCTTCTTAGTCTCTGATCATGTAATTTATGATGAAAAGTACACTTGTTTGGAGGGTAGTCTAAAAGTGGTGACTACCTCTCTCCACTCTAGTGATGTTTACAAGATTTTGAACCTTGGATATCAGAACTGTTTAAATAGACCATGGACTCTGAGCATTGTGATCATGAATACAGATTGTCTGTTGAATATCAGGCATTTTGCTAGGAACTGGAGAGTCAGAAATGATGATGCAGAATAAATATATATTGATTTATTTTTAATTAGGCCTATGGGACCATGTCACTTTATGTGAGGATATTGTACTCCCAAATTTCTCTGCTTCTTTTCCACACCTCTGGTGAAA
Source organism: Homo sapiens (assembly GCF_000001405.40). Lineage (NCBI taxonomy): Eukaryota > Metazoa > Chordata > Mammalia > Primates > Hominidae > Homo > Homo sapiens. The sequence goes on from NC_000005.10 coordinate 167,585,602, forward strand.
TTCTAAGAACTTATCAATCAAGATATTTTCCTAAAAACATTGTATTTCTATGTTACACAAAGACATAAACAACCTTAGAGTCATGCTAGAAGTTATTTATATAATAATAGAATAAAAATGTTAATCAAATAATAAAATTTTTATTTTAATTATAGTCAGCCCTTTGTATCTTTGAGTTCTACCTTTATGGATTCAACCAACCATAGATTGACAATACTGAAAATAAGAATAATAAAAAAGCAGGCCAGGCACGGTGGCTCACCCTGTAATTCCAGCATTTTGGGAGGCCAAGGCGGGTGGATCACTTGAGTTTAGGGGTTTGAGACCAGCCTGGGCAACATGGCGAAACCGCATCTCTACAAAAAATAAAGAAATAAGCTGGGCATGGTGACATACACCTGTAGTCCCAGTACTCGGGAGGCTGAGGTCACAAGATTGCTTGAGCCCAGAAGGTCAAGGTTGCAGTGAGCACCACTACACTCCAGCCTGGGTGACAGAGCGAGACTGTCTCAAACAAAACAAAACAAAAAAATACAAAGTAAGAGTACGATAATAAAAATAATACAAATAAAAAAACAGGTGATATAACAACTATTTACATAGCATTTACATTATATTAGGTATTACAAGTAATCTAGAGATGATTTAAAGTATATGGGAGGAAGTATGTAGGTTATACGCAAATACTGCACCAGTTTATTTGAGGGACTTGAGCATCTGTGGATTTTGGCATCTATGGGGGTCCTGGAACCAAGCCCCACAGATACGGAGGGACTACTGTAGTAATAAACATGAAAGGCTGGTCAGTTAACTGTTCCTCTGACAATATGCATGTTAAATGATTTCAATGTATAACTGTAATTTCTCTTTTAATTTGGGACATATCCTCCTTCCTTTAATCTTTGGTTCCCTGAGGATGGTAGCAGACTGTTCATTTCTGTCTCACTCTCCCTTTCCTTCTCCAGGGTGTCCTGTTGAATCCACTCCTATGTCTTATGTGCAAACTCATAATACCCAGGATAGTTTATTATATTTATTCTTGAATAAGAAAATATTTTAGGGAAAGAGGTAATTTAAAAAATGGAACGTACTTGCCAATGAGCAAATGTATTCTATTAGTAGAGAATTATAACCACCTTATAACAATCACAGTATCCCTCATTTCCAAAGCGTTCTGGAATGAGTAATAATCAATACCAGAGTAAAGAAAGAATTTTTCTTCAATTTAGTTAGATGATTTTTATTCACAAAAATATCTAAGTTGTTGAAAAAATAGACCTTTGACTTTTAACTTGGGTTTATTTTTCAATTTGGAAAGTGCATGTAAGTTTGTTAATGTTAATTAGTAATTGTTGGGCTCTGAGGGGGTGCAGCATCTTCAGTCTGAGCTTATTACAGTGTAAAATATGGATTGCCTTTACCCTAATGGCCTCTGAATCCTATTACCATCCCATTAGAGAGTGTGGGATTTTAGTAATTCTGTTGTTGTTTCCAGTGGGCAGTGAATATAATGGGGAAGGGCAGGGGTTAATGCAATTCATCTCTTTTAATACTTGTAACTCCAACTCCCTTATCACTCACTGAGGTTTCATTGGGTTTTTCCCCTTTCTTTCTATATCTTTAAGGCCCAATATATTTCTCTATGCTTCTCCCAGCCAGAATAGTTTGGGGAGTATTTCGATGATTCTTGGGTTTAAATAGAATTTTCAATATTAGCCTTTCATAAACTGAAGATAAACAAATAAGGTAGTATGTCCGCTTGTTGTGAAACAGCCTGTCACTCAGAAAGGTTTTCAGTGACTGTCATTGTGCCAAGAATAGTATTGAAATGGCTCTTCATTCAAGATCATTTATAAGGCCTTTTGGAAGGAGAAGCATGATACCAGTGGGTCGGATCAATGCACACTAGTGTTCTGGGTATAATGTTTCCATGTGTTCCTGGAGACAGCTGTGTCCTGGGTGCTGGTGGTGCTAGAGAGAAGAATTGGAAAAGATTTCAAAGTGATAGAAATTAGATTCCTTTAAAGAGAAGTTTATGAGCAATAGTTAATTCCCTACATCTCCAACATGCTCAGTAGATGTTCATGTCTGATTATGTATCCGTGGTTTTATTCATGAAATTTGTTTTTAGCTAATACAGCTTTTTTCGGAATAAATACGAACATCAGATTACTTCTCAGTATGTCAAAACAAATTAGTTTCCCACAGTGATGCAGTGAAAGGTGTAACTATTTTCCCTTTTTATATGTCAGAAAGCATTACTGGGACTGGGAAATTCCTCTTTTTCCCCCCTTAGCCCGTGAGCCATGTGGTTTGCAAAGGTCTGCTTTAATTCACAAGCATGTTCACCTAGAGCTCCAGCACCTCCCTCTGCTGCCATTAGTGGGAATCACATGCTGAGATCCAAAGAGGCAACCACACTCAGAAAAGACTGGGAATGGCAGGAGGTGATCAGACCATTTCAATCTGTTGAAAGTGAGTGATATTCCCAGGGCTCACTGTTCACCTTCTCAGAGAATTAAGTTTCCATATGTTTCATCATAAATGACATGAACGTGCAACATAACTGCAATATGCAAATGTCCACTGGATAACGTAATAGAAAACTGGATTGGAGAGGAATTCTCCTTGTCTCCGTATTCAAAATATCTTGATTGTCCACCTGGTTATGGCTAATAGGCTAAGCCTGGTGACAGTGCTTAGGTCTATATATAATAGTAGTTTGTGTATCTGCATTGAATATTCGTGCATCACATTTCTCCTTAATTTGAGGTATCACTTATATTTCTACACAGACTGTGAGAGCATTTCTTTCTCTCCATCAATGGGTGTATTGTGTGAAATTCATTTTAGAATGTAATTATGTAGTGACCAATACAATTAGCTTTCATCCAAATGAATTGATATGAATAAGCATTGTTAAGGGATATTGTTTTCTTTTGATACTTAGTTACTTAGTTACAGACTACTTTTTAAATCCATTTCTGTTCCCACAATCACTTGGGAAGCTAAAACAAAACAACAACAAAAGAAATAAAATCTACTGTAAGTATATACTGAAGTAATAATCTTTTAAAAACAGCACATATACAAAAGACCATTAGCAGAAAATTACTGAACTCATGGAAATGACATGTAGATAGAACCTATGTAGAATTACTGGTTTGCAAAGGACAATATGAGGGATTCTGGTTACTCAACAAGTGGAATGTGGCTTTCTGTTTTTCATTTATGATTGGAACCCATTTAATTCATCTTGTCTGTTTATTCTTGGAACTTCCCTTCAGATCTCCAAGAAATATAAAAATCAGATGACAGGCCAGGCATGGTGGCTCACGCCTATAATCCCAGCATTTTGAGAGGCTGAGGTGGGCGGATCCCTTAAGGTCAGGAGTTCGAGACCAGCCTGGGCAACATGGCAAAACCCTGTGTCTACTAAAAATACGAAAAATTAGCTGGGTCTATTGGCACACACCTATAATCCCAGCTACTTGGGATGCTGAGGCATGAGAATCACTTGTACATGGGAGGTGGAGGTTGCAGTGAACTGAGATTGTGCCATTGCATGCCAGCCTGGGCGACAGAGGGAGGCTGTCTCAAAAAAAAAAAAAAAATTAATGATACTTAGGTTTCCATTAGAGAATGATATATTTACCATTGTCACAAAGCCACACAACCTTTCATGTGTTGTCTCTGTTCAGTGTTCCCTTAATGCATGATACACAAATTATTTAACAATAGTTGAATATTATCAAACTAGTAGTAAAGAAATTGGACTCTGCATAACACTAATAGTTTTATTTTTTAAACATGTGTCAGAATTCAAATATAAGTGTGAACTGTGTAGAGCACACAGGAATGCTGAGTGCCACATTTTGTACCATATTGCATCCAATGCTTTTGTGGAAATATTCCCCAATAAGTTTATGATAGCAATAGAAATTAGCATATTTTAAAAATATATATTTTAAACTATAAAAGTAGAATTGCTCTTTCAGAAAATTTGGAAAATTTAGAAAAAAAATTGAAGAGAATAAAAATTATTCATAATCCCATCCAAGTTTGTTTGTTTGTTTGTTTTTAACCCACTTAAACAGGTGAATATTTAAAAAATAAAGATTGTTTCTTGCATTCATTCTTATACAGTGGAAATTCTCTTATGCATTAAATAGCACTCAAAAACTTTACATTAATGTTCTATCAATGTGTATGCCTTACAAATTCCATGATACTTAAAAATAACTTTCTTTAACATTTTATTTATAAAACTATAATAATATATTTATTTAAAAGAATTTGGAAACAATATACAAACAAAAGTAAAATTATTTTGAAATGCTACCGTGAAAAGGTAAAAGCTTGAATAATTTGATGTATCATTTTACCATCTTTGTCTATGTAATAAGTAATAATAGTAATTACTTTGTTTGATTTATATTTTAGTTATTCTACAGTTTTATGCTTATCTCTTGATTTACTTACCACTGAATTCTCTGCTTGATTACATTTTTCTTAAAAAAGTCAGATTGCAATATTTTTAGGATATAAGAAACTTCTGCTTGTTGTATTCATAGCCAATATTTTTTCCAAATAGTGTTTTTTGTTTTTCATATGAAAATCAGTTTTGTTTTCATATGAAGATATTTCAAATCTTGATGTAGTAAGGTCTAAGGTCTTCTTCTACTATTTCAGATATCTTGAATTGTTTCTCAGCTTTAAAAAAAATCCCCATTATAAGGTTCAATAAATGCGTACTATATTTTCTCCTAGCAATTAAAAAATAATGTTATAATGACATTAACTTGCTAAGTTACTTTAGAAATGCATGTATGTATGTGTGTGTGTGACATGAGGATCTAGTTTCTTAAATGGTTAATCCATTACTAGATATTTGCACTGTTACTATACTGTTTTGTTATTGCAAGTTTATAGTAAGCTTAATGTAATAGAAGAACCACTCCTTTTTATTTTTTTTCTCCCAGGCATGTCTTGCTTAACTTTCATCTTGATTATTCAGTTGTATCTGTATGTGTATGTAGAAAAGCAGAAAAATGGTGCCATGCCTCAGTAGTATTTTTTTCCTCTTTAACTTGAGTCTCTTTAATTTGGTAAGGTATTTTTTTAGTCTCATTTTTGTTTCTTTGCTCTCCAATAAAACATGTTTTCCATTTTGAATATGTGGGTTTTGTGTTTTGACCCACTTCTCTTAGATTTGTCTTAATCAGGCATTTCTTCCTGGAATTGTACTTTAAATACCTATGTATTTGCATACAATGATGTAAGAAATTTCTCCCACATCTACTTTCTTCTCTTCTTGAGAAAACAATGCATATCTGTTAACAAAATGTTCATGATATTCATCTATCATGGGCCAAGTTCATCTTTTGAAATGTAACTGCACAAAGTACAATGCTGATCTAATATGGTTGGTCTTTATACATTTATGTCAGTAATAATTGCACTAAGCAAGCAAGAGAGTTCTCATTGCTCTAGCTTCCCCACGATAAAATTTTGTAAGATGTAACCCATAGAACACCAGCCTAGTGCAAAGCTCTGCAAAGAAAGGGTTCCTTGGTGGAGTGAATTTGAGAATTAATTCATACAATAGCCATATTTTACCAGTTTAGAATAACTGTTATCATATTAAAAGCTCTGACAAGTTCAACAATAAAGACTTGTTTGGTTTGTTTGAACCCATCTTCTCCCAGATTTAATGTATGACATAAACATTTGCTATTTTTTGAAGACAGAGAATATTATTTGGTTTGATGGTTTGTATTTTATTGAGGGGTAAATATATAATCTATTACTCAACCTAGGAACTTACATTGAATACTCAAATCGGGCAGGCTTTCTTCCAATTAATTTCAGTTTCCAGTGAGTCTTGTTTCTTTTCAGTGTACAATGGAAGATAACTCTAATCAGATCTTAAGAGACAATTCTCAAGGCATGTCACTCATTGGCCATTTATTTGATGATTAGTAGTGGTTGTAGTTGAAGTAGGCGGCAGTATTATACAATTATCATACATAGTAGCTCTATAACATCTTGCAAATAAATTAAACTCTTTATATATCAGTTTTTATTTTTTGTAAAATGGGAACAGTATCCTGCAGGGGCTTGTGTACCACAGAAAGGATGCGTATATAAAGCCCTAACCCTATTTCTGCATAGAACAGCCACTCACAGAATGATAGTTGGCATTCTCAATAATCATTGACAAGAAAAGTTAGCAGGATATATCCCCTGCTCTGATCCATCTAAACAATGGTGCAATAAGAAGTAACAATTTCATAATGCTTTGCAATTTACACATATTTTTATGTACGCTGTTGAGAGTGTAAGCATCAAAATAAAATAGGAGAACTGGAAAATACAGTGAGGGAGCTGAGATCAAGTGATACAGCATTTGCCAGGAGGTGGGTATTCCATGCCACAGTATACACCAATACAGAATGAGGACAAGCGTTCATTCCTTCTAATGAGGACTTTACCTAGGTTGGGCACCAAAGGCTGTCACACAGTTGGATGGAACTGAATTAAAACGATATCAAAGTTCAGTTCCTCAGCTCCAAGTGCTTGCTGAGTTCGGCTTCTTCTCTGGTAACCCTCTTATGGAATGTGATTTTAAAAGCATCCCAAAGTTGTAAGTACCTTTGTGTCGTGTTGACATCTGATTCATCAGTGGGCAAACATTCTGCTATTGTTACTGGAGCTCTGTTTTATCCTCCTGGAAGAGAAGCCCCAGCTCAGCAAGAGCGGTGTGGAAATGTTGGTAAACCCCTTTATTACTTTGAGTCTAGACTACTGTAATTCTCCATTTGTGGGCCTTCTAAACTGGGTTATTTATAGGATGCAACTTAAGAGAACAAGGCAGCCCAGAGCCTTCCTGACATTTTGTCCCTTCAGCATATTTAAAACCATCAACTCAATCCTTATATTGGTTACCCATAAAATTTTACATTGATTGTGAAGTTGTTTTACTTACACAAATGGTGCCTCCAAGATGCGATTTCATTCTGCCTGTCTCACTGATTTTTCTTTTGCCCAACCCTGGTCCCTTTTAAAGACTTAAATTTGAAAGCTTTTGGTATTGTGCTATGAGCTTGAGGTGGGCATATTCAAAGTTATGTGGACTAGTTTTAGGTTTCATTGTATTTTTACAGATAAGCTCTTATTTACTTAAATAAAATACATATTCTTTACCCATAAGAAAAACATACATTTGATTTTTTGTTTTTTTTCTGTTATACACATCATATCCAATGTGATTCCAATATAGATTCCAGTATTTTTCTAGGCATATCATATAAAATGTTTAATACAATGAGATGTATATCATACTTATTATTTAGTAGCCTACTTTTAACATTGATGTTATTGTGGTCTTTTTCTTTGTTTTAAAAACTTTATTTTAATAATTGCCTAATATTTTCTCTTAGAAACTCTGTGATTCATTTAATTCATTTGGAAATTATTCCTTAAGTAAGATTTATCAAGTGCTCTCACTTTGCATGGTCCTGCCCATAGCTTCTGAAGGTATAGTAACAGATAAAGATAGATACAGCTCACTTTCTGTGGAATTAATTCTGTAATGTTGGATATTGGCTCTCCCTTCACTTTAGAGTATTATTACAAAAAAGATGACTTTGAGTTTTAATCGAATCACGAAGAATATTTGATCTGACCCTCTCTGTTCATTTGTGCTAAGAAAACAATTGTTTTTCTAAAAGGGTAATCACCTTGGAAAAGCTTTCCATGTTCTGCCCTCTTTTGTAGACCTTCTTCTTCTGATCATGTACCCTGGCTTGGTCATTTTCTTATGAACATAAATTCTGCCTTTCCCCTTGTTCCATGTAAAATAAAACTTTCTTTGAACTGCATCTGGAGAATTTAGGCCCTATAAACCTTGGCCCTTTGCCAAATTGCATTTAGCCACCAGCTTAGCCCAAGACCGCAGAATCTGTGTCCATTGCTCTAGGCTTCTACCTATCCGGTAAGAGAAGTTAGGAATTGAGAGCTAAATTAAAGTTGCAAATATTTATCCTTATCTTCACTATAAGCTCTGGATTTGCCTTTCGATGATAATGCAAATACTCCATTCTTTGGGTCTGTCCACTGTGTTAATAGAAATACTCCTGAAATTGGAAAGAATCTCTCTGGTTACAAGCACTTCTTCCTGGTGTCGGAGATAAACCACCATTGTGGATCTTTGCATTTCTTTTCACAAGCATTCCTGGCATGGGTCCTCATAAAGCAAGAGTGCTTGGTACTTCTCCCTCGCCTCAGTGAAATATCCATGTTGTGGGCAAAACATGCTAGTAATATCATGCAGCTGTCATTGGGTGACAACCACATGTAGATTTAGAGATGACTGAGGTACCTGTCTTTGCTGAAATGTGATGTTCCTCATGCATACTTAGACTCTTTTCATGAACATTCTTTAAGTTGTATGTTCCCTGCTTGATGGAAATGAACATTGTATAAAATTGAAGCAATTTAAAAATATACAGTATTTAAGAAAAACTCAAATTCCTTAAATATGTCAGTGGATTGGAAATCTGGCTTGATGCACCCACTACTAAAATTAAACTGTATTAAGATCATATGATACAATGCCAGGTGTCAGCTTTCTGTTCCTTCTGTCTTTAGCCATAGAAGTTGTATTCCCCATTGATAGATAACATCAGACTTTGCACCTAAATGCAATATGTGAGATGCAAATTTGAGAAAGCACATGGTATTTTATTTTAATCTTTAAAACATATAATCTACAAAAATATAATGCTTAGTCTAACCCACATGGCAATGTAGTAGCTGAATATGGCTCTAGAAATGTGGGTTGTCATGAAACAAATCTCTCTTCTAGATATTGGAAATCAGATTCTATCAGGACATTCAATTTAGAAATAGTGTTTGCATCCAACTGTCCTTCTGTACAGATATGTAATTTCCATGTTTTGTTTAATGTAAATTACAATGTTTTTATTTGTTAAAAAGAGCAATCTTTAAAGCCTAGAATCAGAATTGAATGTTTGTAATGTAATCGCAATTTTGAGGCATTCTTTGTCATTTATCTTTATAGGGTCAGGGATTCAGATAGCAAAGGAGAGAGGATTGTGCACTTTGGTGTCTTTTCAAATAGAAAGAACTAACCTCAAGCGGGGATTGTCTGTCTTCGATCATATGTTATCCCAGATGACTAAGAGGAAAATCTGATCCGTTCACTTATGCCACACTATTTTTGATACACCAAAGCCCTTGCAATTTTACTTACAAACACAGATTAGGAAGTGAAAGGTTGATTGTTTCTGGCAGTTTGAAATGCATTATGTTTGTCCTGACCCCAGCTCAAATGAAAATAGAATGTTTCCAAATCTTCTAATGGTCCTGCAACTAAAATTACTCATTTGAAACTGCCAGGACTGATCAGTGCAAAATCAAGCAGCCCTTTCTGGGTTCTTCATTTGGAGAACATCAGTTTCAAGGTTTTAAGATAATCATCTCACCTTATTATCAGATAAATCTTCTTTTACATGAGCAGCTACTGTCTCTCAAGACAGCCTCTCACTTATTAAAAAGGGAAAAGGAGGGAAAAGCTACCAGGGAAAGAGACAATCAGAAGAAATGTCAGTAAAATGGAATCAAAAGACTATAAGATGTAAAATTACTTTTTACCTTTGTTAGTCATTTAGAACCACAGAAACTCTTAAGGTGCCAAGAAATATCGAGCCCAAAGCTGGCTTTTGAAATAAGAGGAAACCGAGGCCCAGAGAAAGAAAATGACTTACTCAGCAAATTGGGATGATGGAGGAGATGAAACTGACTGGATTTTGTCCCATGATCAAGGTTTTTGACATGAAGTCTAACCTCAGCAAGATTCACAGCAAACAGACCTATTCTGAAACAAAAGATTAATTTTCAATCCAATTACTTTCTCAAAAAATACTAGCCCTCAAGTATTCATGAGATACGTCTTGTATTGCTGTTCTCATTGAGGAGAATAAATAGAGAGCCATTTGGATTTCGTTAGTTGTTTAGTATTCCTTTAGCAATTTCAGACTTATTTGTGTCTGAGGAAGGAAGCCTCTTATATCAAAACATGACACACAAACTAACAGCTGGTTTTGACATTGAACTTCAGATCTAGGGTTGGTAAGAGTATTTGCACTTACTGTTTGTAATGTACAAATAGATCCTTGTTTAAATCCTCAGCAAGAACAGCCTTGTGTAAAGCTTTATCCACCGTGTTTCCCTTCCCTCTCCTCCCCCATAAAATAAAGGAAGAAAAACTTCATTGCAGTCACTAAGCATGGGGATTACTGGAAAGACAGAGTGACTGTTTGGTTTAAATGTAATTTCAGTGTGTAAATGTTCACATCTACCTAAGGATATTGTTAATGGAAGCAAAACCTAACCCCCCTTATTTGATTTTGCCCTTCAGACTTGAATTTTTCTCCTAACGCTATTTTGTTCAGCATGCCCCAGTCCTCTTCATATGATGGCAAGTTCTATGTTAGATGGTTCAACAACTATTGGGGGTGCGACAGGAATAGCAACACTGATTAGTGCTAATTAGGTGTCAGACCGTTTACTGTCATTATCTGAAGTAAACATCAACAACTCTGAAAAGTAAATATTGTCCCTATTTTCTAGATGAAGGAACAGAGGCCCCGAAAGCCTGAATACTGTCTACGGTGCCCCACAGTCGGAAGCAGGAGGCCTGGCTTTGACTCTGTCTAACCCTGTTCTCTCCATCCTACTGGACTGTCCCCCCCAAGGACCTCCCTACAAACCCTCAGTTCCAAGAATGTCTTGAGCCAATTCCCATTAATCACATTGAGCTAGTTTCTATTGTTTCATCAGTGAATTTTCTGTGTTAATGGTAAAAAATAAAAAATAAAAATGCAGGCCGGGCGCGGTGGCTCACGCCTGTAATCCCAGCACTTTGGGAGGCCGAGGCAGGCGGATCACGAGGTTAGGAGATCAAGACCATCCTGGCTAACGTGGTGAAACACCCCCGTCTGTACTAAAAACACAAAAAATTAGCTGGGCGTGGTGGCAGGCGCCTGTAGTCCCAGCTACTCGGGAGGCTGAGGCAGGAGAGTGCTGTGAACCCGGGAGGCGGAGCTTGCAGTGAGCCGAGATCTTGCCACTGCACTCCAACCTGGGCGACAGAGCTAGATTCTGCCTCAAAAAAAAAAAAAAAGAAGAAAAGAAAAAAATGCAGAGGCATCAAGAGATAACTCTTCTTCCATTAGGACTTCTGCATTCGGTTTGGAAGAAAGGTTTTCTCCAGCAATCAGTTCACCTTCGGGGGACACAAAACGTGGATAGAACTGGAGGTCCCAAGAGCACCTGTAGGGGACAGTTCAGAGCCTGGCTTTTCTAAATCCGGCTGCTTATGCGAAAAGTTCATGAGCTCAGTCCTTCAGTTTTCAGTCCTCACACACATGGAGTTATGATGATTTCTCCTGGCCCAAATACTGACACTAGGACAAGAGTTGCTGGGGCAAATTTGCCATAAACACCCATACATATTTCTTTTCTTTTCTTTTCTTTTCTTTTTTTTTTTTTTTTTGAGACAAAGTTTTTCTCAGTTGCCCAGGCTAGAGTGCAGTGGCACAATCTGAGCTCACTGCAATCTCCACCTCCTAGTTTCAAGTGATTCTCCTGCCTCAGCCTCCTGAGTAGCTGGGACTACAAGGCATGCACAACCACGCCTGGCTCATTTTTTGTATTTTTAGTAGAGACAGGGTTTCACCATGTTGGCCAGGCTGGTCTCAAACTCTGGACCTCAGGCAATCCGGCCTCAAGTGATCTGCCTGCCTCAGCCTCCCAAAGGGCTGGGATTACAGGCGTGAGCCACCATGCCCCATCCCCATATGTAACTTTCACGAAGCTTTTGAGAACATGTAAAATTTTCCTTGGATACTGGGAGTGGTTCACTTTAAACAGAACAGATAAAATAGGCATTTGACACCATAAGGAGTCAGGGTGGTGGGGAGCAGGTGAGAGGACAGCAGAGAGACAAATGATAATTCCAGTGCTACTAATATATATGTGTAATTTTATGTTATTACATTATAATTAAGATTTGTTTTGTCACACTTTAATATCTGAATGCTATCTTACTTTCAAACTTATATATGCATGTCATATTTCCATATTTTCATAGTATTCTGTACAAATCTCTCCCACCACACTAACCTCATTCTCTCATAATTACCCATATACATACACACATGTGCATGCATGTGCACACATATATACTGCTTCCACTGGGCTGTGTTATTCACCTATAGTTCTTTACTGCCTGGCATATTCTGAGTAGACAGGCAATGTTGACTGAAAGAATGAATGAACAAACCTGTGAATAACAGAATACAACACCATCACACCCACATTCCATGAGTTTAGCTGCATTAACCCTTCTTGGAGTCAGAGAGATTGGTCCACGGGAGACCAGTGAAGCATGAAGGAGTGAGGCAAATCTGGCACATGGACATCATATGTGAGCCACTGTCTGTTAACTTTCCATTTTTACTTTACGTACCAGGAGAGCAGATTGATATTGCATTTTAATTGTGTATATTAGAGGAAGGCATATGGTTACAACATTCTCTTATTTACCTTCTGGAACATGAAATTTGTCATTTTGTTCCCAAAATAAAGGATTGAAGGGATAGTGCCTGCTTTTTACACAAGTTCAATTCTCCCTCATGTGCAAGTCTCCTGAGATGTGTAGCAAGTCGGTGCCAACATGAGGCTGGCACCATTTTCCTATTGCCATGGTGATCTCCAGCTCTCCTGAAATCTCAAGGGGGACTATGATATTTTAAAAGCAACTTGAATTTTGGTAATTAAAAAGGCTGCAAAGAATAATCTTTCTACATTTTGCCAGCTTGGGTAAATATGGATAGCAAGTGATGTCTAGAGAAGAAGGGTATTACTGTGCTTTATTACGTGGGTGACCCCGTGTTGGAAAATGAAAACCGTCATGAAAGTTATGTGTGGAGTATTTATGGCAATTCAGAAACCTACTGTGAAATTTAAACTACATCTAATCACAACCTTCCTACAAACAGCTACTCTCTTGGAGTCACTAGTATTTTAACTTAAAGGTATGATGATCAGAGTTTGTTTTTGTTTTTTTTTTAATGTCGGAGGCAATGAGTAATAATGTAAATGTTGGCAGTTATCAAAGTAAAGGGGAAAAAAGTGATTCTCTTAAACTGGAAATTAAGTTAGACAAGCATAATTTATACCGCAGGTTAATCACTCCCTCCATCACGAAAGTTCTTACATTAAGGGTTCTTTTGAACTTCATTTGAGCAACTGCGCTCTCCTAGCAAAGCCTCAAAGATTAAAGGGCTTTGTTTCACTTGAGAAGACAGTTGAAATTTTTTTAGGCATTCTTTTGAGCTATAAAATGAATGCTTGGAGTAGAGGAACATGGAAGCAGACATTAAAAGGCAAAACAATGTATGGGAGAGAAACCCAGGCTAGTGGAAAGAGAGTGCTTTCTTGTATCTTTGTGCATAGCTTTGTATATAGAATTTATAGCGGAAAATGATCAGCAGTTTAAGGTAGGGCTTGGGAAATTTTTTGGGCTGAGTGTGTGTTGTCTTATTAGGTAGGGTATGAAATCTTCAACGACAGAGAAAGAGAAAGGGTAGAACAATCCTCTTAAATTAGGAACTTCACAAACAAATGCAGATTCCCAATTTGCAGATGGGCATTTTAATTGATTTTTTTTTTACAAAACCACCTACAACCTAATGTTTCAGAGTTAAAAATAAACCATATAACTCTCAAGTGCTGTTTCTTCCACATAATTCAAATCTGATTATATCTGAACAAATCACCAACTGGAAGTGAAGAATTTTCTATGGATCAGTTTGATTCCATTGGGAAAATACTGCCAGCAAAAATAGTTTGGCGGTCCCCGTGGCAAAACTTAGAAACCTGTTTTCTTGTTTTGAATCCCTCTGGGTAAGAGCCCTTACCATGTTGCTCATAATCTTATTTAATGCCATTTTTAGCTGGTATGACCTGAAGTGGAATAGCCAGATGGTTTTGTTGGGTTTTTTTATTTGTTTATTTGATTGATTTTGTGTTGTGTTTAGCACAGAGATTTGGTGATTTTTTAGAAAATTGTTCACTGCTTTTTGATTAGTGAAATATTCTGTGATAGCTGACAGATGACTTGTGGAGTATAAAAGCACAGTGAAGTGGCTGAGAATATCGTTAAAGGTTTCATGGCTGGGCGCGGTGGCTCACACCTGCAGTCTCCCACTTTGGGAGATTAAGGTGGGCAGATCACTTGATGTCAGGAGTTCAAGACCAGTCTGGCCAACATGGTGAAACCCCATCTCTACTAAAAACACAAAAATTAGCCAGACGTGGTGGTGGGTACCTGTAATCCCAGCTACTCGAGAGGCTGAGGCGGGAGAATTGCTTGAACCCAGGAGGCGGAGTTTGCTTCATTTATAGGATACGTGGAACTCAGAGGAGAAAAAGTCTTCCCAAGGCTATTTTATTGCAAAAATATGTTAATGTTCAGACTAGGCTGATAACTTTTTCCTTATATGTTCTCCCTAATGGTATGTTCCTGTATTTCCTGTTTTATTCTATGCATTTAACTGAATATTGGATTTTTACATTAAAAAAATATGTTTATGAAATTAAAGAAGATTGATTTGGGCAGCAAATTAGAACCTTTTTTTGTTAATAGAGAAAGCATTTAGTGTGATGTACTTGCTCTTTTCTATATAAAAAATAATGTTTTTCTTAATTTTAAGGACAGTTCTAAATAAAATCTATGCTACTTAAAAGAGAGTTTTAACATCCCCCATTGCCTTGTAGTTTTTCTTTTCCTGAAAATAGATCCACAAATGTCATAAATTAGTCTGCAGATTTTACCTTATTATGCTTCCTCCTTCAAAAAATATGCAGGAAAGTGATTATATGTGGTGTTCAACTCAGGACTGATGAGTTGGTTATAATTATCAAGGCAGACATAATGAAATGAAAACAACTCTTTCTCTAGGGCCTCAGAGGCATTTTCAGTCACTATCATAACCCTGTCACGCTGGGTTAACTGTTTTCTGCCCAAGTAGATGTCAACACAATTAATTTCACAGTTTCCTCAACTGATACAGTTAGGGTTCATTTGCTCATCTGGGCAAGAAGATCCACATATGTTAAGGGTAGAATTGATTTCTGGGTTTTTCCTAGACAGATGAGACTGTGGAAAATAGACATTTATCTTTATATATAACTAAACGGCATTTTGTCTCTTTTTCATTAGTCCTTAAACATACTTTTGTTCAAATTATTTGGCATCGCCATTTGACATTCATGGCATAATTTATTCACTCATCAAATATTTATCAAGTGCCAGCTTTATGCAGGACCTTTTGCCAGGCTCTGAGGTTACAGCAAGAGCAAAGCAGAAAAGCCCTGCCCGTGTGAAGTTTTCAATCCATTTGGGCAGTAATTGCACCAATATACCTAATTAACAGAAAAATGTAAAACCCCACTAGATAATTTGCATGCTACTGGTACTTGTTCTTTACTCCTGGTATAATAGATGCTTGCTTGCCATTGGAGAGTGTTCAATAGAACGTCCTGTCGCACAGTGACGAAAACATTCTAAACTCACATTTCTAAGACAGTAGGCACTAGCCACATTTAGCTATTGAGAACTTTAAATGTGGTAGTGTGACTGAGGACTTGAATTTATAATTTTCTTTAATTTCAACTAATTTAAACTGCCACAAGTGGCAAGAGGGATTACCATATGGGACAATGCTGGTCTACAATGTATCATCTTATTCCTTGCATATATTTTACACCTGAAAACAGCACTTGGGCAGCATAAAAACAGGACAGAGTATACACAAGTTTAATTTAACATTTACTCCGTGAGCTTCAAGGAGCAAGAAGATCCATGAGAGAGTAACTGTGTTTTTGGATATCTGCTAAGAAATGTGAAATAATGTCCTTGATTTTAGTGTGTTCATAGATTACAAACTAATCTTTAATTTATGTCTGGAATACTGTACCTGGTTGGGATATTTTAAAAGTCCAATTTCTTATTCGTTATTGTTACCCTATGAATCACTGAGATAATGTATTAACTTAGTTGATTAATATAATTTATTGCTATAAATCTTCCCCTTTTGCTTATGCTAGTGCTTAGTAAAAATTGCAAACACATTTTCCCCGGAGTTGTATTCAATATCATTCCACTGCAACCAATTTCTAATTCTCATTTCCTAGAGTACATCTATTGCTTAATAATGGGAAAAGAGGAAAGGAACTGGGGATGGTGAAGGATGGCAGGAGGAAGAGGGAAGGGGAAAGGAAGGAAAGGGAGAGAGAAGAAAGGGGAAGAAGATAGGGTATTATTGGATAGAAAAAAAAAAAACACAGAGAAGGTAGCTTTTCTTGCCAGGAAACGTGGGAAGGTTTTGGCCATGAATACTGCTATGATCATTAAAGTTGCTGTCGTATTTCTCTTCTCTAGCATTTAAATCTCCGGATTCCTTTCCCCTGCAGGTTTGTAGTACTGAGAATAATAGAGCGTTTTCAGACCCTACATTCCTCAGCTGCTTCTTGTTTGTTTCTCATCTATTTCTCGCCAAAGAAGGAAAAATGAGCCAAACAATTTTCTGCTCCTTCCCCTTTCCAATTGGTATCGAGGACCTTTTAACTCACTGCCTCATATGAAACCCACTGCTGGCCATCTGCAAGACAGAACGATGACGTGTGTGTGTCACCTCTCCACTCAGGGTTCACGCCTTCATATTGTCTCATCATCTGTATTTTTTTATTGATGAGGACAGAGCAAAGAAAAAATATTTCTCTATCAATTTCTGCTGAAGATTGAGTGTTTTTGGTCACGGTTAGGTCCAGTAAGCATTGGGGGTTTGGTGGTTGGAGAGTAGATATTGTTGAGACTATTTTAGAAGACTTGCTCAAGTCCATTGAAAAAGAAACTACTTCTTTGTGAATGCATTTAAACTCACATAAATCCATCTATTCTTTCAATTGATATAAATGTTATATAGATGATGCCTTGGTTTTTCTAGATTCTGATGATACAGAGAAAGAAGGAGAAAAAGACAAGGAAACTTCAATAAGTGGAACTTATATTTTGTCAGGCAGTGGAGCATGGAAGGAGACTGAAAATAAGTGCATAAACAAGGGGCAAAAGAAAATTTCATAGAGATAAAGGCTAAAAATAAATACAGAGTAGTATGGTAGTAAGTGGTCATGAGGAGGGCTTCCTGGAAGAGAATGGTCATGAAAGTTCTCTTAAAAACAGGAGCATTTGAACTTACTGTGGGTAATGGAAGAAGCCTGCCATGGGAATAGCTTTCCAAGGAACATCAAGAATAAGAATTGTAAGATGGGTATGATTCTGACACTCAGTTAGAAAAACACAAAAGTAACCAGTTGACCAGTTGGCTGACATGACAAGAAGAGAAAAAGTGGTGTGAGAGAAGGTTATAGAAACTGAGCCATCACTAGATCCTCAAGCACCTGGAATGTCATTTGTTCTTGTTAGGGGCTAGTAATCAATTAACAGGACACTGGGTTTCCTAAATTCCATTAGATATGGTGAGATTTCATTGGTGAAACTCAAGCCAGAGGTGTTTCCTTGAATTGTTTAATGTCATCTATTTGGGAGGAAATCCGTGTTGGCTTCCAGATATCACAGACCATTTCTGGGAGTTAAAAATAGTGTCCAGGTTAAGAGATACTTACAGGATGTTTAAAAATATTCTTGGCTGGGCACAGTGGCTCACACCTGTAATCCCAGCATTTCGAAAGGCCGAGGTGGGTGCATCATTTGAGCTCAGGAGTTTGAGACCAGCCTGGGCAACATAGTGAAACCCCGTCTCTACAAAACAATAAAATTAGCTGGGTGTAGTGGCATACACCTGTGGGCTCAGCTACTCAGAAGGCAGGGGTGGGAGGATTGCTTGAACCCAAGAGTTCCAGGCTGCAGTGAGTTGTGATTGTGCCACTGCATTCCAGCCTGGCTAACAGAGTCAGACCTTGTCTCAAAAACAAAATAAAATAAGAGTAGTCTTTAAGATCATAGAATCAGTTTGAGGAATAGCAGTAGAGTTGAACTTTCTCATCAGTGATGAAGTTGAGGAGACAGGAAGTACCTGAATCTCGAAACCCTGCTGAGAACAGAGTTCTTGCTGGTAAGACATAGAAGGAATGATTACAACATAGAGTGAAAATGAAAAATGTTGTAAGTACCTGATTTTTCATTAAGCACCTCATTTAATTGATCTGGAGTTTCAGGTAGCATATGTCTGTGTTTTGGAGTTTATTTTAGGGATAAGGTACAAATTTCCCCATTTAATAAACAGCTGCCTGCTGTAGTGGGGCACATGTATCTGGGACTCCTGATTGGAGTGAAATAAAACAATATACTAGCCTTGTTTCTGATTTTCTTAAAATTAACTAAATTTAAAAAGATAAAAAGAGGTAGATGAGAGGAAAAGAAAAAAATAAAAATACGAAACAACAGTAAGATCTTTCAATCTTGTTTACTACTAAAATAATGTCTGGTACATAGGAGATAATCAGAAATATTTATCAAGAAGGGTAGAAGGTGTAGGTAGGAAATGAGTCTGTTCTCTGCAATGAAAACTGCAGCACGTAAAATAGCATAAGCCTTCACTTTTAGCCTTGAAACTCAAATTGAATAGTTAATTAGTGAATTACCATTTCATTGATGAAACGGGGCAGTGGGGCATTTTTTTCAATCTCTTCATTTGTATTATAAATCTATGCAGAAGATTGATGTGGGTTTGGATCATCATCATGAGGCTTTATTTTAAGTAGCTTAATCACCGTTAATCTTTTGGGGTAACTTTCTTGTGATCTAAGTATCTGGTAGGTCTCCTTGTCTATAAATAATTTCTTATGTTGGATTAGGGTTTCTATAAGACTTCTCATTTAAAAATTCCCTACTATTTTCTCTGTCTGAGAAAGAGTATGTTTCTGATACCTGGAGCATCAGGAGGTCATCAGGATAGAAATGAGACACATCAATGTGTTCCTTCAAACTGTCATTGGTGAGCATGTGCAGTGACCCAGGTCTTTTGGCAGATGCCAGGGATATAAGCAAACCTAGGATCAGGCATCTGGTGGTTTGCAGACTAGTAGGAGGGAAAAATGCAGAACTATTAAGTGGTATAAGGTGGTAAAGGCACCATGAATGGAGTCTGTCAACAGTGCAAACAGAGATGGAATGATTGATTCTACTTGGACAGATTAAGAAAGATTTCACACAGCCAAACTTTGAAAGATATTGTGGAAACAAATAGGAAGATGATATGCTAGGCAAACGGACATGGTTTGATCAAAGACTTGGAGGCACGAGGCAAGGTGTGTTTCTTGAACTGCAATTAATGACAAGGTCATCCCTTGTCAGTGCAGTGAAAGATGAAATCTAAGATGCTGTCCAGGCCACATCACGCATATGCTCCTAAAACATACTGAGCATTTTCCACTTTCCCCATGACTGCAGGCCATGGGGAGTCATTAAAGGGCTTTAAGCAGAAGAACGTACGATTCTATGTTCATTTTTATTTTTAAGGACCATTTTGATAAAATAGAGCATGGAAAGAGCAGTAGTCATTTAAAAAATTCTTTTTTATATTTATTTATTACTGAATATTAAGAACCTAGTATGAATCAGCCTTTGTCTACATGCATGGTATAAGGATATGAACCAGGAATAAACATTCGATGTTGAGCACGCTATGACCTTCAGACACATCAGATGAAATATCACCTTATCCAAAAAGGGCCAGTGAATAACTGTTCATCCCAAAGTTCTCTGTTTAAATATAGTCTTAGGTCCCCAGTGAGAAGTGTTCCCCTGGAGTCACTGCTGCTGAGCATAGTTAGGCCACTTGCATGCAAACTGGAGGAGTATGTGTTATACAAGTCCTTATTTTCATCAGGTAGAGTAGATATCACATGGTGGCCAGTTTCGACATCAAATCCAGTGTTACTCTGTAATGGGAACTCAATTTTGAACTGCAGGTATATATACATTTAGCCCATGCTGTAATTACATCTGATCGTGTACCAGGTAAATTGATTGGCTGTTTTCTCCCCTCACTGTTTCTCATAGATTATAGGCACTAGAGAGTCCTCATCATCTCCTGAAGTGGTTCTTTCCCGGGAATGCACATCAGGATCATGAAAGGAGCTTTTAAAAAATATGCATATTTGGGTGTCGCCCAGAAGAGTCTGGTTCCCAGGTTAGGGATAGAGCCGAGAGAAATTTGTAGTGTTAAAAGCTTCCTTAGGGGGCTTCTCATGCATTTACCCTCTTGGAAAACCACTAATTCTAATCAGATATCTCTTACAACACAACTAAGACATAGCTTGTTAGAGCCCGGACTAAAACTCCAGTTCCCTGAGGCCCAGCCCAGAGCAATTTCTGTTATATTATCTTTACCTGTGTTCATCCACGCTGCCCTGGACCTTGAGCCAAGACATCTGTGTTTGCACTCCTTTCATCTGGATGGTGATGGCAGGAGGAAAACTGCAATCTAAGTGCACTTGTCAGCTCCAGCTGCTATAACAAAAGATCATAGACTGGGTGGTTCAAACAACAGACACTTATATCACACAGTTCTGGAGCCTGAAAGTCTGAGATCAGGGTGCCAGCATGGTCAGGTTTTTGATGCCCTTGATTCTCAAATGGCAAGGAAGCTGGGGGAGAAGGGGACATGGGGAGGGAGGAGAGGGGCAGAGGGGAAAAGGAGGGATGGGAAGAGGCAACTCTTTCTGGTCCCTTCTTACAAAGGCACTAATCTCATCATCAGGACCCCACTATCATGACCTCATCTAAACCTGATCACCTCAGAAAACCACACCTCCAAATGCCATCACATTGGAGGGCTAGGGCTTCAACATATGAATTTGGGGAAAGCACCAGCATTTAGTCCGTAATGCTAAGAGGGTAGTTCCCAACCCCGACTACACATTAGAGTCATTTGGGAACTTTTAATAATATACTGATGTTCTGGGCCTAGCCCACGAGATTTGCATTTAATGCTTGCCAGGCCTAACTCTTCATCCTGTTAGTGATGTAATTTTACTTAAAGCCTAAATTTTTTCGTCTTCAAAATGGGAGTGATGTTACAAACTATGCTGAAGATTACATGAGATTACAGATATCAAAAGGGTTGCTCATCTCTAAAGTATTGTAAAAATATCATTTTCACCTTAATTAACCCACTTTCTTTCTTTGATGAGCAGCTTCAGGTGAAATCAGTATTTCAAGATTTATATATCAGCGCTTTAAAGACCAGGTTTTCTGGTAGCCTTGAATTGGAACTGCTGCTCTCCTGAATATATCAGGAAGGCAATCCAGCAAGAGGGCATAGCTTAAGGGTCACAAATTTAAATATCTACAGGGCCCAGGCAGGTCATATAAATGAGGAAAGAGAGGGCTGGCTCTAGAAAAATCATTCACTGCTTCATTCGGCACTCTGAGTCACTTCTAATTGCAATACAGTAGAGAGAAATGTCTCTCTACTATTAGAGAAGTAATAGTGCCAATATGGTGACAAATGGCAGCTGGCATTTGCCTCTCAGGACTGGGAAAACAGAGACTGAATGCCCCACTGAAAGGGGCAGCTGTTTACACTCATCCCAGCGCTGCTCGATCATTGAGTTTTGTTCTCCCAGAGAATCCAAAATCCAGGCTTTTATGTAAAAGCTCCTGATACTTAAGTGTTAGTAGCTAATATAAACAAAACAAAAACAAAACAGGGAGCATTTCACAGGCTAACACTGACTGGCATAAATACCACATATGTGGAGTTTGAATGTTTCCTGTGTGCCCCATTTGGCCTGCACACTGTCAGTTGATGACCATTACTTCGGGCCTTATACTCTACCTCACCCATCAACTAAGGCATTGCTTCTCACATATATTGTTTATCCACAAACAAAATACATTGCCGTGCTGGCACCCAGTTGGCAATTTCTGGCGTGGATCCTTATTTCCTTTTACTGAATTGTCTTGCATTTGTTTCTAGGGACGATAGTCATTCATGCTATCAATATTTACTGAGCAGATACTGTGCTAGATAAGAATGCAAAATGCAATAAGATAGAGTCCCTGCCCTGTGTTGCTTCCAGTCTAGTCTAGGCGATATGCCCAGTGTAATAATGAGGCCTCAAAGAATATCGTGGAATACAGAATGAAGATAGCTAACCCACCCGCCCCTACATAGCCCATTGCTTTTGGTTCTTTTTATTATAACAGAAAATGTACTTCTTTTTCTTTTACCCAGTTTTTTTTCCCTCTTGTTTTAGAGCGCTTGGCCAACGTATTGAGCCTAGTGTGTGAAGACCACATCCTAGCATGTGACGCCACATCCTTTGGCTCTTTTGATGTTTAGGAAATATTTGGTGCCCAGAAGGTCATGCTATAAAACTAAAAGTCATATCACCCAATGTCGCGCTAATGCTTAATATTGTCAATATTTTACTTATAATGCATAATATGAAAAAGCTACTGTCAGCCAGAAACAAAGCCCACTGGGTGCATTTGGTTCAACATGAGGCCCTAGCTTTCATATTTCTTATTCTAGTTTTTGGTGCTCAGAGATGCCAAGTGGCTCATCTTGGGGACTGTCTCTTGTAGCAGGCATCTCTCCAGGGGAGTGTCTCCCAAACTTTGAGATGGTTATCTGTTAATCGAAGGAAAAATAAGTTGTGAAAGTAGGCCATGTGCACCACCAATAAACATGAAAATTTCGTTGGCAAGAGCCCTCCTTTCCTTGCCAAAGTGACCTTGGTTGGCGCAAAGATGACAGAGTGCTTCCCTTCCCAGGTCTGACAGCATTGCTATCACAGCACGTTTGACAAATCGTTCACATTAAATCGGGGGGCACTTTCGGCAGCGCCGACATCCCCTCTCCATCACTCCTGATTACCACACAGACGTCAACCATGGCACCAAGCACATTTGTCACAGGGAGTAAAAAGCAGTTGTTAGTAAGAGCGCTACCTGTCATACTAATGGACTAGAGCTTGTTGCTTCGTGTCTCACAGGAGCCTACAGATTTGCAAAAAAAACAAAACATGATTTTTTTGGAGGGTTGTCCAGTGTTTCCTGAAAATGCTTTTGTGCTTTGATAGAGAGAGGTACTGAAAGCTTGTCAGATGGGACACCCAAACGCCTTCTCTTGGAAGGGGAAACAGATTCTAATTTTTTAAGTGATTTTGCTTTTTAGTGACTGCTGTCATTTCCTTGTGGCCAAACAAGGCAATAGCAAGTTTTTCAGTTGAGGAAATCCACACCCTACACATTTTAATTAAATAATGTAAAAAAATGAATGGAGTGATTGTTTGCTATTCATGAGTAAGCATGCTATCCTCATGCTGAAATCGTGTGAAGTCATTTGAAGTAGGTAAAGAATAGGTTTTTTTCTTGCTATCATCACTTCCTTTAGCATGTAGGTGCCTCATGTGTCATTCATACACTTTGTTTCATAGTCTGGCCATAAGAACCTTCAGAGTGGGCCAGTCACACACTACCATACCCATTGTACAGATAACAAAACTGAGAATGAGAAAGGTTGTTGCCCAGGATTACACAAGTAGAGTCGCATTTCTTGCCTATGCCTGTTGACTCAAGTCCACAATATCAATTGTACTTGGATATCCAATCAAAAGTATACAACTTGTTTAAATGTGGCCTGTGTGGGCCACGCATGGCTGCTTCATAACTCTGTTTCCAAGCCATTCTTCTCTTCTCCTTAAGTTCCTTTACCAGTCAGTATGAATTTGATTTCTGCCTTTTTTCTTTGCCTGATGATGCAAAAAAAAAAAAAAAAAAAAAAAACAAAACCTTACCTAGAAGGTTTTTTAGAAATTAGAGAAAGAAAAGAAGAGTACTGGGTTTGGAACTTCCAACAGACTGCCCTTTATAAGGTCAAGTGAAGACTAAATCATGGTTTGAGGGAGTGAACTTCCGGTAGGGCACACGAAGGGGATTGTTGCGTTAGAATTTGAGGATCCTTGCTATACTTTATTCTATCTTTTGTAGGCCCATGAGAAGCCACTTTGGCTCTTTGATGAGATAGGAAAAAAACAAACTGTTTTTCCTACTCTCACATGTTCAACACGGAATACTTAACTTCTGGTCACCAAAATGTGTGGAGATTTCTCCCTACCAGCAACCAATCAATTCTCCAGCAGACCCCAGCTGGGAGTTCTATAATTCAATTCCAATGCTATCTACATGGAGATAGTGTTAGATCCCACAGGTTAAGGGCTCAGTCCCACAAGACTGTCCCCACTTCAGATGCCAATCACAAGCCCCAGGTTGTGACGTACACTTTTGATCGGCTATAAATCAGGATTTCTACAAGCCCCTCTCTTAAATTCAATTAATTTGCTAGAGTGACTCACAGAACTCATGGAAACACTTTAATTACATTTACCCATTTATTGTAAAGGGTATTACAAAGGATACAGACAAACAGCCAGGCAGAAGAGAAGCATAGGACAAGGTATTGGCAAGGTATAGGAGGAAAGGGGTGTGGAGCTTTCATGCCTTCCCCAGAAGCACCACCCTCCAGGAACCCCCGTGTGTACATCTATCTAGAAACTCCTTGAACCTAGTCCTTCTGAGTTTTGTTGGAGGCTTCATTATGTAGGCGTGATTGATTACATCATTGGCCATTGTTGACCGACTCAACCTTCAGCCCTTCTCCTCTCTCCAGGGGTTGGGGGTGAGGCTAAAAGTCTCAACCCTCTAATCATGATCTTTCTGGTGAACAGTCCCCATCCTGAAACAATCTAGGGGCCCCCTATTCATCTCATTAGCAAACAAAAGACCCTCATCACTCCAGAGATTCTAAAGGTTTTAGGAGCTGTGTGCCAGGAACCAAGAACAGAAAGCAAATATATATTACTTCTTATATCATATCACAGGCTTCTTTTGAATTCACTCTTCCAAGTACTATAATAAGCTAGAGTGATAAGCTTGAGATGGGCTAGGTTGAATAAAAAACTTGTTAAATGTTTGATTCCTTTCTTGTTTTATTACAGAAGTCTTAGATAAATGTTTCTGGATGATCAGGCTGGTTCATTTCCATGGGATATTTTAGTTAACATCAATTTTCTTTTCAGGGGAAAATATATGATCTGTGATTGGCTCTTCATTACATTCTTCTCAGATTCATAAGCCAGGAAGCCTCAATGTATTAAGCCCTCTGATTCAAAAGGAGACAGTCCCTTATAAGTGCATTCATTCGTCAAATTTTATTACATACTTTCTCTGTGTCCAGCACTAGACTAAGCCCTGGGAAAACCAAAGGAAATCTGTATCTCCTGCTGTTTTAATGTAGATTATCTTACAGGTAGAAATGGTCATCTACTTTGGGCATGCCCACTATAGTAGCTGTAGGCCTTCCCAAAATATTCACCTTCATAATAACCTTCTGACTATTCCCCAGGGGTTCACTTTTCGGATTCTACTTTTTCCCATTCTTATTCTCAATAAACTACCACTTATAGTGTACCCTTTTCAGATCAGACTAGCATTTGACATTATCAATATCTCTACTTTTTTTTCTTTAATACCAGGTTTCCTTTCATGCTGCAATATATAAAACAGATCAAAGAGGAGCAACCATGGGTGAAACAGAGGTGTGAGGTGCCCAGTGCCCACAGGCTCTGGTCCCCTGGGAACCTCCCTAGAATATACAGTCCTGCTAGAAGGTGGGGAAAACCTTGGTCTAGGTTGCATCCAGGAGGTGCCACAGAAGGAGGCTGCATCCCTCCGTGGACCCCAACCCTCTCTGCTTGGACACACCTACTTGAGCAAGGTGGGGTTGAGATGTTCATGCCAGCAGGAAGGGAGAGTTTTTCAAGAAAGTTCAGATAGGGAAGTAGTTAGAGGATATTTAACAGGTGGATTAAATGATGGCTTAGTCTGTTTTGGCTGCTATAACACAATGCCATAAACTAAGTAGTTTATAAACAACAGATGTTTGTTTTTCACATTTCTGGAGGTTGGAAAGTCCAAAATCAGGTTGGAGTTGGTATCTGGTGAGGGTCTGCTTTCTGGTTCATAGATGGCGCCTCCTCATTGTGTCTTACATGGTGAAAGGGGCAAAGCAGTTCTCTGGGGCCTCTTCTATAACGGCACTAATTCCATTCATGAGGGCTTCTCCCTCATGACCTAATCCCACCTCCCGAAACCATCACATTTGGGACTAGGTTTTAACATATGAATTTTGGCGAGACACATTCAGACCATAGCAAATGATAACAAGTCACATTTTATATCATGTTCCAAATACTCTGAAGTGATTTCATATATATTTGACTCCTTTGATCCGTATTTCCACCCTACAAGTCTGTCTCGCTGTTCATTTTAGTTTACATAAAAAATGAATTCACAAAGTCATGTGCAAGGTAAGAATTTAGCGAGTTACTATTTGAGCCAGGATTCGAATCGGAGTTCCAGTGTCTGACTCTGTTCTCGTCTTTTGCCCACCACAACCCCCAGCTCACAACAGCACAATGTGTCCTAAATAGAGCTGATCCTTGCCATCCATTGCTTTCTGCTCCCACCCCTTCATTACTAACCTTATAGAAGCACATATCTACCTGTAGCGAGGACAGTTTCCATCAAGACACGCATTTCCATGGAAACGAACTCACCCAACCCCCAAAGATAAGTTAATGTGGCATTTATTTAATTTTCGTAAGTTACATTGCCTTATTTTCTTTACATCTAGGCATACTGCATGATTTTTTTAAAAAAAAGGCTCAGGAATGTGACCCTGTGTTAATTTCCATGGCTACATACCCAATCATCCAACAGTGGCTTGGTGGCATATGATATATTCAATATATTTGAAACACTGCTGCATTTAAAAATAACTTTAAAAGGTTGTAAATGTCAAATTGAGATTTGAAATATGTCAGATAGCTGTCATTTTTACACCCTTCATTAATTTCAATTGGACTCAGTGAATTGGATTTGACAAACTGTTATCATACATTGACTACAAGCATGCTACATTTATGTAGCAAGGACCTGACGTACGGGATGTTTTGAGGGAAACTTTAATATATGACTTCTCTTTGACCTCCTAGATGACATGAGACCATCAAATGACAAATGTGGCAGCATTCAACTCTAAGATTTTCCAAATGGTGGCATTTGGAAAATCTTCAAGAGGCTTATTCAGAAATGGATGTGTCCACTGGAGAGTTTCCAGTAACAAAAATAGACATATTTGCTTTAGGTACAAAACTGCACAATTTGGATTCCAGCTAAGGAAACAGGGTTGTGAATAAAAATTTCCTGTTGGCAGATCTCAGCAGGTAAAGACACGCATGGAAGAGTCAGATCTGACTATAAAAATGCTATCATTATTCAAATTAATAGCAACTACCAACTATCAAGTGCTATATGAAGAGCATGATCCATAGAACATAATGCTTAAAAACCCATGTTCTGGTGTCAGATCGTGTGGGTTCAGACACTGGCTCCACCACTTACTCTGTAACACTGGGCAAGTCACTTAACATCTAGATGTCTTAATTTTCTAATGTGTAAAATCACGATAATAAAATTACTTACCTCATGGGGTTACTATGAGGATAATCTGCATTCAATAAATCTGTTATCATCACAAACCAGGGCTGTACTAGGTGCTCTGTACATACTCATTTAATTCTCCAACTATGCTGTGAGATGTATATTACCAGTATCTTGCTCGTTTACCAGTGAAGAAATGAAGACTCCAAAGGTTATTGTGTCCAGAATTAACCACCTGGTAAGAGGTAGAGGCTGGGATCCAGGTAACTGAGGACATCTTGTAGGTCAGTTTGTTCATCTGTAAAGGTTGGTAATTGAACGTAAAGGTCCCCTGATATCAACCATTACTAGATGCAATGACACTAGGAACCAGCCCAGTGTCACCCACTGAGAAAGATGAGCTACATAAATCCAAGCCCCAGGTCACAGAAAGCCAAGTTTATGCTCGACCAGGACAGGACAGTTGGTTTTTAAAACATATACATCCTCCTGTTTGCTCCCTTTTCAAGAAAATAAGTCAGGCTTTATGTGTGTGTATGAGTGTTAGTGTCATATTTTAACACAGCTATAAAGAAAATACCAATAGGTAAATAACCTGCTAAGTATGTTTTTAAAATGCAACGGTGGAAGAAATTTTATGTAGAAATGACTAATTTTAAAATCTTATATTTCTCTAAGTTAAAAAAATTATTCATGTTTATTGCTTGTTTTCTTTTTCTTGGCTTTAGTATATAGAAAGGTATTTGAAAATCAACCAGATTTTTATAATAAATCAGAATTTTAAATTTTAGGAATCTTTAGAAATCATAGCATCCAGAGTGTTCTTGCATTCCTAGCTTGTCCAAATTTACTTGCTTTTGTCTGGATGAATAAATTACATAACTGGACCTAGCTGGAGGGTACACGCCGCTACTCAACTGATTATACCTGAGGGTATGCCAATCTTCTGATTTAAAACATAGTACCTGACTTTTATGAGAAATTTCCTATCTTTTGAATGTCTTTAATTCAAAAAATGTATGAACACGGTAACGGAATAAACAATATCTGTCTGCAAGCCATTTTTGGCCCCTAGTGGATTATTTTGTCACCCTAAGTCTCATCCCTTTCCCTACGTTTTGCATAGGATCCTCTCCTTCACCCAGCGAGAAGGCCAAGGTCAACTTTTGGCTCCTTTGGGGTCATTCAGTGAGGTGGTAGTAATATACGAAGACAGCCCCAGGCCCCAGGCTTCTGTGCCTTGGTTAGTTTCACTACATTATTCTGCTACTTTCACTTCTTATAAGACAAGTGTAAAGTAGTGTGGTCTGTTAACTAGAGCAAGAGAGGAAATTTTTTTTCTTTGCTTTTATATTTGGGAAGTAGAAAACGCTTTTAGGGTACCTTCATAGGCTAAGGACTGTGTGAAATAAAAGGAAGGCTTTCCAGCCTGTGTTTTTCTGGTTGCATGAGGAAGAGAGAAGCACATCAAAATGAGCAAGAATGTGTGGCCTACCCCAAGGGATGGGTAAATAAACAAGGAGAAATGGGGATTGCTGGGAGAATCAAGGCAAGTCACTTCCAGCTTCATGCGATCTCTGTCCCCTGGCAGTTAGTTTCTTAAATCACATCAATCCCGCATCCCCTTTTCCTCCCATTCTTCCACAAGGCAAGCAGGAAACCCTCCTAGAGTGTGAGAGAGGGTGATCTCCCCTATCTGTGCACTTCATCGTCACTGACGGCTCTGACTGGAAGCAAATGCTGCCTTTACTTTATCTCACTGTGGGGGTTTGGCATTCTTCATATAAGTTATGTTTATGTAAACGAGGACTCTAAGGGTGAAATTATAATTTATGAGAACTGCATGGAGCTCCTGACAATATTCATAAACATTCCAAACAACTTTATCTCGATTCAGAACAAAACATACATTTTTGTCACCTAATAAGGATTTTTATTATAACAATATTTCTATTCTGGACTGTCCTGTTACCGTGAATAATATGGGGTGGGGTGAATTTTTTTTCTATATGTTTAGAAATATTTGTTCATGATGATTCTTCCTTAAGAAGTGGTGGGCAGTAAATATTACCCTTATTAAGTCTTGCTGATGGGGAAATTGACTGTTGATGTCTTTTAGAATGCAGGTGTTATTTCTGTTGTTGGTTGGTTGTTTTTATTTCATTTTGTGTTTAACAAAGTAATTAGCAAGTCGTAGATCCTTGAACCTGAGATTGACACTCCTTGACTCATTTGCCCTTTGTTAGTTGTTATTTATTGTATTTTTTACCTCTGCAAAAATACACAGTAAGTGAGATATCTTTAGTTGTGTTGTAATTTCAGAATATGATAAATGCTCTAGCTGGCATTGCACAGATTTCAGGTGGGGCATTCAGAGGGGGACTTAGACCTCTGACATGGCAGACAGATTTTTTTTGAACCTTTAGTACCATCATTCAATAAACAGTCAGAATATCTTAGTTATAATTAAGAGAGACAACCAACAGCCCATTTTGCTCCAGAGTCACTCATCACTTAAGAAAAAAAAGAAAGGCAAGCAATCACCAATTAGTTTGAATGTTAATATTCCTTTTGCTGGTGGTGGAAATAGAGACCAAAACCAGCTCCTCTTTACCTCTGTTAATCCATTTCTACTTTTGATAGAAAAAAAATCCACCTTTTTTCCTCCTAAGAAATATTTGAACAAAAGGCCATTAGATAGAATTTTAGCTTCCAGATTTAAATGCTCATTCAAGAATAACCATGTAATCAGCTGAGCTTGCGAAGAATACACAATCATAAAATCATTTAATTAAATTCCATCAATGCTGTTTGTTTTGGTGCCCATTTGGGTATTAATAACACCGTTGCTGTTTTTAATGCCGGAGGTTTACCACTTAATTATTATCTTTGCTTATTGGAGATGTTAGCATCAATTTGTAGGGTTCCATAATCACACCCTAGTTGTTGCTTCACCAGATATGATGCACTTTCCAGAACTAGAAGTCCTATAGCCTGTGCTTGATCTAAAGATGAAGTGGTGGAAATCAAATGAAAACATTTGTTAAACTGTAAAAATGTAACAGGAAATAAGAGCAGTTATTCAGACTGTGAGTAAATTTGATGGGGTGTGAACTGATCACTTTATTGCACTTTGTTTATAGCATTCTTGCCATTTGTAGAGATGGCAGTCCAATCCTCTTCATTGTCTTAATTAGATTAGGAATGGATTAAAGGAGCCAAATCTATTATTAAAAAGGCAATTCTGCTGTGTTCCTGAAAACCCTCTTTTGGTTTTTAATTTCTTAAATTCCACTGATGCAAAATAGCAAATGCCTTACTTGTAATTATGAGCATGTATGCATTCATTTAAAAGGCTGTAAGGGTATTAGGGAAATCAAATCTTCAATATTCTTCAGAATTATTTCTGAAGAAATAAGGGAAGGGAGGAAGAGAGAGAAGGAGAGAGGGAGGGGATGGTGGGCTGCATTGCTTTTGGCTGTGATGAATGTGAGGAAACAAACAGTGTAATTGTGTAATTGTTTTCTTCTTCTTTTGATTTACTCAAACATAAAAAGGGCAATGCATGTTTATATGAGGCAATAATTTTTCCAGTTACATTTGTTTTTTTTAATTCACTTCCACAGCTAAAGTATTTGAAAATGTAGGTGTCTCTTACATCTGACTTAGATTGAGCATTTGTTCTGTAGGGAGGCCTTCCATGATGATTATCTGGTTTTGCATTTTGCATGTCTACCTCTCTCCCTTGTGCCTATACACATGCAACTTTCAGTTTAAAGCTTTGTGATATAATCTGCTGTAAACATTACACAAGTATTGCTCAGAACTCCAGTTGGAGCAGAGCTTCTGTGTTGGAAACTATGGTGCTTTATTTTTTCCAGTGGGTGCCCTAGTTTTAAGAGTTGCTTTTTCCCTTCTTTAAATTGTGTCATCTTGAGATGTAACTTTTTAATGTATTTTCTCTGCATTTTAAAATGACTGTATAGTCATTCATAGTGCTACACATCTGAACACACACATGCATACACAAATGTGTGCATGTAAAAACTGGTGAAATTCCAGTAAAGTCTGTGGTTTAGTTAATAGTGTTACACCAGTGACAATGTTCTGGGTTTGATAACGTACTATAGTTACGTAAAATGATCTTGGAGAAAACTGAAGGAAGGCTACATGAGAACTCTCTGTTTTTGCAACCTCTTGTGTATCTTAAATTACTTCAAAACAAAAAGTCAAAAAATTCAATGTATTGTTTTAGTCCATTAACTACTAAACTGCTACCAGAAAATATTGATCTCTATTTGATCTACATTAAATTAATTCTGTTTTAGTAACTGACATTCAGATGTCACCAGCCTTTTGCAGACTCATATTCTGTCGTTCTACCTCTGTGTATTTTGCAAGCATTTCCTACCCACTCAACTCTAATATCCCCTAGTAGAGGCTTCGTGTTTGAACAGTCTTTGTAGCCAGCGAGCCTAATGCTATGCTTTAAACATTGTCTTCACGGGCATTTAACTGGTGAATATTCAAATGGAAAGAAAAGTCATGGACGAATGGTTAAGTAAAAAAAGAATCACTGTGCTAGCACAATGCTTGCTACACAGTAAACTCTCTGCCTATATTCAGAATGAAGGAATAAGTTAATTAATTAATTTTGCTCACATATGAATTTTGTACCTTAGCAAGATGGGACCCAGTGATGGCTGAGCCATCTGTTCTTTTAAGTACTTTGTGATGGACTTGGATTCTGAAATTGCTCATTAATTGTCATTGCTTCAGTATGGTGCCGTGCTTGGGATTGGAGGTCTTGAAGTGATACCTAATTTCGGAGGACTGTGACAAAATTTATCACTAATTACCTGCCCCTCAAATGGGAATCAAAGCCATCAGCAACATACGATGGTGATAATAATGGTTATCATTTATCGAGTGATTAGTATTCTAAGCACTTTGCAGGTATTCCCTCGCTTTAATTTTACTCCATTGCTAGCTTAGAGTTGAGCAGAACCACTTGTCCAGGGTCACTCATAGTTGGCTTGTGGGTGGGTGGCAGAGCTGAAGCTGAACCCAGGAAGCCTGACTCCAGAGGATATGCTCTTACCACCCCCTGTAAGCTCTCCCCTCCCATTCAGGCTTGTGCCCTTATTCTGTTAAATGGTGAGTAGTTATCAACACCGGAGATGCATTAGAATCAAATCCTCTGGGGGCTTCTTCCTGGACCTGCTTCCATATACACTTATTCATTTTGTCTTCACCGGACATGTTAAACTTCCAGAGTGACTCTAATGTGCAGACATGGTGAACATCATTCGCTTAGCTGCATGTCAGCGCTCACTCAATGTCTGTGAACAGTGAAAGCTACTTATTCTACTTATAAGTTCATTAAGTCTGTGTATAACTATTGCAAAGCAGAATAGTTGTCCCAGCCACCTGTGTTTGGGGAGATGAAGCTGGGAGGCCATCAACCTTCTTTGCAATAAATTTCCTCACGTTTTGTCAAGCAACCTGTTTTTTGTATTCTCAGCTAGAGGCTTTCCATCTCTATCCCCCACCATCTGTCACCGATGTTCATTTGAGTACCATTTTACCTGTATAAATGTGTCTTATTTTCTCCACTCCCTCTCCCCGCAAAAAGAGTTTCTATACTAGGAGTCCTAAAAATTTACCTAGTTAGGGAGTTTAGGCAGTTCAGGTAAATGAGTGAAGAAGACAGGTCTTTGAGTAGTGAGTACCCCCTTTTAGAAAGACAATTGGGGTGGTTGTCACTGAGGCAAACTGGGGAGTGTATATTTCATTTCTAGGAGCACTCACTACTCAAAGCCCATGACATAGCCACGTGGAAACACTGCCCAGTGTTCTAGATCTTCCAGTTTTTCTGGAGACTACAGAAATATAATTTTCCATTTCTTTTGCTTGGTTTTTGTTTTGGTTTTCTATTGTGAACTGGCTTGCAAGATAGTTCCATTTGTTTTCTCATCACTGTATAGGTCAATATTGTGTCATCAGTAACAATGTGAAAAGACATGTATAACTGAAAGGAAGTAGCAGCTTTATTCTGCTACCTTTTCACATTTTTAAATAAAGAGTTGATCTTTCTTTACTAACTACCAAGTGCACCAGGTTCCAGTCTTTGTCAGAGATTGGCATTCTGACTCTAAACAAGGCATAAAATTTGGTGGATGCTGTTTCCTCATCTGTGAAATTGAACCTAGAGGAGGGCATTATGGAATTACAGGGCACATTAAAGTCATGGTCTCTGGAGTAAGACTGGTGTGGATGGGATCCTCTTGCTACTACTTACCAGCTCTGTTCTTTTAAGAAAGTTATTTAGCATCCCCTACATTCCCTCATCTGTAAAATGGGGACCTGAGACATTGACTCTCACAGTTGTCTTGAGGATTAAAATAAATTGTGCATTAAAGTGCTTAGACCTAGTAAAAGCACTGGCCCTCCTGCTAATAAAAGATATACTTAATGCATGCAATGTTTTTAATAGACTGCAGTCAGGCAAACCATTGCCTATGACTTTGTCCTGTGGCTCTTGTTAGCCTTAAGCATTGGGTAAACTTGCTCACTCTGACTTTGCTACTTCTTTCATTGGCATTTCAAGACCTCTCTCTGTTCCTCCCCCTTTTAAAAAAATTAATAGGACTGACAGCTTCATGGTAGGTGGACAAAAATTCAAGTTGCATAACTCGTTTCTACCACCACTAATGTGGTCCATACTGATCTGGAGGTTATGCTGTAGAACCAGAGAAAATCTCTTTGGGATGATTAGAAGCAAAGTGTGATTAATAATGAATATATGTATGTATTTTAAGAGTAGGGTTGTGTTAAATGTGAAGAGTCAATAAATGCCTGTTAACCTTCTGAGAGGTCAATAGTCGGCCGTGTGGTTAGTTATGCAGGGCAGCCTGAGCATCTGCAGTCTAATTCAGACCTGCCCTTAGATCTGACAATGGTACATGCAATTAGGAAAATGTCTCCCTAATAATGGTAATCGGTGTAAACCAAGAGGACAGGGCACAGCTGCGGGGAGCACTTGGAGGGGGAAATCAGAACAATTGATACATTCCCAAGAAGCAAGCCTCAAGCTATCCCTTTTCAGTAGAAGTCTGCAGTACCTTTCAATTTGCTCTTGATCATAATTTACTGAAAAGCATTTTAAAAATAAGTGCATGACTCTTAAAGACTGTTCTTGGCTCCTTTTTATTTTTAACTTGTGAATAGGTTGGGATTATATGTCTTCCTTTTTAATAAGGCTATTGTGGATTTAAATATCTAACTTAAACCCTGTTGGCTAAAACTTTGCTTTTTGGCTTTTTTTTTTTTTTTTTTTTTTCAAGAACTGAGCTCAAAATGTGCTATACAAAAGCTGTCTTTTGAGAACATATATCAATTCAGCTTTGCCTCACTTGAAATGTTGATATTTGTAAATGACAGAGCTCCCACTCTAGACTTACAATCCTCTCCTCTTTCAATGCTCCAGAGAAGCAATCTTGGGAGGAGAAATGTTTTGACTCATCTTTGATTTTGAAAGAGGTTTAGAGCTCTGGTCTCCTTTCATGTCTCAGGTTATTTTTTGGTCTTCCCCATCCCCGATTTTCCCAAACCCCTAAATAACAAACCCAGTTCCTTGGTTTCTCTCCTTTAAAAAGATAATGTTTCAATTTACAACCAGCTCTGAATAATTAATGATGGTAATGATGTGAGAATATTTTGCATTTATGGCTGCTTTAGATTTTCAAGTCCCTTTTACATCCATTTTCTTGCAGATCCCAATATCAACACTAAGAAGTAAGGAGAGAGACAGGATGGAAAATACTTTGAACATTTATTTATCCTTTGATTTACTTATCCATTCAGCAAGTATTTAATAAGTGATGATGTGGGCCAGATATTATACTCGGAGCAAAGTCTACAACATGAAAAAGAAAGACAAGGTCTCCATGCATTTTGTTGGAAGGACCAGGCATTAATTACCTAAATGAATGAATAAGAACATTTCAGATAATGATAACTTGCTGTGAAGAACATAAAACAAGATAATGTCTTTGCAGAGAATCTACTGTTGTTACTTCAGATAGAGTTGTCAGAGAAAGCTGTACAGGGGTAGGGACATTTGAGCTGAAATCTAAATGACCTTACAGAGGCCATAGTGTGGTCTGGGGAGAGCCTGTCAAATTCAAAGACGCTAAGATGAGAAGACCGTGGAGAGGGAAGAGTAGCAGGATCCAGGGAAAGGTAGGGAGGGGCCAGGTCATTTAGGACCTTCTATGCTGTGGTAAAGATAATTCAGAACCATTACTTCACTGCCTGCACTATTTCTAAGGGGATAAGAACTTCCCCCTGATTGGGTGTAGGAATGGAGAAAGGCCATATAGACACAAGTAGACTCATGCAACTACCACTGCACTGTGAGCTCAGGAAGACACTACCTCATTCATTATCACATCCCTGAACCCCTAGGATACCTAACATAGGTAAGCAATTAACAAGTATATTGGATAAACTGAGCTGGGTTGTGTCAAAGTGTGGCCATGGCCCACCTGCATCACAGTCATTTAGGGACAATTATTTAAAATGGAGATTCCAAGGCTTCACTTGCAGGCTTATGAATTTGGAATTTCTGAGAGTAGAGTTGTTAACATGCATTTTCAACAAATTCTAAGACACAGGAAATTTGAGACTTGGCCTCATTTTTACTTCTCACAAGAAGTTCGTACTACATTATAAAAATCTTAAAGGCAAACATGTTTAGGCTAATATGTGTGTATATTCATGAGAGACTCCTGCTGACAGCTGCATGTGTTTACACTATTTTATATACTGGATCTTAATAAGATTACATAAGTGTTTCAATTTTTTACATACTTGCAATTTATCTTTATTAATGCAAGCAAAGTGAGTGAAATTAGGAAATTAATTATATTTTGACTTTTGTTCTATTTGGTTTATTTGATTTTATTATCAAAAAGTAAACAGCAGCTTGGCTGAGGGAGACATGATGAGAAGCACCCCTCTGGGCTATTCATACCATCAAACCTCTGAAATCCAAGAGCTGAGGACTGAAAATTTTGCATAAAAGCGTAGCAATATAAAGCATGCCATGCTTTAAAAGCTCATGTTGCCCGCATAAACCAACTTTTTTAAAAGAAGAAGCCTCAGATGAAACAATGAATTGAGATTCAGGGTAAACTACTTCTGGCCAAGTTATTTCCAAATACTGGCAAAGGTATAGATTCCTCACTCACTGATTCAAATTTTAGAAAGAAGAAAGAATACATAGAATATTAAATGAGCCTTGGGACCCATCCTTAGACCCACCATTATTTCTTCCATAATATAGAGCAGAGGAAAAGAATCAACATTAAGCCATTCCACAAGGTTCAGGGGTGAGTATTATTCCAGCTCCAGGTACATTGTGTTTTTGAAAATCCATCATACACTGTAGACATGACAATTGCTTTAAGTAGCATTTCCAGGGATGAAAATGACAAACACGCAGCCAGAAAGAGGGATAAGTCTTGAGAGCTATTTTGCTGTGTGCATATTGGAATTCAAACATCCAAAGAGGAGACCAGGAGGGTGGGGATTCCTTCATCTCACCTTTAGAGTTTTTGTTTTGTTTGCTTCTTTCTGATAATTCCTTCTTCCACGGTCTTGTCAAAGCTGCATTGTGTTATTATCAGTTTGTTCTTGCTGCTGCTTGACCTGTTTCCTAACAATGTATAGTTGTCTGTACTTGTGGCAGGGAAAAGAGAAAAGGCACTTTTGTTGTTTTAAGCATTTCTTTAAAACATCTCTTAAAATCTTGTTCCCTCACCCCCAAATAAAATGTTGCAGTAAGACATTGTATAAGATAGCAAAAGAGTGATATTTGCTTTTTAGGCTCTTAGCTCAAGAAATAGGGCTGCTATTTTTTGTTTCAAGGCCAACTGCTTTGAATGTAGATCATTGAATAAGTCCCCCTCCTCTGAAATAAAAAGGAGACTGCATTTGTTTTATTTTCTAATACTAGGTTCTATCTATTATTATTTCCGTTGTCCTGTTCTGTTCAGCAACATGATTTTGACAGAGAATTACCAGGGAAGACCGAATTCTCTTTTCCCAATTTGTTGTGTTTCTCTTTATTATTTCAAAAAACACATAATAATTTTTTTTACCTTCTTTCAGATTCCCCACTCCCAGTCGATTTATCCAGTGCAATTTCACTTTCTTTTTTAAGCTTACCACCAAACCAGTCATTCTTACAATCTTGCTGTCTGAATGCTACATCGCAGCCAACAGGATTTTGTTTAGCCTGCACAGTGATTTTTTATTACTGAATTTGAATGGTTTTAGATGAGCAAGCTCCCCACTATGTACAACTACCTCACACCTGGCTGCTTCACATTGTTCTCGGAAGGAATCCTGGCAGTAAGAAGGAATCTAGCAAGAACAACTCTTGTATTGATCTTTTTTGTTGTTGTTCTGTTTGCACAACTGCAAAAGAGAGTGTGTGGAATACTAGTGGAGATGCTGATTGTTTTGGTTTTGTTTCCTTTTTAAATTTTTTTCCCATTATAGTAAAATGAAATCTATCCCTTTTGGGAGATTTGAACAATGTATTTAAAAGTTAGGTGTTTTTCCATGGTAAGATACCATCTCACACCAGTCAGAATGGCTATTATTAAAAAGTCAAAAAATACCAGATGATGATGGGGCTGTGGAGAAAAGAGAACTCTTATACGCTGTTGGTGAGCATGTAAATTAGTTTATCCACTGTGGAAAGCAATTTGGGGATTTCTCAAAGAACTAAAAATAGAACTACTATTTGACTCACCTGTAAACATTACTAAGTTTATACCCATAGGAAAATAAATCATTCTACCAATAAGAATACCTGCACTCATATATTTATTGCAGTAATACAATAGCAAACACATGGAATCAGCCTAGGTTCCCATCAATGGCGGATTGGGTAAAGAAACTGTGGAACATATATACCATGGAATAGTACACAGCCATGAAAAAGAACAAAATTATGCCTTTTGCAGCAACGTGGATGCAGCTGCAGATCATTATTCTAAGTGAACTAATGCAGAAATAGAAAACCAAATATTGCATGTTCTTATTGATAATTGAGAGCTAAACATTGGCTAGTCATGGACATAAAGATGAGAACAATAGACACTTAGGGCTACAAGAGTAGGGAGGGAGGAAGCCTTGAAAAACTACCTATTGGATATTATGCTCACAACATGGGTGACCCATTCCATTATACCCCATATCTCAGCATCACACAGTATACCCTTATAACAAACCTGCACACGTACCTGAATCAAAAACAAAAGTTGAAAAGAAAGTTAGGTGGTTTTCATGTTTTATTTGCCAATATTTACCATCTAACTTATGTACTACATCTTATCCTCCCAAAGACAAAAATCCTGACATATAACAAGTTTCTCATCCACTTAAAAGCTGTGTTCTGAGCTCTTGATATTTTGGCTCTGCCAGTTATAACTTCAGGATTCAAGAACTTTTCCTTAACAAGAACTAATTTTGTTCTTTTAACTTAAGGCTTCATAACAAGAAGAGTTGTTGGGAATGACAAAATATAATCTATAATATGTTTAGTAAACACTTAGGTGAAGTGTTTATCTGTAGATATGTAATATAGAGAGCTATAAACAAGGTACTAGTTGCATTGATACCCATTCTGTTTCATTAAGAAACTATTCACCCTCTTAACTAAGTCCACTTCCTCTTCTTTAATCACCTAGTTCTGAGTTATTGGCTGATTTTCAGTATTCCATTCCTTGAGGCCTCATTTAGCAAATCACTTCCTTAAATCATGGCTGTTTTACCCCCAAGCAGAGAGCTGTCACTTCACCTTTTCACAGGGAGACATGTTTAGACTTTGAGGGCTCATCATCATCAGATATATTCTCATCGTAGCAACTCCTCTTCTGAATTTGCTCTTTGAACAATGTTTGCAAAGCTAGACTAAGATGACTTTTTGCATACTGCCTACAACAGCTATCTGGTATTACCAATACGTTTAATTTTATGTGTGATCGTGTGGCATTGTAAAATATAAGAAGACCATTCCCTGGCTACAGTCTCTCCCCTACTATTCAGATTTTTTTTCAGTTCATGTTTACCTTAATTATTTTATTATCACATACCACCTCACTGAAGCCATCCAAAATGTTATTATTAATAAACCATTACTTATCAAGATTTTTAGGGACTTTATTTAAAACAATGCTTATAAATTATGAAATATTTGCTGAAGTGTATGTGTGATCATTTTTTATGTGTCTGTATATCCCAGATAAGGAATAAACAAAGGTAGAGGTAAAAACCACTATAAGTTAGATAAGGAAAGTCTGCTCAGATGTATCAGTTATCTATTGTTCTGTAACAAATTACCCCAAAACTTCATGGTTTAAAACAATAAACATTTAATAATTCTGACAGTCCTGTGGGTCAGAAATTTGGGAGTGCATTAATGGGGCAGATCTGGCTCAGGGCCTTTCATGAGGTGGCAGTCAAGACATCTGCCCCAGCTGAGGTCATCTGAAGGCTTGACTGTGGCAGGGAGAATCATTTTTCTGGGTAGCTTAATTAAAATGACTGGCAAGTTGATGTTGGCTGTTGGCAGGCAGCTTAAGGTTTTCCC
This sequence comes from Homo sapiens, assembly GCF_000001405.40. Lineage (NCBI taxonomy): Eukaryota > Metazoa > Chordata > Mammalia > Primates > Hominidae > Homo > Homo sapiens. The sequence continues at coordinate 167,625,897 of NC_000005.10, forward strand.
TGCTGGAGTCCCTCCATGGGTTGTTTGAATGTCCTTATGACATAGCTTGCATCCACCAAAGCAGCGGAGTCAAGAGAAAAGAAGAAGACATCTCTTCTATGACCCAACCTTGGGACCCATCCTTAGACCCACCAATATTTCTTCCACATTCTGCTCTTTAAAAGTGATTCACTAAGCCCAGCCCACATTAAAGCAGAGAAAGATTAGGCTCTGCCTTTGGAAGGAGGAAGTGCCAAAGAATTTGTGAGCATATTTAAAAACTACTACACCATATTTCTGTAATGGCTAAGTTTTATGATATCCATATCTTCCACAAATTGAGGTGGATTGTCAATGTTTGTCTTTACCATTCTCAAAATGTGATCAGAAGGCCACCGAGAGAGGCAAGGTTCCTCAGTTACATAAAATGGTCTCAGGTTGGACGATATTATCTGGATTTTCATGCTGTGTGTTTCTGTCCTAGCTTCCCAAATTGGCTGTTATACTTAATAGAACTAAAACCATTGATTGATTGGTGTCATACATAAAACAATTCCAGTCTTCCTTATTCATTTGGGTAAGTGGTCGTTTTTAAAAAGAAAGCAGAAACATGACTAGGTCAGTAGCTTATAAACATGAATTTTGCATATGACTCACCTGGAGCTTTTTTAAAAACAAACATTTCTGGGCACTAGCCCAGATGTACTCAATCATGAGTTCTAGGGAATGGATCCCTGGGAATTGTGTGCTTTTTTAAGTTCGGGGTGATTCTGATATAGCCAGTTAGAAAAGTTGGAACAACTGCTATACACAACGAAATCTAAAAAGCACTCGAAAAGGACAACACCAAGCAAAAGGGAAATCATTGGCACTCTCATGATAATCAACATTATTTTGCTTTCAGAAAAGGCTGGGTCTGGGTTTCTAGGCACTTTCCCACACCAGCCCCAACTGACAAGGACAGTCTGGTTCTGTAGCTGCATCCCCAAAGGCAGTAACACCGGGGCCGCCACAGTGGTAAGCTCACTGGCCCAGAAATGCATTTGTTCACGCTTTCCCGAAGACAATGACTCTCTTTCTGATTAGAGTTGTCCTCCCTTTTACCCAGAGGCTTTCCATGCAACCAAGGGAGCATAACAATGACATGAGGGCTTGGAAAGGAAATGTCTTCATTGATTTTTATTTCATGAATTGGAGCCTCTATAAAAATGGCAAAGACATGTTTTACAGTGTCAATTTGTGGAATGGAGGGGAGGACTGTTAAAACCCATCCATTTTCCAAAAGTTTAAACCACTCTAATGAATTAATCCATAGATAATGGATTGAATTCAGTGCAATTACCCTAGTAAGTAAGGCTTGTTAAAAAGAGATAAGGCAACACACTAAAGAAAACAGCAATTTCAGCTATTAACTGGATTTCATCTGGGCTCTGATAATTCAGTATATGAGTTCCCTTTGAAAAGAGAGAATGTGAGGTCCTATTATCAATGTAGCTACCAGATACTAGAGTTCACCTGCTGATATTAAACTGCAGAAAAAGACCATAAGATGATAATTCTGACAACCATTTTCCCAATAACCTCAAGATATCTAGGATGTATATTTGATACACCCCAGTAAGTCTTTATAAATACAAGGCTTTGATTCCTTAAGACAGGAAGCTCATTTTTGTTTTGACTCTACTTCTTTTTTTTTTTTTGAAACGGGGTCTCACTCTGTCACCCAGGCTGGAGTGCAGTGGTGCAATCTCGGTTCACTGCAACCTCCACCTCCCAGGTTCAAGTGATTCTCCTGCCTCAGTCTCCCAAGTAGCTGGGACTATAGGTGCCCACCGCCATGCCAGGCTAATTTTTGTATTTTAATAGAGATGGGGTTTCATCATGTTGGCCAGGCTGGGCTCGAACTCCTGGCCTCCAGTCATCCACCTGCCTCAGCCTCCCAATGTGTTGGGATTACAGGCGTGAGCCACCACGCCTGGTCCGACTCTACTTCTTATGAATTTAAATTATCCTAGTTACATACAGAGAGATCCACATTATTTTGAATAAACTGCTAAAAGGAAAGCCTCAATGGGTATTACATAAAGTAAGGATAATCACAAGTATATTTTGTGTTTGTAAAGAACTTTACGGTAGAACGGCAGTGTCTTTCCGGATTATGCTTCACATAGCAAATCTCTGTGTCCAGGCATCAGAAGGAGTTTAACACCAAGCCTTAGTCCTCAGAAGGTTGCTGTCACCAACTTGAAACCTGAGTTCTAAGAGCTCATGTGCATTTATCTTCCAGTTCTTACTCCTGGCACTGTATTCAGGTCTTCAGCCCTCTTCTGTCGTCGTTGCTTTTTTCTTCCTAAAGCTGGTCAGTGACGTCTCTGTTTTGCACGTTCCTGTTATGTGGATCATTCCAAAGACATTGTGGTCATATTCTCCCTGCCCTATTCAAAAATCTCCAGTTATTTCAATTCCTGATAGGTGTGACCCAGAGGCCACAGCATAACGTTGAAGGTCCTCTGTTGTCTAGTTTTCCTCACATTTTCAACATTCGGTTCCATTCTCTTCCCTCGTGGTATTATGCTTTGTATGTTGACTCCTCCTTCTTCATGATCAGGGATTTCTCTTACTGTGATAGTGTTCTACCTCCTAAAACTATATTACAGGCCCCTGTCAGTACCTCTTCCTTTCTCTCCTGTCATAGCCACTGATTCCCTCCACCTCTGAGTTCCTATGGTAGTGGAAATCAGGATGACACAGTACAAGGTGGTATAGAGAATGTGGGACTTAGGATGAGCTGGCCTGATCCAAATCCTGCCTGTAATACTTGATAATTTTATACTTTTGGACAAATAACCTCTCTGTCTTCCGTTTCATTTGTAAGCATAAGGTAATACCTGCCTTTTAAGAATACCTTGCAGTTGAGGATAAAGAAAGACTTTAGCACAGTGTTACTATTGCTAATATTCTGCAGTTGACCATTCATTCTTACTTTCTTTATTACTCATTGACTTTTTAGCTGTGTATTGCTTGCATTGTTTTCCGAATACATTGGCAACCACCTAAAAGAAGCTTGTCCCTTTGGCCACAGTCAAATCTGGAATAGAGCCTTACATAAATTAATGATAATTATCATAATTTATTAAGTGCTTACTGTAAGTCAGGTACTAAGCTATATTAACCCCCAAACAATCTTTGAAGTGAATTCTGTTATCATCACCATTTTCCACATTAGAAAAGTTGGGCTTAGAAATCCAAGGTTTCATAGCATATGTGTGGTAGAACAAGACGTTGAACCAGGTCAAAAGGTTTAGTGTTAACATTTTGACTTCTAGAAGAAAAAGAGAGACCTAGGTTCAAATCCTGGTTTACTACTTTCTAGATCTGTGACATTAGGTGAATTTCTTAATGTCTACATGCCTCGGTTTTCTTTTCTGTAAAATGAGGCTATTAATAGTGCTTACTTCCTAGGGTTTTTCTGAAGATTAAATGAGATAATCCATGATAAACTACTTGGCATGTTTGAAAGGCTCTGTAAATGCTATTCATTAATACTTATTTATTATGTCTATAAAACTTGTACACTTAAATCTCATGCACAATGCCATGTTGGTACATATTTTCCAATTGATTATTTTTATATCACTGTCTCTCTGGACCAAAACAGTTGAAATAATTCATAGAAAATCCAGGACTGAGCAGGTACATGAATTGACTTCACACTAGAACATAAAGCAAGATAGTGTTTTCAAACTCTGAACACTTTCAAGGCTTACTGATGGAGTGATAATAACATTCCATACTCACCTTGTAGTGTCCAGTAAATACATATGTTTGGTTTTCTCAGTGTTATAGAGAGAGTCAACTACATTAAAGTAATACACCTCCCTGGGATTTGAGGAAATTATTGCACTTCTTGTGCCTTATGACACCACCCAGAGTGTGTTATAATCACCCAGAAAGGCACTGCTTGTTGTATCTTGTTGCGTGATTCATTATCTAGTAGAAAGAAGGAGAAGGAGGAGGAGGAGGGGGGAAAGAGGAGGAAGAGGAGGAGAAAGAGGAAGAGGGGAAATGGAACAATGCTGTGGGAAATCCAAGTAGAGCAGTCCTCCCTTACCCTCAGGAAATACGTTTCAAGACTTCCAGTGGGTGCGGGAAATGGACAGTACCAAACCCTATATGTACAATGCACATATTTCTTTTTTCTTCTTCATAATTTTATGGATAGAATTATTCTTACCTTACGTCTTAGCAGCCTCAGCATCCTTTTTTTTTTTTCCGTTATTAAGTGGAGCACTTTTACTTTTTTACTTAGAAGAAACACTTTATGGCTTCTTTTGGCATATCCGAATTACCAGCATCACAACTCTTGTGCTTTGGGGCCATTATCAGGTAGAATAGGGTTACCTGAACACAAGCACTGTGACACCCTACAGTGGATCTGGTAACTGAGATGGCTACTACCTGACAGATGGGTGGAAAGCATTAGCAGCTTGGATATGCTGGATGAAGGGATGACCCACCTCTGCAGTGGGATGAGGCAGGACAGCATGGGATTTTATCACAGGATTCATAATAATGTTACACAATTTAAAGCTTATAAACTGCTTATTTTTCGAATTTTTCATTTAGTATTTTCAGACCACTATTGAGCACAGGTAACTGAAACTGCACGAAGTGAAATTGCCGCAAATAAGGGGGGAGTTATATACACTCCTTTGAGGGATTTTGAGGGTCTGGGCAATATATGGTGATTTTTATGACTGTTGATCTCAAAAAAGTCTCCAGTGGAACTCCCATATTTCTCAAAGCATTTATTCTTTAAAATGCAATAACCATTTATAATATATTTAAAGCCAAACTGGATCAGTAATCTAGGAATATAACATCTAAGAGTGTCACTACTCAGAAGGGAAATTAACACAGGAGAGATACTTGGAGCTATATCTGTGCATAGCTTTTCTCTCCTGGGAAAGCCCCAGAGTGGGAAATTGTCACCTGAGGCAAAATTATACAGAAGATTGATTTATTTTCAGTCCACCTAGGAAAGAGCTCCCCAGTATCCTCATGTACCCAACCGGGTTTTGGACCACTGGCAGAGATTGTTCCTCTATTGTAGGATATATGGTTGTTATATATATCCATTCATTCATTTGGCAGTTATACATTGAGTGTCTACCGTGTGCGATATGCTTGTGCCTTTGGGCCTGCCACAGCTGAATCTGGAATCGAACTCGTGGCAGTTTAAGATTTAAGAAAGATGAGATCCCTGCCCTCTTGTCGCTTGCATTACAGTTGAGAAAAAAAAAGTCAGTAAGCTTGGCGATAAGTAAACACAATTACTTCAGCTAGTGATTTGAGCTGTGATAAAAAAAGATAATGAAATAATAAAACGAAGAGAGGCAGGCAAATGGGGCTATTTCACGGCAGATGGTCTGGGTACAGCACACTCACTGAGAGTGTGACATTTGAGCCAAGGCTTGAACTTGGTGCCAGCCATATAAAGACCTGGAGTGTTCTCGGCAGAGAAAATAGCTACAATGAAGGTCTTAGTATAGAACCTGTTGGGCGTGTCCAGAAATAGAAGTTGGATGTGGCTGAAGCATAGGGAGTAAGGAGCAGTGGGTAGAGTAGCTGGTGCAGGCAGGGGCCAGCTTATGTAAGTCGTGCAGGCCTTAGCATGGAATGTGAGCGAACTCATGACTGCTCCTCCAATGTGGAGTTCTTAAAAGCACAGAAATGAGCTGTCGCTGAGCATGTACCATATTCCTACTACTGTTCCACACAAGACTCACCTCACTTCCTCTAAGCATGCTCTCACTAGACCTCACCCCCCTGGGCTTTGCCTATTCTATTTATTTTGCAAATGTTGCTTTAAACTTCACTTCCTTAGAAAAGCCCTCCCTGACCCCTCGACTCCCCACCCTCAGGCAAGGCTAGGACACCTGCCACACACTCTCATAAATACTTTACCCTTTTTAATCATAGCCCAGATTGTGGATTATGATTATGTCTTTGATTATTTATTTGCCCCTCTCTCTTGATTGTGAGCACTGTGAGGTCAGGAATTGGGTCAGTTTTGGTCGCTGTTATTCTCTCAGCCCCTGCCATGATGCCTGGCACCTAGAACCTAGTCAGCAAATACCAAACTTCTTGATCCTGGTGGTATGTTCACTGCCCCAAGAAAGTGAATGTCAGTGGGTCTGATTCTGCCATCTCACATCTGCAGCAATCCTGTGGGGGTTTTAAACAGTCCCTGTAGATGTTGCTTTTTACCCAGCCTCTCAGCGACCCAGTAGGGCCCACCTGAGAGGGCTGTAGAGGCTTCCTGTTGAGTTGGGCTTGACATGGAAAGTCTGTCCCATAAGTATTACAAGTTATCATGGGCCATGATAGTGTCTATGGAGCAAAGCATCTTGGATCCAAATATATCAGGTTACCCCTCAAGAAAAAGGAAGTTCTTAGAGAAAATTGTTCTACATGCCTTGGGAATAAATTAGTCTATTACAAAATATGTGAATACATATAAATATAATAAAATGCCAAAGTGACACTGGAAAAATCAATAATTCTACTCAGCACTACATATTAAATCAGCTCTTTAATACATATTTCTAAGGCAGCCATTGCCGCCATATTTAAATCTACCCAGTTGAGAGACATAAGTCAATTGTGAATCCCACAGCGATTAAGTTTTTTACCCGTTAATTTCAAAGCAGTTTGTTTATTTTGTTGCTTTACTTTGGACTTCATTTGGAGCACACCAGTATAGGTGACTGGTATACACACTAGGAAAATTCACGCACACACACCATGCACATACATGGAACATGTGTGTGTGTGAGGTAGCTTTAGTACCCAGCACAGTACCTGGCACAAAGTAGGCACTATGTAGCTATTTTTATTCAACATATCTTAAAAAAAATACTCCATGAAAGGAAATGCCCTGCTCTCGATCACACTGCCAAAAATAAAACACAAACAAACAAACATAAGTTTAGATGACTTGGCAAACATGTTTTATTGCTTTAAAGTGTGGTTTCTCTGTCATGATTTCGTATCATTTTCTGAAGTAAAATGAACAGAGTTGATATGTTATGAGTAAGGAGTAGCAGAGGGAGAAATTGAGAACACTTGCAAGACTCCTAGATTTTGTACTAAACAACATCAGTGAAAGAGCAAATCTATGAGAAAGTTTAATTTTGGATGTTTTGAGTTTGAAGTATTGCTGATATATCTATATGGAGATGTCTGGGAGGCAGTGGCTTAAGTTAGAAGATAGAGTTAAATATTTGAGATCCAGGAGTTGGTAGTAAATACAGCCACAGCGAAGCTAACAATGCAGAACCTGAGGAGGTTCGCTAAGTAACTCAGAGGCACATAGATTTATCAGACATGGCCCCTCTGTTCAAGGAGTTTACATTCCTTTCAGGTTGACAAGATATACTTGTCAACACTTGCAAGTTCAAAGTTTTGAGAAGAATAAATGATTAAGGTTAGAATAGTTGCCACAGGCTTCCAGAAAAAAAAAATTAAGACTTGAATTAGCCCTTGAAAACGGAGTGGAATTTGGAGAGGAAAATTTTCAGAAGACATTCAGGGATAATTGGAGCAAATCAGTCAAAATATTCTTGAAAACACATGGCAAATGCTGGATTTAATCCAAGCTAATTTTACTTCATAATATCAGGTAGAGTTTCATCTAAAGCTCTCCAAGTGTTAGCTTAAGGGATCTTTCTAAAGCAGAACTGAATTGGTGGAAGCAATCAACCTAACAGATTAGTTGTAGCCCTCTTTTCCCTTCCTCCCTTTCTCCCTCTTTTCTTTTTTTCCTTCCATCTTTATAATAATATTGACTAATCACCTTATGTGACCCAGGCACTATACCCTCCTATATAGGTGCAATTCTACAAAAGAAATTAATCAATAGAAAACTGTGCCTGGAAATATATCTTAAAGAATGTAGCAGATTACTTTGCAGTCCCTATGTGAAGGGCAGTATTTTTTATTACCAACAGCCATTTTGCTTTGGTTCATTGGTTCAAACCCAAGAGAGAAATTTCCTTCTGTTATCAGGAATGGTTGGGCGTTTCCTGAGCAACTGGTTTGTTTCTGTATTATGAATACCATGGGTGTTGTAACTGTGTGTGCTTCCTCTTTAAATTAGTTGTGGAAAACTTGGGCTTGGGAACAAATTTGCGGCTAAGATGTACTGAATCATAAACTGCAGGGTTGGGACAAGGGATTCAAAAAATCTCAACAAGTGATGCTCATGATTCAATGAACTTAAAAACCATGGCTTTTGTTTCTGTTTTTAAGAAACAGTTTTGTAATGACTGTTTGGCCAGTGACTGCATTCCAATATAGCCCCAGGAAGCATGTCCAGTTTGCAATCACAAGCAAGGAATTCTTCTGATATTTGGCATAGAATTTGCAAGTAAGTTCAATTGTAAAATTCCATAAGGTTAGAGAAGAGTTCTAGAAAGTTAGGAATTCTCTATTTGTAGTTTTAGGGTGTACTTAAAAGAATTGCAGTTATTTACGTTAGTATTTCTTGTTATATCAAGCACAAAGAAGGTGCTCCATAAATATCTGAAGAACTTAACTGATTTTTTTTTTTTTTTTGAGAGAGAGACTCAGAAAAGTTAAATGACTCAATCAAGGTCATTCAACTACTTAGATGCAGAAACCACTGCTGGTGCTAGGACTCACATTTTTGATTCATAGTCCAATGTTCTCTCTGCAGTACCAGCTCCATAAAGAAAATTGATGGCTCTGTAAATAAAGCTTCTTTTTTTTTTTTAACCACGTACTTAAGCTTAAGCAATCCCATCTGAATCCCCTTAGTTCCCTAGCTTACTCAGCCAGGGTGAAACTGTTAAACAAACCTTCAGTCTACCCAGAGCAGTCATTCATTTGTCCTCAAAAACCTTTTCTTTACTTTTTTTATGGCTACAATCATAGAGATGAGTGGAATTGGAGAGGAAAGGTTTTAGAGGACATTCAGGGATAATTTCATGAAAATAAGTATTCATGAACATAACTAAAAATTTAAGCATTGATTTTCAGTTGATGGGTCCATGGTTAAGTTTTTGGTAGATCATCAGAACGTTATGAGATCCTAGCATGTTGAAGTCTCAACTGGGTACCCCTACAGGCTTAAATATTGACTTTGCCATTATCTAGAGCAGTGGTTCTCAAATGTGGTGCAGGAAGGAGCTATTGAACTTTTCATTTATCACATCCTTGTAAAATGTTGTGTACTTTTAATAGCACATGCAATAATAATATGTGTATATAATCTATATACAGAGATATATAATTTACAAATAAGTATACAGATAATGTGGGTTTGTGCCTTTACAAATGGATATGAATACATATAAGTTTCAGACTACTGATAGAGTTCTGAAAACTAATTTTTCTATTGTATCTACGTAAGACTACTGAGAGTAGCAAACCACAGTTTGTTTTTTCCTTCTCTCCCTGTCTCTCTCCTGCCCACCTTTCTTTTTTCTTTTTCTTTCTTTTCTTTTTTATTCTTCCTGAGAATGTTTTCCAGGGGTGTATCTGCATTTTCAATAAACTAAACTCAGAAAGGTACCACTTACAAAGTTAAACCAATCACCAGTCACAATAGTAAATAAGCATTTCAGCCATTAGCCAAACTCAATAGCTGTATTGCCACTTTGTCTCAAAACATTCTCTGAAATATCATCCTAATTTCCCTAAATACAAGGAATCTGGCTATGATCAGTACAGTCTTTTTTTTTTTTTTTTTTTTTTTTTTTTTGAGACGGAGTCTCGCTCTGTCGCCCAGGATGGAGTGCAATGGCGCTATCTCGGCTCACTGCAAGCTCCGCCTCCCGGGTTCACGCCATTCTCCTGCCTCAGCCTCCCTAGTAGCTGGGACTACAGGCGCCTGCCACCACGCCCAGCTAATTTTTTGTATTTTTAGTAGAGACGGGGTTTCACCGTTTTAGCCAGGATGGTCTCGATCTCCTGACCTCGTGATCCACCCGCCTCGGCCTCCCAAAGCACTGGGATTACAGGCGTGAGTCACAGCGCCCGGCCCAGTCTTTTCTTAAGATCACACACTTAACTTTATATACTTGGCAAGAAACACATAAGGAGGAAGTTTTTGTTGTTGTTCTTTTGTTTTTGTTTTTATTTGTTCATTGACCAGTTATTTTAATATGTTTCTAGCCTACTTAAAAATAAAAGTCAAAAAGTCTACTTAATTATTTTTAAAATGTTTAGTTCACCTTCTCACGAGAGGATTTTCACATATTTAAAAGCATTTTTTCTATAAAGAAATAATAAATCTTTTAGCTGATTATGGAACATTCTAAGTATTAATAATTAGATTTAAGAGGATTCTTTTGGAGATGCAATTTAAAAATTCTAAATGCATGATACACACTTCTGTGAAAAGCATAATAATCACCTATACAATTAGCTAAATGATTCTCTTGAGTTCAAGAATATAAATTGGTGAGTGGCTATCTGCATTAATCAGATAATTTCCATGTTTTACTTCGGGATGTAGACTTTTAAAAATATTGCCTTGCGAGTTTTATTTTAAATAATAACTCATTGAAATGGAAGTGGAAAAGTAGATTTAATCCATGCTTAATATTTGTCTGATTTTTGAAGGATTTAGCACTGTTCCTCAGAGAACCATGGAGGAAAGGTAAAAGAGCCCATCTAGAAGCTTCTTGGATTAGTTTGCTCATTCATTTCATCCATTCATTTACTTAACATTTATTGAATGCTTATTTTGCACCACAGTCATGTATGTCAGCTGTAGACTCATGCATAACAGTTGTGATTGCTGACTTACAGGGTATCAACTTCAAATGATAGACTGACATTTGATAAGAATACCAATGATATCCTATTACATTGATTAATCATTACTTATAATTTGTTTTAAAATAATTGTATTGTACATACTAATAAAATAACCACAACTTCTAGAGCTATGTTTGAGGCCCTATGCTAGTCCCTTTAGATTTTCTCTCATGCTTTTAAGTACCCTGCAAGTTGACATTGTGTCACAGTGTGGGAGCTAAGAAACGGGCTGGACTCAGAACCCAGAAAATGTGGCTCGGCTCTCTTAGAATCTGAGTTATCTGAGTGACCTAGAACAAATTATTTGATCTTTCATTGCCTCTGTTGCTCATGCACGATATGGGGGAAACAAAATCATCTATGATTTAAATACGGCTACTGTAAATGTTAAATGAACTGATAATATGCAAAGAACTTAGAACAGCACTTGACACTAAGAACGATGTGTTTGCTATCACTATGATTGTTGCTGTTGCTATCTGTATTTTAATTGACAAGAAATAATATGCTAGTATTAAAAAGAGAATTATTTACATATTAACTTTGCTTGGGATGAAGTAAAGCAAGCCTGTTTATCGAAAAAAATATGATTTGGTCCTTGAAGGTTGGGTAGGATTTCAATTCAAGTAAGAAAATGCATTCCAGGGAGGAGGAATGAAATGGGTATAGGCATGGATATATGATAATGCAAAGTAAGTATAAAAAAATTAGAATTTAGACCATTTGACCCAGCAATCCCATTATTGGTATATACCCAAAGGATTATAAATTATTCTGCTATAAAGACACATGCACACATATGTTTATTGCAGCACAATTTGCAATAGCAAAGACTTGGAACCAACCCCAATGCCCATCAATGATAGACTGCATAAAGAAAATGTGGCACATATACACCATGGAATACTATGCAGCCATAAAAAGAATGAGTTCATGTCCTTTGCAGGGACATGGATGAAGCTGGAAACCATCAGCAAATTAACACAGGAACAGAAAACCAAACACTGCATGTTCTCACTCATAAGTGGGAGCTGAACAATGAGAACACATAGACACAGGGAGGGGAACATCACACACCGGGGCCTATTGTGGGTTGGGGGAAAGGGGAGGGAAAGCATTAGGACAAATACCTAATGCATGAGGAGCTTAAAACCTAGATGACGGTTTAATAGGTGCAGCAAACCACCATAGCACATGTATACCTACATAACAAACCTGCATTTTCAGCACATGTATCCCAGAACTTAAAGTAAAAAAAAAAAAATATTAGAATTTGGGAGTCTGGCATGTAGGGTATATGGCAATAAGAATACAAAGGCCAGATTATAAAGTTCTATGGTTTGGACTATAAAGACAGAACAGGGCAGGTGTGTGTGTGTGTGTGTGTGTGTGTGTGTGTGTGTGTGTGTGTGTGTGTGTGTCAGGGGGCATGCATACACAAGTGCACATGCATTCATTCACACTGGAAAATTCATTGACCAGGATAACAGTTTGACTCTCAAGTTATTATTTTCTTTCTTTAATTGTCCACATATAATCTTAGCACTTACCAAAAGCTGATCTGAAAAGGAGCTTTAGGAACAAAGGACATCACCTAGGCACAAATAATCACTTAATTTATGTTAATAGCACCCCAAGTCTGGACAGCAGCTATCAGTTAAATAGACCAAAAATTAGACTGAGATCAAAATTACTAGCCCAAGCACAGTATTAATTTTCTGATTGATGGTGAGTAAGAGAAAACTACTGGGCTGAGCTTCAGCTGTATTTCAGGGAACCTGTACATTTCTTCTAATTTATAAAGTATAATAAATGAATTACCAAGAAGGATTAGAAGACAGAGTGTGAAGGATGAAGCATTCCTGTATTCCCCTGATGTCAGTTGATCTATTAAATTAACAAGCATATAGATAGATTATTTAAAGATCAATTTAGCCACGAATTGCTTTCAAATGAATACATCAGGCATCAAGCCTTTTCTCTGAGATCGTTTTGTAATTGGAATACATATTACACACAACTTCTCATCACAGGACTCAAGCAGTTTCAATCAGGAGGCTTTGCTCTTTCTGCAAAGTGTGTGAAAATCAAAAATGAGCAGATCCACTTCATTATGTATAATGAGGAGATCTGTAGTTACTCTAAGTAATCGCTGAAAAGAATTGCTAGAAAAATACTCCTTGCTCACATCACTGGCACTGGGCTAACACTTGTCTCTCAGAAAATCTTTTCAGCATGAAAGTTTTGGAATTAAGTTCCTAATAAACTTAGAAAGTCCAACAGCTGTGAGTAATTATGATACAAGCATATCAATCCATGTGCAAACAGATTTATTCGGTAAGCTCCAATCCTCTTGCTAACCCTTCACTGCAATAATTAAGCACACTCTAATGAGTTTGTTAGTAATTTCCATATGATTTTCCTCCTAATTATTATTTGAGTTGCCCATGTTTATAATACTTAGTAATATCCTTAAAGTATCAATGGTGAAGACACAATTTTGGCTGGTGTATTAATTTGTATTTCCTTATTCATATGCTAAATAAACCAGGAGAAAACATTCATTTAAAGGTCAAAATTTTTGGAATAGGATTTTATGTGTGTGTATGCTCATTTCTTATACACTTATTCAATACCCATGAAGCAAATGAGTCATCTTAGCCTAAATCAGGTCATGTCATTCCCTGCTTAAAGAACTCCGAGTTCTTATCATGGCTTTCAAATACCATTCTGACTTTGTCTCTTACCACTTGCTACACAATTGGCTTCAGAATACTGACCTTCTTCCTGCTTCACAAAAAGGCCAAGCTGGTTTATATCATAGGGTCTTTGAACTTAGGACAGTTATGCCTGGAATATCCTTTTCCCATCATTTTATGTAGATGGCTCCCTTTTATCATCAAAAAGGGGTCCACTCAGATATCACTTCATCAGGGAAAACCTTGACTTTTAGCTGCAATAGAGCTTTAGCCAGCCATTCTCTATCATCTCACCCAATCTTATTGTTTTAAAAAAAACCCATCACTCTCTTAAATGAGCTAGTTGGTTTATTCACTCCTCTTTCTTACACCTAGACTCTAAGCTTCACTGTTTTCCTAAAACAGTGCCTGGTACATGGTAAATTCTTAATGAATATTTTTACAATGAATGATTTGTTGAATGGATAGCTGGAGCAGGAAGGAATGTCAGCTGTCTGATCTACCACTCAGTTTATAGATGAGTAAACTGACATATATTTGCATCTATGATTTGTCACCAAAATGACACAGCCTGATAGTGCAGTTCTAGGAAATTATGTCCCAAGCTTCCTGACTCCTGGTCCAATGCACTGGTCATCCTGCTGCCTGCCTTCACTTTTTTTCAATCTGTCTGGTTGTGGTTGTTGAGATATATGTTTACACACAATATGTACTTGGGCACTATTTAAAGATTTTGAGAATCAAAACCCTACCAACTTCAATTCTTTCTAGCTATATGGACAAGTCACGTAACCTCCCCGGACTTTGGTTATCTCGTTTCTAATATGGATAGTAGTCATATACTAGCTGTGCCCCACCAGGCAAGTGATTGTGAGAACGAAGTAACAAAACAAATTGCAGATTTGCTTGGTATGGCCGGGCGCGGTGGTTCATGCCTGTAATCCCAGCACTTTGGGAGGCCGAGGCAGGTGGATCACCTGAGGTCAGGAGTTCAAGACCAGCCTGGCCAACATGGCAAAACCCTGCCTCTAACTAAAAATACAAAATTAGCCAGGTGTGGTGGCACATGCCTGTAATTCCAGCTACTCGGGAGGCTGAGGCAGGAGAATTGCTTAAACCCATGACGTGGAGGTTGCAGTGAGCCGAGATCATACCACTGCACTTCAGCCTGGGTAAACGAGAGCGAAACTCCATCTCAAAAAAAAAAAAAAAAATTATTTGGTAAACTGGAAATATATACCTTGCAATGATAATAATTAAGACCCGGATACCACTTAGTAACACAGTATAAAGCAGAAATTAATTCTTGTTACGTACACTTTTAAATAGATTCTGACACTGAAATTCCATAGATATCACATAAGGCAGTGTTACCTATAGAGAAATAGAAACAAAAATAGAAATAGAAATATATATATCCATATATATATATATATCCATATATATATATATATATATATATATATATATATATATATATATATCTTTCTCTTAAGCTTAGTGGTTCTCAAAGAGTGGTCCTCACATCAGCATATCACCACCACCTGAAAACTTGTCAAAAATGCAAAAATCCTGACCGACCTCAGACCTGCTGAAGTGGAAACCCTAGGAGTCAGCTAAACAATCCGTGTTTTATCAAGCCCTCCAGGGAATTCTGATGCCCACTCAAGTTTGAGAACTTTTGCCTTATATGATTGAATAAGGCAAACAAAATAACTTTTGTAATTAATGAAGCCTTACTGTGTCCATGCATGTTTATAGAAGTTCATTGCAAAACCTAAAAGTTAATACTGCCTCAAAATCTAAAAAATTAAAATTGCATCAATACGTGTCGCCTACTTATTTTCATGGCAGAAGGCTCGCAGAACCAAATAAACCACGGGGAGTAGTTATCTATAATGAGATGGGAGACCAATAATTTATCACCTATATATCATGGCTGATTGCAGAAGGAGGTCATTATAATTACAAAGACACTCCTTCTAATTAGGCAGTTCAGTGAGGAAGTAAGGAACTTATCAAGATGGTTCAGGAAAAACAACAGCAAAAACCACATTTGGTTTTTGTGAAAAGATGGTCACTGGTGTTTTCTCCCAGAATTCTTGTTGCATTTCTCAAACAATCCTTCTGGAATTGACAAGGGAACAGAATGTACGGCTGTAATGGCTTACTAAATCTTACAAAGACAGTAAAAGTTACTGAGCATCAAAATCAATTTTAATCATGAAACAAATAGGTATTAGAGTCAAATCTGTCCACTTCACTTAGAACTCACTGAACCTGGGCTAGTTAGTTAACTTTCTCTGAGCTTCAGCTTCCTCGTCAGTAAAAAGGGAATTATAAAACCTGCTTCAGAGAATTGTTGCAAAGACTAAATAAAAATGCATCTAAAGGACCCACTAACATACCACCATGCCTGGCACAAAAATAACACTCACGGCAGAGCGTGGTGGCTCATGCCTGTAATCCTAGCACTTTGGGATGCCGAGGTGGGCGAATCATGAGGTCAGGAGTTCGAGACCAGCCTGACCAACATGGTGAAACCCCGTTTCTACTAAAAATACAAAAATTAGCCAGGCATGGTGGTGCGTGCCTGTAATCCTAGCTACTCTGGAGGCTGAGGCAGGAGATTCGCTTGAACCCAGGAGGCGGAGGTTGCAGTGAGCCAAGATCATGCCACTGCACTCCAGCCTGGGCAACAGAGTGAGACGCTGTCTCAAAAAAAAAAAAAAAATATGTATATATATATATAAACACTCACTTACTGGTGGCTTCCCATTTTCATCCTCCTTTAGGTAAAAAGCAGCAAATAGTTCTCTTTAAGGCTTTTTCTCTTTGCTTACTCTCCATTTTTCTGAAATATCAGGTATTCAGGGAATGAGAAGGAGACAATGAATGTGAGAAGAGAGACATGATCTCAACATATAGCAACTTAAGTGTCAGCATAGATGGTATTTACAAAATGAGCCCTGTTCTGCTGAGACAACAGAACACAGTTGACAGAAAGTCTTA
Source organism: Homo sapiens (assembly GCF_000001405.40). Classification (NCBI taxonomy): domain Eukaryota; kingdom Metazoa; phylum Chordata; class Mammalia; order Primates; family Hominidae; genus Homo; species Homo sapiens. Next base: position 167,642,435 of record NC_000005.10, read on the forward strand.
AGTAGCTATCCCAAAGATATATGTGACACACAAGTAGACTCCTTTTCACTCCTCCTCCTCATCTTCCTACACACAAACATATACATTTGTTTTTTTATACACACACACACTCATGCGCACTAAACTGAATCTATTGTGAGCCTTTATTACCTATACGATGTGAAGCCATTGTTTCTTATCATTCTTGTGAAGTATAATACAAGCATCATAGCAGAGCTTAAAAGACTTAAGAGAGAAAGAAAAAGTGTAGTAGAATTGTAAAAGGATTGGACATACAGAATTCTTCAGTGGAGGAAATGCAATGCTTGGCTTAACTCAGTGAACTCAGAGAAGAAATTAAGGACTAATCTTGATATCATTTGCATGTGCATGCTAAGTTTCTGCATAGACACCAAGCCCCCCTTAGCATGTTTGTGTGGATATAGTATGTGAGAAAGGGGAACAGTGCAGGGATCATGTCTTCTTTGGACGAGGGTGTTGGAAATTGCCCCTACATGTAAATCACAGGACACAGCAATGCCACAGTGCTCAGCGGATGTTCCCACCGCTCACTGCAAAGGGGATGTGACTTTGTAATGACACCACAGCAGAAAGCTTCTCTCAAACAGCCTGCCCTGGAATTATTGTTAAATCATCTATGTATTAATTACAGCTCCTGGGTTTTCTAACAGTTTTATAGAGGTATATTTTGTATGTCATAAAATTGTCCATCTGAGGGTAGAATTCAATGATTTTTGGTAACTTTACTGAAATGCCATAACCACAAATCAGTTTTAGAACATTTTTGTCCCCCCAGTAAGATCCTTCATGACCATTTATAGTTAATCTTCATTCCCACACCCCGCCCTAGGCAATGACTAATCTGTTTCCTGTCTCTATAAATTTGCCGTTTCTGGAATTTGCCGTTTCTGGATATTTCCTACCAGTGGAATCATGCAGTATGCGGTCGCTTGTGTCTAGATTATTTCACTTGGTGTAATCTTTTTTGTGGTTTAAACATGATGTAGCCTGCGTCAGTGGTTCATTTTTTTTCCACTGCTGAATAATATTCCAACTGCTTCTGTTAAAAATAAAAAAGGCTATAAATAAATGAATATTTATTTATACCTCTATAAAAACTGAAGGGTAACACATTTCCAGTGAAGACTAAGATCCAGATTCAGAGTCAAGTTTTGTTCTCTGGATCACACAGGAACACTTGCCTGATTACACTTTCTTTCTCATTCATTTGTTCATCTTGTGAAGAAAACAAGTCAATGTTGGCTTCCCTACATCACTTAGAAATAATAATTTCACAATAGATTATTCGAACCCTAAATGGTGGAAATATAAAAGCAATTTCTGGCCAACTGTGGTTAAAAAACAAAGTTCTAGGCATTCATTTGGAGGGTGCTATGATGCAAATACGTGTTAAGTAATGCAATTGAGTTAAAAATTATCATAGTATTGAGATGAGTCATAGGAATCTGAAAATAAGTAGGAGCTTCATTACTTTTAATATTTGGAAGTAAATTAATTCAGTATCGCATAGTTTTGCTGATTTCATTTTTTTCATATTCTAATATTGTATCAGAAGGATTGCTGCAATATTTACATATTGTCTTTGCTGCATGCAATATAGTTACCCTCTCAAATTATCCACCTGGATCCATTTATTTTCATAATGGGCTTCTTTGGAAGTTGAGTTGTGGAATGTCATAAATGTTCAGGGAAAGCATGCCACTGTGGACTCAGAAATTACATTAAAAAAGCTTCCAGTACACATGTTGAATAAAAATGGGTCCTATAAAGTTTATTAACTAAGCAAATTAAACAAACTTGGTAATAGGTGTTTCACATGAAATTCCTGAAGCAGCATAAATGTGCTTTGCAACCTGAGTCCCTTGTTATTCTCACATAACATGTGGCTTTTTCTCTTTTCCCAATTTCTCTTCTAAGTGTAGCAAATGTTTCTTTCTTTCCCTGGGATGAGAGAAGTCCTTCCAAGGATGGTGTGGATTTCAAGACTCAAGCAATTCCAGAGTGTTGAAAAAGAGTCAGTAGGTGGATTTGTAATGACAAAACAATAATAGTAAAGGTGGTGACATGCACTCAGTAAATGGTAGCTACTATTTTGTATCAGGCACTCTGCTACAGACATTACGAGGCTGGAATAAGATAAACGCCTCATGACATAGCTTCTACCATTGTTCCCATATGGCAGATGAACAAACTGAGGCTCAAAGAGGTCAAGTAACTTGTCCAAAATCACAAAACTGAGTGTCAGAGCCAGGACTTAAGTCTAGCTCTGTGTAATCTTACAGCCCAGGTTCTTAACAATCATACTAAACTGTCTTTCAAAATGACAGGCACAAGACCTGTCCCTTTCACTCCTGCTGGTACTCAGTGACGTACAGTCATGCATCTTTCAACATCAAGAATATGTTCTGAGAAATGTGTCATTTGGTGATTTCATCATTGTGGGAATATGCGAGTGTACTTACATGTATCCAGCTGGTATAGCCTACTACACACCTAGGCTGTATGGGATAGCCTAGGCTGCACACCTGTACAGCATGTTATTATGTTATTGTACTGAATACTGGAGGCAATTGAAACACAATGGGAAGTATTTCTGTATCTGAACACAGAAAAGGTACAGTAAAAATATAGTATTATAATTTCATGGGATTACTGTCATACATGGGGTCTGAAGTTGACTGAAGCATTATTATGTGGTGCATGACTGTACACTAACAAGTCAAGTGACCTCTTAGGACTTAGTCTATTAATCTAAAGGATGAGAAGTACATTCTAACATCAGGTGTCTTTTCTCGAGCACAATCAAATTTTCATTTTCCCAATCTCTTATAATGACTCATGACCGGGTGAAGGAGGAATCAGTGCAAATTGCTTGTTGGGATGGAAACAGGTGCTAGAAGTGAGGAAAAAGCAATGTTCAAACGCAAAGGAAGGGTGGAGGAGGAAAGGTGTGGAGTTGCCACAGGGACTCATAGCAAGCAAAAATAAAATCCAGTTTGGAAATCCACCAGAAAATCCCCCTCAATCTCGGAGGCTTCTTTCGTGTTCTTTACAGGAAACACTTGTGTGTTCCTTTCCCTTTGTCAGGGACATATAATTTAGAAAGCAGAGAATTTGTTCTTTCTAGTTTTTCCTTTTTTTTTTTTTTCAGTAAACATGAAGGATTAAAGGGAAATAGACAACAGCACTTTTAAAGGATGCTTTTTCGTAAGACTTTCAGTGGATGTTATCCAGTAAATAAGAGTTTCACAGTATGCTATCAATGTTAGTTTGGAGAAGGAAAGGTCAAAAAGTCAAACCTTGATATCTTTATCTTTTCACAAAGGTTATTTCTGAAGGAGCTATATGTAAAAGGAAAAACAAAAGGCAAATATATACACACACCTATATATGTATATGTAATGCATATATTACAACATAGTTCTTCCAATCCTAATTATATGCCTAATGCTGGGCTTGAGTGTCTATTACTTTTTAAACTACACTTGTGCTATTATTTTTCTTATAATAAAATGAGAATAAATATGGAATTCTCTCCAGGTCCCCAGATTGCTGTCACAGCCAGCTTAGTTCACTTTATATTACCCACCTAGCTCCAGTACACACCTGAATTTGTGTCTCTTGCTCCAACACAACATATATATATACACACACACATATATATGTGCATATATATGTTTTTATATATATATGTTGTTTTCATATATATATATGTTGTTTTCATATATATATATATGTTGTTTTCATATATATATATATATATATATATATATATGTTGTTTTCTTATATATATGAAAAACAACAAAAATCCTTTCCTGTGTCACTCCAGGTAATGGGTTTCACTGTGTAACTATTCTTTTCTGCAAAAGGTTTGTGTTATTATCCTTGGGTATTATTTTCTGATGGTATCAGTGAAATGGGTCATTATTGAAGCACTGGCTTACTTATGAAAGATGTTATTAAATACTGTGGAAATACGGTTATTTCCATTAAAATACCAAAAGGAAAGAGAAATATAAAAATATAAGAGGTAGTTCTGAGGAAACCAAGCTGAACCTCGGAATATGAGACAATTGGTACTAAAAGGTGTTGTTGGGACTAATTTTTTCTTGGTGGCGATCCTGCTTTGCTTCAGTTGGACAAACGCTACGGGGCAAGAGACACAAATTCAGCTAGGCAGGTAATATCAATGCGTGAACCAGACTGGCTGTGATAGCAACCCGGGGACATAGGGAGAATTCCATATGTCCCCCCATCTTATCAAATGAAAAATAATAGCACAAGTACAGTTTTAAAAGTCATAGACATTCAACCCCAGCATTAGGCGTATAATTGGGAGTGGAAAGACTACGGCAAGCCAGATGGCTCATGAAAAGGACGCAGCTATAATTCAACTCAAGCCAATTGCTCCTTCCATCTTTTCTGAAAGTTTGGGTCAAATTCTAAAGCAGGATAACAGTTGTTCGCAGTTGAAAGGAGAGAACGCAGCAATTGAAAAGCCATTAAATACCCGGATAGGTTTTGGAGATGTGGGACAATTCCTCTACCTTGTTTATTTCTTGTAGGTAATTTGGAACTCTCATGGGTTCCAGGAGTTGAGGCGTGATAATACCAAAGATGGGACTTTAAATGACTCTGATGATGCTATGTAAGGTGGCTTGGAATAAGGAAACCAGTCCTAAGACATTACGGTAGAAGTAGACTGCAGAAGAGACATAAATATAGGTATTAGCACAATAGCATTGGAAACGACCAGACAGAGGGAAGGCTGGTGGAGTTGATGGATCCACGGTGGGGTTAAAGATCCAAGAAAATAGCCATTGACAGAGACTGTTGAGAACGATGACTCCACTGACAAAGCAGGACCATAAGAAAACGAGGATGGCCGGGCGCAGTGGCTCAAGCCTGTAAATCCCAGAACTTTGGGAGGCTGAGGCAGGTGCATCACCTGAGGTCGGGAGTTCGAGATAAGCCTGACCAACATGGTGAAACCCCGTCTCTACTAAAAATACAAAAATTAGCCGGGCGTGGTGGTGAGTGCCTGTAGTCCCACCTACTCGAGAGGCTGAGGCAGGAGAATCACTTGAACCCGGGAGGCAGAGGTTGCAGTGAGCCGAGATCGCGCCATTGCTCTCCAGCCCGGGCAACAGAGAGAGACTTAGTCTCAAAAAAAAAGAAAAGGAGGATGTTGCGAAGGGAAGGTGCTGAATTCATTCAGCATTTACTGAATTATTTCACAAGGGGCAAACATTCTCAAGGAACAGGGAAATTAATAATGCACGACTGCCCTGGAGGTGCCCCATGATCTGACCCCCATCTGTAGGAGGTGCTTGTAAGTTCAGTTTTAGATAGTTTGAGCTCAAGACACTGGCAGAACCCTTCCCAATTTAGAAACTTTGGCCTTGTCTTGACTTTCCCTCTCACTTATCTCCTACGTTCAATCTTTCGGTACAGTTTCACTGCAAGTCGCCCTGAAGTTTTGTTTCAAAGAGTGCCTGGGGCACAAGCTCTGTAAAAGCTTTGGGTACAGATTTTCTCTGTCCAAAAAGCAATCCTCAGGACTTGCTACGATGTATCCCTATGTGCAAATACCTTTGTTGAAAAACACGGAAGCCAAGCAGTGGTATAGATGAAAGCATGGTGAGCCGAACTAATCAAGTGCATTTTTGAATGTCATATTAAAATGCCTTAGTAAGAGCATCATGGGAAATGACCCATTCTGCACAGAGACTGACCAGCTTTGTCAGGCTTATGCCCAGCACCTGGCTTAGACAAAGGCTTCGACAAATACACATGGGTGTTTATCATTATGCAAAGCCAGTGTGTAATGCTTTTTCTTTTTATATTACAAAAAGTATACACACAGAAAACATATTTTTAAAAATATAATAATTAGGAATTCTACTATTTGTTGATATGCAAAAGAAGGGAATTATCTTTTGCTCACTATATGTCAGGCACTGCTCAGTTTTTCTTTACCACAGTGACCCTGTTTGGGGATCTGTTCCAGTGATGGGGACAACAGGACTGAATATTAGAAACCTAGATCATCCTAGAAAATCTGGACCATATGGTCACGTACCCGTACCTTCCTCATTTTCTCCTAACAGGGCCTGGAAACTCCAGCAAGTTATTTGGAAGTCTGTTTGATGTCAGTCTCCAGGGAGAAGCGATGCGACTGTTCTCTTGCTGCAGTCGGATGGATGTCTGTCTGAGAAAGAGGGCGGAGGGTGGAAGAGGTGCAGGGGGACCCTTCACCACAGGCTTTGATCTCCCTTGACTCCTCCTGGGATATCTCACCTTTTGATGTTGGGAATCAGTTAATTACTAGTCAAAATTGGTTTGAGGGACTAGGAAACAGTTTGAAGGCTCTGTTCTCAAAATGCCTGTACTTTGTTCTGAGGAACTTTCAGGCAACTTTCTGAAGCATCTCAGGCAAATGAGAAGGGCTCGGTCTGTGGCCCCTCCCTAGTAGCGGCCCAGATTTTGATCCTCTTGTGCTACCATGGTACCATCCTGATGCAGCAGACTTCTTTTCTCTTCAGAGCTCTGTGGTTTCATTGGTAGTGAAATGATGACTTTTAGGATTAGATTGTTAAAACATCTGTCACACCACAAAGAGTATGTAGCTTAATAATTCCCTCTTTAGGTCTTAATTTGAAACCACCACCTCTCTTTTCTGAGCAACACCTGATTAATGCTACCATGAACTTTTTCTGAGCAACACCTGAGTAGTGCTACCATCTCTTGCAACACAACCTTGATTTGTAAGGCACTATATTAAATTAGTGGGCTAGAAGTCAAATCTCCTGCCTTGCCTTTGCTGGTGCAAGTTAACATCCTCCAAGTTGACCTTAAAGGCTGCAAAATGCTTCAGGAGTTTGATGGGCAGGTGGTGCTGGAGAACTCAGCATTCTTTTCTCTTCCAAACAAGGCTACACACCTGACACCTTGCCTAGTAATGGAATTCTCCTAATGAACACGTTCCCCTAGTCTAAGGCGCTTGCACTGTGACCATACCACAGGGCTGACAAAGAGATAATTTTCAGTGCTCAGAAAAAGAAAAACACACACACACACAGAAGTCTTTTGAGACTGTCTTTTTTTCTTATGTCATGGCCTATTATGGCATTTTCATTTTAATTGCACATGAAACCCATTTAAAGCGGTGCTGTAATGGGACTGTTCCCTTGGAAAACACAGACAGGAGTGATATGGATGTGTTTTTGAGGAGTCCATTAGTTACTCAGACTGTCATCATTGTGTGCCTTGAGGGTGCTAACAATGTATTAGGTATCTAAGCAAATGTGATATATTTGATCCTCTTATATGTGAATCCCCTGTCCTCCTCCTATAAGTAGTAGATTCATATCAAAGTCTCTGGCAACAGAGTACTGCTCAGTATTTCAAAGATAAAATATGCATTCTTATGCATGTATGTTTTCTAGTTTTTCAAATGGAAATTGAGCCATATAGATAAAGCATGCAAACATTGAGACTCTGGAATTACTTATTGAAAAGAATGATTGATAAAGTGGTTATTGTGGTTGCTTCACTCTTCCCACCTCCACTTTGGAAGATAGACAGCCTGTACCTCAAAGAGTTTTAGAACTTCCTGACCTTCTGTAAGTAAAAATGTCAGTTCCCAAGGCCAGAGAAATAAAGCCACAGGGTCTTTTTCCATAAAATAAGCTGCATTCCCTGGGTCTCAATATCTTTAGTCTTCTATAGGAAACTGAAAGAATTTCCACTTTGCTTTGACTTTCCCTGCTGTGGTCCCTTCCTCATTTAGCATACTTTGTTCTTTATGCATAATTGGAAATTAATTTTCTAATTAGGTTCTTCACATTTATGAAGTTGTTTGATGGGGTGTCGGTTCTTATAACATGGCCTAAAGGCTAAAGGAGAGGTAATAATTCTTTTTTTCTGGCTTTGCCCCTAATTCAGCTAAGGTTCTTAGGAAATATATTTAACTTTTATGAGATCCCCGTAATACATCTTTAATGCTGATCTACCTTTGAAAGGTTGTTAGAAGAGTGCTAACTAGGGCTTTAAGACTCATTATGATACAGTTGATTTTATTTGTAATAGTTGCTGAAACAAAATGAAGTCATTTCTTTGGCAACATGAAGGGTATTTAGATAACTACAAGTAACAACAACTGCAGAAAATACAATCAGATGATACTGGGAGACAAAATAACATTGAACTGATACTTGAGAAGCAGAAGTGACCCTGAAGATTAAAAGGCGAGTATTTTTACTGTGAATATACAAGTAGAACTAAATCAGGTATGAGCTGTATGAGTCCGTCACCTGGATGTTCTGTGACTTGTTATATAGAACTTGAGTCTATGGTTCAACACTCTCTGATCTGTGAAGGCAAGCCAGTATAAACCAATGCATGTAAACAGTCTGTTTCTTGATTTCAGTATAAAAGTTGAAAGATAAAGCTAACCATTAGACTTGGAAGTAAAAACTAAATTCTGGAGTCACAACTTCTACATATGTCTCGGATCATGTTACTTATTACTACAGGTACAAAATAGCGTGCATGTGAGGAGAACAGGAACCAATATTGCACATTGGTAAAAGAACATCCTCATTTTATAGGAAATCATGTCATCCTACTTGAAGTGTGGCTGAAGAAAAACAATTAGATGAATACTCCTCAGCAGTCTCCAAATAAGAACTACCTTGCACACTAATTTCCATTGTGCATCAATATCCTTATTTGAATTTGCCATTCATGTATATGTCACGGCTAGGCAAAAACTGTAAGAACAAAGTGTAAGGCTGAATATATGATGATTAAAGGTAAGTGATACTCAACCTCAGAAAAAATATTTGTCTGACTCTTGACTCACTCTTTAAGTTACTTTCTAGGTTCTGCACAATGGAAATTAGTGTGCAAGGTATTTCTTATTTGGAGGCTGCTGAGGAGTATCCATCTCATTTTTTTTTTCTTGAGCCACACTTCAAGTAGGATGACATGATTTCCTACAAAATGAGGATGTTCTTTTGTCAATGTGCATTATTGGTGCCGATTCTCCTCACATGCATGCTATTTTGTACCTGTAGTAATAAGTAACATGACCCGAGACATATGTAGAAGTTGTGACTCCACAATTTAGTTTTTACTTCCAAGTCTAATGGTTAACTTAAGATCTTGTTAAGTATCAGCATAGAAAGAGGCTACATGGTAGAATGGGAATATCACTCTGCCCTGTGGGACTCAGGAGGCCTGGTCTGTGTGTCCAGCTCTAACTCTAAGTGCTTTTGTGACCTTGGACAAATTATCTAATCTCTTTGGTCCAATATAGGTCAAAGAGGTTCTTTCTGTTCTGAACACACGTAGCTTCCAAGTTCTTACCTATCACATGCAATACCCCAAGAAATTCTGGTCACTGCAACTTCTTGAACAAGATATACTGAACCCACCAGAAGAGAGTATAGCACAGTCATTAAGAGCACAGAATGCAGATGGCATATTTGGTTTTCAGCATTGCCACCTCTCTCCCACTACTTAATTGTCTTAGCCTTAATTTCTACAGCTGTGACATGGACTAACGATCTTATTTCACTAACCTTTTTCTCTTTCCCTTGCTATCTTATGCTCTTCTTTTCAGTTCTTAATGGTAGGGTTTTCTTTTGTTGTAAAGGTCTAGACAGAAGACCTTGATAAACTAGACTATGCCAAGAGCGAGGAATCATGGATTATGGATTCATCTTTGGGACTGGAAATTACTTGACCTTAAATGCACTTTCTCTATGGCATCCAAAGTCATCTTTTAAAAATGCAAATCAAATCACATTATGCCTTTGTTTAAAAACTATCAATAGTTTCTCACTGTACTATATTTAGCATAAAATCCAATCTCATTACCACATTTAACAATAATTTTGGGCTTATTCCTTGCTTTTTCTTCTTCTTTATTATTTTTATCCTCTTCTATAACTTCAGTCTCCTCCTCCTCTTCTGCCTTCAGGAGGAGAAATCTATAGCTCCAAATATGTGCTCAGTCCCTTCTTGCATTTGCAACAGTGAGGGGAACACATCCCCCTTGAATCATCCCCCTTGAATATCTGGTCAGTATGTCAAAGCTGGAATTCATCCTATCCTTCCCCCAAACCACCAAGCAACTAGCTTCTGACTTCTGTTAGTAGTATTCCTATTATTCCAGGTAACCAGCCTCACAGTCTCATTCCATTTGACTCCTCTCCATGTCTCTCTTTCCTTAATTGCTATCCTTTCTATGTATGCCTTTATTTGTACTTCCCTTTGCATTTCTACTGCCACAGTCGTCACTCACATCAGGTCTTTCGGACCTGAAATAGTGAAATAATATTCCTCTGAGTCATCTAACTTCTCCCTCTTTCGCTTTTATTACAGGTTAAAAAGCTACAAGATTAATTTTCTGGAGTACAACTCTGATCATTTGATGTCTGGGCTCCCAACATTAGCTATGTGATAAAGTCTCAACTCTTTGGCTTGACTTTCAGAGTCTAATGCAACCTGACCCTGATTACTTTTCTAGGCTAGCTTACTGCTTTTCATATATTATTCTATTGAGTCATCTCTTTATTTTTTTCAGCAAAAAATGATTGAGGACCAACAGTATACAACATCCTAGTGGTATGCTAACAATACAAACGTGAAACTTCGCAAAATAGAAGAGAGACCAAACACGCACCCAGACAGACACACACACACACTCACACACAAGTATTAAGTGGAATAATAGAAGCAAAGAATGTGATGGAAAATAGAGTAACAGGGAAGTAATTTTATATATTTATTTCTTTTTCTTTTTCTTAGAGATGGGGTCTCCTTTATTTCACAGGCTGGAATGCAAGGGTGAAATCACAGCTCACTGCAGCATTGAAGTCCCGGGCTTAAGACAATCCTCCCACCTTGGCTTCCAGAGCAGCTGGAATTACAGGCACAAGTTACCATGCCTAGCTATCTCTATATATTTAAGTAACTCTTAAAATATTCTTGAACTTGACCTTAGTTGGATAGCTTACTAATTCTAAATACTATCTCATATTTCCCACTTTTTTTTTCTTTTGCTTATATTTCTTCTTTTCAGAATGTGCTGGTTTTTAATATTCAGTATCTGGTCCGTATTTAAAGGCATACTTATTGAACTTTTATTTTTGCATCCCCAGTGTCTACTTTCCTTGGCTCCATCTCTTCCAAGCCTTCAGCCAAAGCAGTTTGAGTGAGGATTGAGCCCTTTTCCAGAGGTGGGTCATGTGACCTAGGGCTAAACCAATCAATACGCTACATTTCTCTGGCCATAGGGATTGGTTCTGGGGTGGCATGTGACAAGCTAGGCAAACAGCTAATCTGAGGGCTTTTGAAGAAACCACTGGGAAGAAGTCTTTATTCCTGTTGAACTTGCAGCTGAAAGGTTGGAAGGTCTGGGGTTGCCACATCCACTTTGTCTGTTGGAGAATGGAGCCAATCTAAAAGGAGATAGAGAAAAAAGAAATCAATTCTTGACACTGTCTCTCCTCCAAATCAAGTCACACTATGCCTCTGGAATTTTTAGTTACATAAGTCAATATTGTTTTTTTCTTACATCAGTCTGAGTCATGTTTTCTGAGAGAGAAAACAAATACAGCCATCCAATTTCAAATAGTAGTACTTTTACTAACTTTTTTTTTTTACTACCTTTATGGGTACTGCCAGTTCAATGCGGTTTTTCTCTACCATTTTGTGTCTCTCAGTTATGGCATGTATGCTGTTCAACCTCATTTTAGAGTTATTGGTAAACTTGCCTCCTACCAGATTTGAATGGACAAAAATTTCTCTTTAAAGCTCTTCATTGGCCCAGTAAATAGGGCCTGAACAAAAGTGAGACAAGTGAGGTGCACAGGGGTCCACGATGAAGAAGCACTCACTTCCAGGTGCCAAGTCTGCACTTAGCAGTCTGGAGAGCGAGTGCCTCCTTATCATTTGCTCCCTGGGCACCTCACTTGCTTTATCTATTTCTGATCCTGGTAGTGGAGTAACTACTCAATACGTGTTAGGCGAACTCGAAAGAATTTCACATTTTGCATGGGGATGGAGATGATCCAGAATTGCATTTTCTTTGCTATTATACTCATCTGACATATCTCATTCACTTTTTTTTTTTTTTACATTTACTTCATTTTGGAGTCATCTAGCATTATGCAGTGATTGCAGGGAGGGTTTGTGATGGTATTACTCTAAAAACCTCTAAATCCCATTTCCCAGCAAGAAGACAAACTAATAGCTCTGCTAAGCAATGCATCCAGAAATAACATGGAATATGGGGTAGTGAATTTCATTTTCACTCATTTACTTATATTTTCATAGCTCAGTGTCTGTTGTGGAGCCTGAATTATACAACTCATTATCTAGGTCAATCTAGTGAGCTATCCTGTCAGCACAGATGTGCTACTTTTGCAATAGAATTCTCAGTGGTAAAGTTGCTTCCAAGCTGGCACCTATTATTAGTAAAAGTATTAAATAAATAAATTATAGAAACAGTTGAAGCAATGAAGCCTACACGATAAGTGCAATAGGTTATAAACATTATGTCTTCATTATATAAGCAATTGTGTTAGTTATTTAAGATTACAGACGATCGATAGCCACATCTTGTTTGCGCTAGTGTTGGTTCACTGGTTGTAAGCAACAGAAACTGACTTCAAATAGAGAAAAGGTTTTACAAAGAAATATCAGAATCAAATCAATGAACAGGTTCAAAAGAAAAACACTAGAACAGACAGGAAGCAAGACAGCTCCAGTGAACTAGGTAGCAGGAATATATGTTGAAGTAATAAGGCATAAATAAAATGAATCTACACCAACAATTTTTCCATATATGATTCCACTAAATTTTTGTCATTGCATTACTCTAGTCAAGACCAAATCCTAGGACAATAGGTTCATTCCTGGTTATAATCATATGGCCACCTCTTGACCAAGGAAAAGCAGGCCACCTTGATTGAAAGTCCTACCAACACTGTATACAAACAACAGATGTCCATTACTTTAGTTCAGTTAGAATCTGAAAGGCTTCAACTGTGCTACTTACACATATTCTGGGCCAATTGCCAACTTGTGTTGAACATGCACAAAATCATTTTATCATGACACTTTGCTGTATCAGTCACATCACATTTGTTCAAATTTGGGAAGCATGAAGCTTCAAAAATATTCATAGATGTGTAGGTGAATTTGGTAGGAAATAATATTTGGTCTTTCTGTATGTTAATTCAACTATTTGGCTAATCAAAGTATATGATGGTGTCATCTATCAGCAAACAAATTGGACTGATCTTACTGTGAGTTTTGTTGAAACGTTTTTGACAGTAGATATGGAGAATGTCTAAGACACAAGTTTTAAACACAAAATACTATCCTAAACTAGCTCTTTTCCGCCTGCCAGGGCCACCTTTTGAATCTGTGACCTGTGCAGTTGTCTGTGCTCAGAACACTTAGGTTAACATCCTTCTGTCCTCTCTTGACTCTCTTGAAGCTGTTAATAATTTGTTAACAAAAGACCTGCAGTTTCATATTGCGCCGGGCCTTGTATATTATACAGCTAATCCTGAAAGACACAGAACCAGTGGAAGCCAGAATTACTTGCTAGTGGGAATACTCAGGCCATAAAGTGCTGCAACTTTGAGACTCTTTAAATAAATGCCATCTTTTAACACTCTAACAAGGTACAAAAATCCCAGAATTTGCACACTCCATATTCAATGCTCTTTCTTCATTGGAAGGGCAGCAGAGGTAAGGGATGGGCCATAATGGTAGAGAAGAACCATAGAAGAACCAGTGGATGCCACTGACTTAGCATGTCTCCTGAGCACATGTGAATGTTACATAAATACTCATTGAATCTTTAAAAAGATGAAAGCATGAGCACGCATGGCCTGTTTGCAGGTCCCTGAGGTGTGAACAATCGTGGCATGTTTGAGGACCAGAAAGAAGGCCAGTATGCCTGGGACAGTGAGCAAAGGCATGGTGGAAGAAGGAAAGAATGAAGTTTATGAGGGACCCAGGAACCGTGTCAAGTAAGGGCTACTAGGCCAGGGTAGGAAAGTAAACATCATGGGAAGATGACTTACTTATTATAACATCATAGTATTTTGGTACATTAAGTCTGAAGCATAAAACTTTTTTTTTGAATTTTATCTTATTTTCATTTTATTGTACTTATTAAATATATGCGTTTTTAAAACAAGTTGTGTGAAGGAAAACATATTTTATATTTACTCTGTTACAGGTTCCAAATTAAAGAAATCCCAGTTAACTTGGTTACATTATATATCAACAGCCCTTTCCTTTAATATCAAAAGGCTTTTCTTGCCTTTTAAAAGCTTTATTTTTAATGAACACATAATGTTATACATATTTATAGGGTACATAGTGATATTTTGACACATGTAATGTATAGTGATCAAATCAGAGCAATTCACGTATCTATCTTCTCAAAGATTTATCTTTTTTTTTTTTTTGCATTGGAAACATTCAAAATCTTCCTTCTAGCTATTTGAAGCTATATACTATATTATTGTTTACTGTAGTCCTACCAGTGGTACAAAACACTTGAACGTATTTCTTCCTATATAGCTGTTATTTTGTGTCCTTTAACAAATTCTGCCTATCCCCTTCTTCCCCTATGTTTCCCAGCCTCTGGTATTCTCTCTTCTACTTTTAATCTCTATGAGATCATGTTTTTGTTTGCTTTTGTTTTTTATCTTTCACATGAGTGAGAACATGGAATGCGACGTTTAACTTTCTGTTCCTGGCTTATTTCACTCAAGATAATATCCTTCAGTTCCACCCATGTTGCCATGAATGGCAGGATTTCATTCTTTTTTTGAGGCTGAATACTACTCTATTGTGTGTATGCACCACATTTTCTTTATCCATTCATCTGTTGGTGGACACCTATGTTGATTCCCTATCTTGGCTATTGCAAACAGTGCTGCAATAAGCATTCGGGGTTCAAATGTCTCTTCCATACACTAGTTTCCTTTCCTTTGGATAAATGCCCAGTAGTGGGATTGCTGGATCATATGGTAGTTTTATTTGTAGTTTTTTTAGTAATCTCCATACTGTCCTTCACAGTGGCTATTGAAGCATAAAGCTTAATACAATGTCATTTAGAGCAGAGGTGGGCCAACGTTTTCTGTAAAGAATAATAAATATTTTAGCCTTTGCTAACTGTATAGTCTCTCTTATAACTTCTTACAACTACTAAACTCTCTCACTGGGCTGAGTAAACATAGGCTATACTTTGGGTGAAAGTAGACATAGATAATCTTAAATAGAGGTTGCTGTGTTTCAACAAATCTTAGAAAAAATAGATAGTAGGCCAAATGTGGCCCATTAGCCACAGTTTGCCAGTCCCTGATCTAGCAGAGCATGGAGCCACATGCATCTATATTAGCTGCAATGCACATTAAAAATGCAGATGTTTGTGTCCTCTTCCAGATGCACTGAACCTAACTTTCTGGGTTTGAAGTCTGAAAGTCTGTGCTTAATAAGTTGCCATAGAAAGTGTTATTGCATGCTTGTCTTAGTCTGTTAGTGCTGTTATGACAGAATTCCTGAGACTGAGTAATTTATAAAGAACAGAAATTTATTTCACTTCTGGAGGCTGGGATGTTCAATATCAAAGCAACAGCATTTGAGGTCTGATGAGGACCTTCTTGCTGTGTCCTCACATGGCAGATGGCAGAAAGGCCAAATGCTGTGCGAAGCCTTTTTTTTTTTTTTTTAAGACCGAGTTTCACTCTTGTCGCCCAGGCTGGAGTGTAATGCACAATCTTGGGTCACTGCAACCTCCACCTCCAGGGTTTAAGCTATTCTCCTGCCTCGGCCTCCCAAGTAGCTGGCGTTACAGGCATGTGCCACCGTGCCCAGCTAATTTTGTATTTTTAGTAGAGATGGGGTTTCATAATGTTGGTCAGGCTGGTTTCGAACTTATGATCTCAGGTGATCTTCCCACCTCGGCCTCCCAAAGTGGTGAAGCCTCTTTTATCAAGATCTTAATCCCATTCATGGCAGTTCTGCCCTTATGACTTAATCACCTCCTAAAGGCCCCCACCTCTTAATGCTATCACAGTGAAGAATAAGTTTCAACCCATGACTTTTGGAGGATATTCAGACCACAGCAATGCCAAAATTGAGAAAGTTGAGAACCACTGGTCTAGAAGCCAGTCTATCCACTTAGGTCCCTTTCTAAGGTATTAAAAATTGTAACTGATTGACCTAGGATAGCACATGGGGTAATTTCTCAGGGTAGAAGGACTAATGTTTGGAATGGCCTGTATTCAAATTCAGAATGGATTGTTCCAGGAGACTGTAAGAAAGATCATGTAGCAAGAATAATAGCAAGGAGAGAAAGCTCTGCTAGATAAGGCTGTGCAGATCAATCCTCCCTTTGAGTTCCCTGGTTTTAATTATTGATGCTAAATATACATTTCCCTTAATTGTTTTGTGAAAATAAGTTAAATAAAGAATAAAGCCATTCTATACATGCACAGGCAAACATTACACTCTTTTCAAATAAACACTGGGATGATTCCTCGGAGTGTTCCTATTCAAATTTGGTTGCAAAATAACACCCACAGAATGTATTTCCAACCACAAAATACTGTGACAGTAAGCAGCCAGCACAAGAGAGCCTGTTATGGTTTATAGATTGCAATGATTATATTGCGGGAGCAGTTGATGCATTTGTTGGTGTTCATTCTATTTCACATTTGCATTTAAATTCCTGTGGAACAAAGATAAGATAAAGAGGAAAACAAATGATGCTTATTTGTTGTTGTATTGAACTCCTATTATAAGTATTGTTTTAAAGGAGAGTGAAGCTTTGCAAGGAAGCATTCCACATGTCCTTTACAAAACATGAAATACACTTTCAATTGTCAACTAGAAATATGCAGGAAAACATATCCCTGGGCTTTCATAAAATCATAAATCAATAAGGAATAACTGAAAATGTGGTTGAATACAAGGAAGCAAATGAAATACTCAGTACTTTCCTTTATACATTTATCCACATTTTATTGATACATAAGAAATGTAGAACTGCAATGAGTTTTGAAACACTATTCGTTTTATTTCAGGCATTCCTTTAAAGCAATGCTTGATATGTTTCCTCTTTCAAATAATCTGTGCATCCACAGCATCGTCCTTTGATGAATTTATGCAGATCAGTTCTACATCCAGGGTAATGTTTTCTGCTCCTCTAAGCTATTTTGCTGGGATCACAGGGAAAAAAAAATCTTTTTGTAGAGTTCGATTGTACCTTCTAGTTACTGACTGGGTATAAGGTTCCTCTACTCATACAAAAAGCACATCTGCCTCCCCATATGATGTGTTTGCCATAATTAATTTCAGAAGAAGAATGAGATAATGTTACCTCTTCCTCTCAAATTAGTAAGTTGCATATCAGTGCCTAGAACTTATTTAAATCATTTTTAAAACATCACACTCATTTCTGTAAATACACCTGAAATAAGGTAAAAATTAACAATTAAATGACAACAGTTAATTATATGATGTATCTGAACTCATAAGCAAAAATTTCTCTGACTTTACCATGCTTTACGGTGCTTTTCTCAAAGGAAGCATTAGTCAGGTCCTTTTCTGGATGCTGGCAGTGACAGCCTGGAAGCATTCCTTAAAGGGAGGGCTGTAGAATGTCCTTAATAAGAGATGTTGGACTGGGCGTGGTGGCTCAAGCCTGTAATCTCAGCACTTTGGGAGGTCGAGGCTGGCAGATCACGAGGTCAGGAGATCGAGACCATCCTGGCTAACACGGTGAAACCCCGTCTCTACTAAAAATACAAAAAAAAATTAGCCAGGAGTGGTGGCAGGCGCCTGTAGTCCCAGCTACTCGTGAGGCTGAGGCAGGAGAATGGCGTGAACCCGGGAGGTGGAGCTTGCAGTGAGCCGAGATTGTGCCACTGCACTCCAGCCTGGGCGACAGAGCAAGGCTGTGTCTCAAAAAAAAAAAAAAAAAAAAAAAAAAAAGATATTACACCAAAATTAAATGTGGTGGTCAAATTAGAATAATTATGTCTAAAAACCTCTGCTTCCTTTTTGTCCCTTCTTGGATATTGATAATGTATACTGACATATTAAAGGCTCTAAGAAGTCAGAAAAAAAAATGTCTTTAGCTTTATTTTTTCAAACTTTTTGCTGACAGTAACTTATCATTTTTTAAAGTCTAACACCTTGCATTGGCACTTGTATTTCTGGAAATGCATGTTCCGAAGTTCTGACCTAAGTAGTAACTAGTATCTAAAGGAAAGTACATTCTCCTGTCTGTATTACATATTTTATGTTCCTTAACATATTATATGTATCAGCCATATTTATTCATTCATCATTTATTCAGCAAGTATTTGAAGAACTTCTCTGTGCCAGTAGCTTGTGGGTGCTGGGGACTCATCTTTTTAAGAGCATATTTTTATTCTATTTTCAAAATGTATGAAAAACTTAGTTGTTAGTATAAATAACAAGTTATATGAAAAATAAAAGTATCACAGTGCATAGACTCAGCATTTTAAGTCAAGCATTCAGAAGAAATGCAAAATGGTAGATATTTTTCCTTAGATGCCATTAGGGCACGTTGCACTGAGCATGTACCTTATTTACTGTTGTGACTGTCCCTGGAATACTAACAATGATGCATTTAAATAGCTTATAGTTATGAGTTTTAGAATCAGAAGCAAATAAATTTGAAAGCATTAATTCCAGCCTCCTGCTTTAGCTGAATTTCTATTATCTAAACCAGCCCCTTCAAATGTTTTGAAAATCAGATCATATACAACATTTTATAAGCTTCCTATCTTGGAACGTGAATTTAGAATTCACACTCTGGCTCATTTTTCCAACTGTAAAGTGAGTGAGTTGGGTTAAGAAAATCTATTTTTAGAAGAAGTAGTAAGCATTGAAAAAGTTCACAGCAATTTCAAGCCATAGATTTGAATATTAGCACCTGGAAAATAGTAATTCTAATTCTCATTCTTACTTAGCTGGTGCCACTTGAGTGATGTCCCTGGAGCTGAAAGGGATTGCCAAGTTAATTTGGTCAAGTGGTTTTCACAAACTATACATCTTATTAATTATTCCTTTGATGGGCTGGTCTAAACCCAGTTCAAACTGACTTAAGTAAATAAGGACAACAGAAATAAGAATTAATAAATAAATACTAAAAAGTGATTTAGAAGATATTGTTTCACTTCACCTCCGAGCGCAGGGGTATAATTAGCTTCAGGCTTGCCTAGAGTCAGTGGTGCAAACCATGTCACTGATAGCTTAGGCATGTTTGTCTGTCTCCCTCTGGCTTAGATGGATCTCAAACAGGCCGTCTACTCACTGGTTCCCAGAAGCTGCAGGCTTGCATAATCCTTACAACTAGAAATTCAATAGAAAAAGCATTCACCTTCTTAGTTATCCTCAGGATTGACTCTCCTTGGGCTGCCCTGGTCTTATGCTTATGCTGCAACCAATCATTGTGGTCATGGGAATAGAAGGGCCTGATTGGCCAGGTTTGGAAGATGTTTCTATCTATGGAGTAGGCAGAGACTGATGATAAAGGATATAGAGTGGGGTGGGGTGGTTTTCCGCAAAGGAAATTAAGGTGCAGCCACCAAAAGAAGCTGATGCTTGGCAGACAAAATCAACAGGTGCCCATTGTATTTATTTTTTAAACGAGCATCCACACAGAACCATGAGGTACAAGGTAAACAAAAAGAGGAGATTCTTGCTAGATTGGGTATGGGGAGTTGGGGTGGAGAGAGACTCAGAGATCTGCTCATTCAGCCACATCTCACAGCTCTTGAGAGAAGCTGACCCCTTCCTCGTTTGCCTGGCATGATCTTGGTTTATGTGTGTTGTTCATTTTAATTACTGATAACACCCCGTTTTACTCTCAAAAGTGGCGTGGTTTGCTTAATAGATTTTATGGTTACTGGATCGTGGGGATTCTTTAAGCTTTATTAGTTAATTCACCCCAAACACTTGTAAAACTCTTGATCTACATCCACCAAGGCATCCACTTCCATAAATCAGACTTCTGTGTTTCATCTGAATAATATGAAACCTTGGAAGAGTTTAACTCATCATCTCCTCTCATTTTACTTGTTTCCCATGAAAATGAAACTTATTATCATTTGATGCAATTAATATTTGTTTTTATTTACCCACATTTAACAAATGTTTTGTTCACCATTGTTTCTTGAATATCAATCTTTTCCCTGGGATAAATTTTTACCTTTCTGAACCGTTCCTTTGGGAGTTTGCTACTCAAAGTGTGGTCTATGGACGAACACCACCATCAGCATCACCTGAGAGCTTATCAGAAATGCAGAACCTGAGGCTCACTAAGTCAGAGCCCATAGATCAACAAGATTCCCAGGAGTTCAGTAGACACAGTCAAGTTTGAGAAGCCCATTTTAGAACAGTGAACTTAACACAAGATGTTTTCATTTTCTATTCCATTTTGTCTCTGATTCTCTCATATTTTAACCTCTGTGTCTCTGTCTTCAATATTATGGATAAATTATATCTTATCTTTCATTGCTGTCTGCTCACTGTAGTCTCCTAGGTGGCTTAAAAACTAAGTACCAGTATACACATTTTTAGAGATAGAGAGACAGAGAGAATGGGGATGGGGAGAGAGAGAGAGAGAGAGAGAGAGAGAGAGAGAGAGAGAGAGAGAAAGAGAGAGAATGAATGCCTGGGCTCCTCCTCAGACCATCTAAATTAAAATCTGGGTAAGGACCACTACACCAAGAGCTCCTTTAGTTAGGATTTATTGGTGACATGCTCTCATTTTTCTGTTTGTCTAAAAAATACTTATGATTCATTATTGCATAATAGCCAGTTATACAATTCTAGGTTGCTATTTATTTTTCCTCAGTGTTTCAGAGATTGAAAAGAGTGTCTTTAATTTTTGTTGCTATCTGTTGAGAATAAACTCTTTTTCTCTGTAGGCAATCTGAGTTTTAAATTTCTGCTCAGTACTAAGATTCTTATTGTCTTCAATGTTATGCAGCTTTACTCCATTGTGACTAGATTTGTATTTCTTATTTCTTATTGTATCTAGGATTTTTTGCAGTTTCTAAATCTGAGGATTCAGATTACTGTCCCATCTTCTATACATTCTTTGCTATCTAGAATGTTAATTGGATTTGCACAAGATATTTTCATTTTCTATTCCATTTTGTCTCTTATTCTCTCATATTTTAATCTCTGTGTCTCTGTCTTCAGTATTATGGATAAATTATATCTTTCAATTCTAATCATTTAGTGAACATATATGCGTCAAATTTTTCTATTTCATGATTTTATTTTTTCACTTGAATGTCCATTTAGAACATATCACTTCTAGAAGTTCATTTTATAATCAGACTGGTTTTTCCTTGAGAGTGTCTTGCTCCTTGCTCAATTTGAAAATTCTTTAAAAAATATTCAAATATAGTTATAGGCTGAATCTCATAATTTCACTATCTAATGTTATTTTCTGTTGTTTCTGCTCAATACTGCTCATGAACACCTGTCTCTTGTTCATGTTGCAATTTGAGCGGAGAGTGAAGTTATGTTATCTGGAATTGATCTGTGGATATTTTGTGAGGCCTGAGTTGAGGGTGCATTCCATCCTTGTAGAGAAATTTGTGTTGACCTCTGCCAGGCTCTGTAAAGTACAACTGAGTCAAGACCACTTTGATTTCTTGTCTTGGGGTTTCCTGAAATATGCTGGTTATGTAAATTTCAAAGCCCCTTGGCCTGAGGATAGGCCTGCGATTATGTATTTTTCAGAAGAGATGTTTTCTCCTTCTAGAATTCAGCATTAGATAAACAAAATCCCCTTGCCTAGGTCTTAGTTGACTGTCAAAACTTTTTTCAGTACAATCTTTCCCTGAGGGGAAATGCCCAGCTGTCAATTATTCATTTTGTTAATGAGGAAAGTGAGGCTCAGAGTTCAACTTGCTGGGAGTCACACTCAGCCCCTGAAAGCAGAAATGAAAAGAGGGCCCAGATCTTCTCATCGTCCAGTTGTTTTCTCCTCCGACAAAACAAGCTACAGAAATAGCATCACCTTCTTCTAATAAGAATGGCTTCACCTTTGCCTCCAGTTGGACAAGTAACAGCAAGATTCAGTTATTCCTCATGGTTAAGTTTGATGAATTATAGAAATAGGTTACTTAGATATATTTTAAGAATCATAAGAACATAAAAAAGTCATATGAGCTAAGACTTATAGTCCCCACTATTCAGTATTTTGTCTTTTATAGTAGTACCAAGGGACATTGGTGTGACATGATGATAGTTGCCCTTTGTGATATTGTCCTCAAAGGGGGCATCCCTAACTGGGAAAGATCTATCATCCAAGAATTTCTCTAAAGCCTTCTTGAACTCTCATTACATTTTTGGTTTGTACAACCTTAAGGCACTGCTTTACAAGGAATTGATCTTATACTAGTCAGGACATGGGCTAAATAACCCTGAAGTCCTTTTAAAATATGATTTCAAGTATCATAAATCTTGTTGGATAATCACACTCTGCAAATGGAGGGAATACAGTAGAGTGATACTGAGCTCTGAAGTCAAACAGCCTATGTCCAAATACAGGCTTTATCCCTATGTCCTAACTGTGTGACCTTGGGCAGAATCTTTTACTCTTCTGAATCTCTGTTTCTTCTCCTGGACAAGGGCAGTGACTGTAGGATTATCATAAGGTTACTGGGAAAAATGAATACAATAATATACATAAAATTACTTAGCACAAGGCTTGGCATACAGTAAACAAATGAAAGTATTCTCAGTATTACCATTAGTGATATTGTCATTAGTGTCGGTAGATGTCATTAGTGTCATCCTGGTCACAGACCTCACCAAAAAAGTGGCTGCGATCCCATTTCATATGTTTTAAAACATCTGGAGGCTGAGGGCAGAAGAGGATATAAGAGACCAAAAAAAAAATGAATTATTATACTGTGAAAGAATTTTAAATTTTATGGATTCCAGTATGTACTAAATAAATCACAAACTTTTCAGGAAACAATTGTTAAAATATCTTTGGATGTGCTGTTGTGGGAGTGCTTCATATTGAAAAAGAGAGATATAAACTAACCAAGTAAATAAGGTTACTTGCGGTTCCATTCTGTATTTTACCCTTACATAAATTGACTCTGATATTTGGTCGCTGGGTTTCCTCAATTATTTTATTTTTGCCAAAAAACAAAACAAAAATAATGTGGCGTGTAATAGCTCTAATGTTAATAAAATTGAATGTTTATTTTTCCCCCTGGAAAGTGGCCTCTCCACTCTTTCTTAAATGTCCCATTCTGCCTCGACATTTACTTTGCACTAGTAACAACACTCAATTTTCATTGACATTATCTTCTAAATACAATCAGATCAAAAATCGCCAACATCATTCTCATTCCTCTCCTGCAAGCAGATAATACAAGACAGGGTCTAGCTGATAACTTCCACTTCAGTAACCTCTGATTCCACTACTTGAAATGCTTTGTGTGGTTTTCTACTAGACCAGAGGCAGAGGTATTTGTGTAAAACAGGCGATTCCCGTCAGCAAAGATGCAAGATGTGGCATTTGCCTTTAATTTCCTTTTGCTGGGTACAGGGACTCTGTGAATGGGCAGGTCCCTGAGGGTGACTTGTACCAACTGGAGCCTGTGCCAGCACGGACCTTCCCAGGCACACACTTAACATTTTTCCCCAGGGGCTTGTGCTTAAATCTGCAGGTTGAAAGGAACTGAAGTGAAACTTCTAAGAAATGGTGGTGAGCATTTAGGATGTTCTAACTCAGTTCACATAAGTGTTGATGTGTTCTGTGACAGTCTCAACCCCAAACGAAGTGCACTCATGTTTACTGGCAAAATTGGGAATAGTTTTTCAAAAATTTACCATACGAGTAAACTTCCCAGTTTACTTAAGCTCTCCAAGCCTCAGTTGCTTCATCTGCAGAATGGAAACAAACATTAATTATGATATTGAATAAAAACATTACATTATTACATGTGCTAAGTTAAAAAATCTCAAAATTACTAATATTAAATATTAATATTTTTAGAATTATTTGAGAGTTGGCTGAGATCACTCAAGGACAGTACTTAGAGGGCCTGGCATATTTACATGTACTCTTCATATATTACTAGCTTTTCATAGTAGTAATCCTAATGTAAGCCTATGCTAGGTTTCTTTTCACAAATGGTCTGAAATATTCATTCTTCTGTATCTGGAAAGCAAAGTGGCCTACTGAAGACATTATATAAATTCAGTCCAAATGCTATTTGCACTTGATATGCCCAGATGTTTGAGGTGGAAAAAACATATTGAATTATCTGGATACTTCCTTAATTTGGGGGAGAATAAATTTCCTATGTTGGATTTTTGAATACATTTAAGGTGCTCAACCATCCAGGTTTGCCTGAGACTGAAAGGGGTTTCTGGGATATGGCACTTCTCAGCAATATAACTAGGACAATCCTAGGCAAACTTTATGAGTTACCTTATACATTATAGCTCCCTGTAAATAATGTAAGACACTCAAATATGATGAACTTTTAAAAATACACAGGTCTTTTGTCAATGCAAAAAAATTCTTTGGTGGAGAAGGAGAGAGCTGTATCCTTACATCTGCTTTCAGTTGCAAAAATAGCTCAATACTGAACTAAAACTGGCTTAAGAATAAGGCCCTTGAGTCTGGAGGTGGATAGTTTCTGGCTTGGTTCAATAGTTCACAATGCCTTTGAGGACTAAAGAATCTCTGTATTGGTGTTGGCCGTATTTGCCCTTGAAGTTTCATTAGGCTTCATCTTCAAGCACCTCTCTCTGCCACAGTGACACCCAAACCAGGAAAGGCAAGTCAGGGGAGAATCTACCTCCAGCATCTCTCTTTTTTCATCAGGGACTAAAATTATTCTAAGAATCACTCAAATTTCTCTCATGCTTTATTAGACAAAGCCGAGTCATCAGTCCACCCATCAGTCAATCAACCAAGTGCATGGAATTATTAGATATTTAGACAAACCATAGGTCATCCTCTGGTCTAAGAGAGGGACACAGCTTCTCTGAGCACCTGTTAATATGAACAAAAATGAGATTTGGCCAGGAAAGAAGGAGGGAGGTTGGAGAAACAACTGCTGTCTACTGAGCAGACAAACAGTATCTGCCATGGGCAGTGGAGAGGAGACAGTCGTCTCACTAATGTCCACTCCTGTTCTTTAGGCAGCCATGTATGTCGCTGATAAGAGGGCTTCTTGCTGTTGATTTCCCAGGTGCCTGGGTATAATGGGAATAGGGCAGATGTGCCACCTTCTATTGAATGGCGTGTGTTGTGAAGGCCAGGGAATTCACATGAAACTTCTACATATCTCAGTTTCTCTGTCTGAGCACTTAAGATATGGCCAGCAGCCTCCTAAACCAGAAGAGGCATCTAACCAAGGAAAACACAGTAAAGAACTCTTCATTTTGAAGTTTGTTTCTTGCCTGCAAATCAAATAAGATATTGATCTTTCATCTCAGGAGAAAGTCTTTCATTGGCCCTTGATGGCACAATTCTCATAACAAAGTCCCCAACAAAGAAAATATAATCTGGTGTTCTCACCTTTGAAAATCTCCTCCACTCCCCAAGTTGCTCCCTCTAAGTGAGCTGAATGTGTATACTCTACCCTCTTTCCTGGGGCTGCTTCGTTTATTTAAGGATGAGAGTTCAAGGTCACTGAAGAAAATCTTTCTCAGCTCCACCAAGAGTCCCCTTATGAAGAAACAGAAATCTAGCTCTTGTGTAAATGATCAAATCCTTGTTTAACAGAGACTTACCTTGTGATATCAAGGTTTGTTGTCTGATTTATACTGCTTATGACTCCTGTGAGGGTGTTATGAGGTTTCATGAACTAATGATTATGGAGTTTAATATTTTTTAAAAACGTTCCACAAATGTTAAATGCTATTACTCCTTGGGTCACTCCCTGTTTGCATTTAATATAACTTCCTGCATCATTCATACGCTGTAATGGAGAAGCAGATTCCAGGGACATTCCCTGGCTACTTAGGAATCAACAGATACCAGTGCAGCATAAGGTTTAATTTTCCTTTTTGCTTTTAAATGATTCCTAAAACCGTTCTGAGAGACCATGAATGAGAATGATGTGGAAATTTCTGATAGTAAAGGCTTATTGTAAGCACAGTGGCTCAAAACTGTAATCCCAGAACTTTGGGAGGCCAAGGCGGGCAGATCGCTTGAGTTTAGGAGTTCTAAACCAGCCTGGGCAACATGGTGAAACCTCATCTCTATAAAAATACAAAAATTAGCTGGGTGTGGTGGTGCACCCCTGTAGTCCCAGCTACTTGTAAGGCTGAGGCCGGAGAATCACTTGAACCCAGGAGGCAGAGGTTGCAGTGAGCCGAGATCCCCCACTGAACTTCAGCCTGAGTGACGGGAGTGAAACCTTGTCTCAAAAATAAATAAATAAATAAAATATTTGAACAGAAGTCGAAGAATAAATTAACTGCAGAAGGTGCGCCATTTTAACTGAGCACACACTTGGCATAACAATAAGCTGATTCTTTTATTTGGAATTTCCAAAACGAACTTTAAAAATAAAAGAGGAGGAGCATTTCTAAGGAATGCAGTATGACTTTGGTGGGCTCACGGTTCTCAGTGTTTACATGCATCCTTGAATGTGCTGCTTTATACATTTCTCTAGCAGTTTGTGGTTTGTGTTTGTGTTCAGATGTGCAAGGATAATAGATATGGGAAAAAGAGTGATGCATTTTAAAATTATACCGTTTGTAGATTGTGGAGAAAGTTCTTAATAAGAAGTAAAAAATTAGAAAATGTTCATTTAATTGATTTGGTGTATATAGTTTTGTTCAAAATAAATGTGTGAACATGTCTTGCTCAAGAAAAGCAGCATTTAAGAGGGAAACTCATCAGACTGATGGTTCTATCCGTTGAAGACAGTTAAGATGGAGGAAGCGTAAAGAAAAAGAAAAACACAAATTAGTATGAGCACAAAGAATGAGCTTAAACAAAGCTATGATTCTCTCATTCACAAATATTATATATTGTGCTTTTTTTTTTCTGATATCCCCCCCTTGGCTCCTGCTTCTCATTCCTGTAAACAGCAGTGACACATCACACCTGCTGAACTTTTTCACCTCCAACTCCAAATTAGAGGAAAGTTGGCTTCATACTGATTGTACTTTACTGGGGACAGACGGCAGGGTGGCAGATGGGGGAGGGAGTGCCTGTAATTAAGCAAAACGGTTTAAAGTGTAGCTTTCTTAGACAAACCGTGGTTGTAAGTTATAGCTGCTCTTTACTTGCTAATAATTGCAAAATCTATTGCTGCCACTTTTGAGGTTTTTTTTTTTAAATAAAAGACTATTAAAATGGAATAAAAGCTTAATAAGTAGATTAGTTAGAACAATAGTCCTCATGAGAATGTTTTGATTCTGAGTATAGCTGCTAAAGATAACCCTAAATGCAATCAGGTTTAGCTCCCTGCATGTGTGAAAGGAAGGTAATACCCTCAGAGATTTTGCCAACAGATGACATTATTTTTTAAGTATCTCTTTCTACATTTAAATTAGTCTTTCCTCTGGGCACCTGCAACAAAACCTTTGTTAAGAATCACCAGAGAAACAGAGCTCTGAATAAATGCTCAGTGGAAAATTATTTTTGAGAATTTGGTTTTAGATGTTTCACATCAAAAAGATGGATGGCAATGCATCCAAGAGGGAGCGCTTTGTGATCCTTCTCTGTCCTCTTTGAAATTTTAAGGATCAAAACTCCCAAGGTGTCCAGAGATAAGTACAAAGGGAGCCCTGCAATTTTACTAAACATATACACATTATAAAGCGCAATGTGATCCAATGTCAATGAAAGTGTGTCCATATCCTGTCCTTTTTGTTTTATTTTATTAATTTCATTCCTTTGGCCAGATATTTATTCTCTCTCTGTCTCTCTCTCTAATTCTCTCCCCCTCTCTCTCATCACATTTTTTTTTCTGTGCACTGAAAGACCTGTATGAGACTCAGGAAACAATCATTCACAGACTTGATCATTCAAATTGCAATGAACGTTACTACTCAAGAGTGTTCTTCAGACAGGATGGCACAGACGATACTGAGAGTCTTCATTACCTCCTGGGACATGCACGTTCACAGTGAGCCTGACTTCCACTTCCTGTCTCTATCCTTCCACTTTTTTCCTTGGAAGGTATTTTCTTTTAGATTTTCCTATGTCAGTGCCCTCTAGATTACACATGCTGTTTTCAACAGCCTGCTGGGCAAATCTATCAGGTTCCAAAGAAGTAGTCTGTTTTGCATTCCTCCTTGCCATTTTTCCTTCCCCATTCAGTTCATCCTTGCTTCTTTTTTGCATCCCAAGCCATTGCATTTACTCAGCTCTGTAGGAGAGACTGGGAAACCCTGGCACTATCCCAAGTATGTAGTTTATGAAGTCCCCTGTCACCAAATTAATTAAAGGGACTCTTTCATTTGCCTGTCTACACCCACCCAAATATGACAATAAATGTGTAATCTTGTGACTTGTTTCTTTTTTCCCCACCATTTGAATTCAGCCTTAGACTCATAGTTGTTGAAGTATAGAGGATATAGAAGAAAGGCATCATTAATATGATTTGGTCTGACACACACCTACCCCACCCCATAGTTCCGTAGCAGTGCTTTATGAGGATAATGTGAATTAAAATGAAGTTTATGTTGAGACTATTTTGCTGTTGTATAATAGCCCTGACATAAATGGAGAAGCATTTGAGAGTCCCATCAGCCAAGGAGTAAGCTCATATTTATTTAGCATAGTCATAAAACAGGTTAGGTATCAGTCACTCACACTATTATTTTGAACAGTAGAATTTTATAACCTGATGTTTTAACATTTTTCTCGGGCATAGCTGAAGTCAGAGTCATCTGGAGACTTTATTGAACTACACAGACTGGGCCCCACTGCAAGACTCATCGACAGCTTGAGTAAGGCCCAAGCTGGTAGATATTTTTAGTTTCCCAAGTGATTTGACATCGAGTTAGGCATAAGAACCATGAAACCAGACTTATACAAATAAATATTGTATTTTATAGTGATCTATTATGTATGTCTTTATGAATAAGTGTGTGTCTATTATAAATATCCATTTATCACCATGTCATGTTAATCCCTTTAGAACACCTATAATATAGGTATATTCTACGTAAATAAAATCTTTAGCTACAGATATATATATATTTATAGCTACAGATTATATATATATATTATATATTTATATATCTCCAGAAATATAGAATAGGCACAGATATTTTCCTAACAATTATACACAATTCCTGAATGATACATTCTGCTTGTAATATGGAAGTTATGAATTCTCTGGGCTATAAACATTTCAATAGTCATAGTAATGATCTTTTATGGAACTCATTCTATGTGCACTGTGCTGGGATAAATGTTTTTCCTGCATTATCTCACTTAATCCTCACAACAAACCTGTGAAACTAGTGCTTGCATTTCTGCTCTAATGTAATATATGCATTCTTTAAAAATCTTGCAATGTGCAAAATTATGCAGTGAAAACAAACCAAGATGATTTATAGTAAATCTGTGTTAGAGCAGACCATTCAAAACCTATACAAACTGGTAACTAGGGCATCAACAAAACAAAAGACAATTTCATAAAATAACAAAAGACAATTTTATAAAATAACACACTGACAGAGTATCATAAATGTCTGATTCATTTGTGTTTGTGTGTATATGTATATATACACACACATATATATACACACATATATATACCTTTATTTTATAAATATATGTACCTTTAATAAAAAAGATAGATTGATTAGAACCTGATTTAATATATAACATTAATGAAATAAAGATAAATTGATTAGAACCTGATTTAATATAGATTCACTCCCCTTGACATAAAACTGAGATCCATGCCTGTGGCCTTCTGGTGATCTAACCTCAAGTACTAGAGGGGTGAATGGATCACATACATACCCCACAGGCAAGTTTCCTAACCCATCATTCCTCTTAGGCTTTCAGTAGAAGCTTAGAATCAAATAATCTTATGTGATACTCTCTGAAGAAGGTTTGGCATTGCAATATATTCCACTGGTTATTTAAAATAGATCTGTGCGATCTGAAAATCAAACTGGGTGTTAACGCGGTGGATTCCTAAATGAAAGTTTACTTTAAAAGATGTAAGTTCAGGTGTTCACGCAGGCACCTATTTCTCTCAGAAGAGGACTTTTGACAAAAGATTGACCCAAGGACAAAAGAACAAGAGTGGTGTGACAAATCATTCCAACAGAAAAACTTTGCTAAGGATAGCTAATGAAAAGTAAGCCAAAAATTAGTTCTACTCTTCTACCCTCTCTGTCAGGCAAAGCAAAAAAAAAAAAAAAAGATGATTTCTCGAACTCTTAATAGCTCATAAGAGGAGCCATGCCAGTTTCTCTGGAGATACCAGCCCAACCTACCCTCCAACCCCCAAAACACACCCAGAATTCCAAAAGATTCCAATATCTTTAAGGCTTTGTATAAAAAGCATTAAACAATCATGTCTGTTATGGCTGATAGCAGTGCTACCAATGTGTAGATGCCACTTATTATATGGCCATTTCTATACACGTACCTGTAGGTAAGACTCCATAAAGTAATTTAAATTATATTTTATTATTTAAAATCTTTCAGGTTTGGGGCGATGGAAAATGTCTGCTGTGTATTGTTCAGTATTGTTTCAATTTTTGCAATGTGTATATACTGTTTCAATAATCATAACAATAATAAAATGATTCTAATTTTAGCATAAAAGATGGTTCCCATTAACACCGTTTTGACCTGACCCCTATGCCAAAATAAGTTTGCTCAGTACTCAGTGAGAAGGATGCTGGTCCTCTTAGTTGTCCAATGGGGAAGTTCTCTGAAACATCATTTGTCTCTACTAAAGCCCTTGACATTTGTTCCTTCAACTAAGATGCATAGAACATCCACTATGTAAACTATATGTCAAGTACTTGAGAATGTGATGGCCAGGTTCAGTATTTAGCATACCAAATGCTTGTAGTAGCATAGGAGGATAATAGTCTGTGATTGAAAAGAAAATCCAAATCACTGCTCAAATACTCACTTTCAGGCTGGTGGTCTCAGAAAAGGGGGTCAAGTTTAGAGACCCCAATTGAATCTACAGCTTCTATTAAATTTGAACCCTAGGGACACCTTTTCTCCAATACCTTATTTTTTTTTTTGAGTGTAGAACAATTCATATTATATACACCCTTCTATTGACCTGTCTATTTGAACCCTGCAGGCACTTGACAACTAATGAATAAAATAATATTGTGTGCTCTTGGGGCTACTGCAGACTCTTTTGTGTCTATAACGGCTCTTATTTTTCCAGCAACTGGGAGAGGATACAACATGGTGAGAGGCTGTGTAGAATAACTGAGATAGCATGGGCTAAACCCCAGGGGCACTAATGACATTGTATCCACAGAGCAAAATTTGAATGTTCTGTAATGATGTCATTAAACTCCTGAAAAAGCTAACTTATTGCTGACTAGAATTTCTCCATTACATTCTCTTTAAAAGAGGAATAAACTCCAGGGTGTGTAGCTATGCATGGGTGTTGACGTTGAATAGCTGCCTCCAGTCACTCTGCTGAAACTGGCTGACCTTCTTGCGTGCAGTTTAGTCAACTCAGCTGCCCTTTCAATGAAGACAAATGAATTTCCAGGATTATGCAGGTCAGGTCACCTTAGGTCAAAAACTGATTATACAGTCATGCCATCACCTTTGTTCTACCTGGGTATCTTTGAACGTTTATTCTTTAGGTGCTCACCTTTGATTTGGTGCCCCCAAAATGTTTATTCCTGTAAAAGTACATATGCAAGTCAAATACAGAAACCCATAACTGATGCCTCTAACAAATTCACATTTTTTCCCATGGAGGCAGATATGCAAAACTGACAGTCAAAAGCATTTATTTGAAAGGCAGAATTGCAGTAAAGGAAAATAATAATAATTTTTAACAGACATTAAAAATTCGAGACCAAGTTTCTACTGCTTATAACTTGCCTTGGACAAGTTATATCATCTCCGTGTGTCTCAATTTCCTCACCTGTCAAGTGGGGGCATTAATAGCACCCCCCTCTTGGGGTGGATCAAGTGAGATAAAGATTTAAAGTACTTAGTAAGTATTCAGAATGTGGATCGTGCAAGAGTAACTGTACGTGAACTTTTATCAGAGGAGCATTAGTTAACAGAAATGTTATCTTTCTAAAGCCAGAATTTAGGTTGTGTTTCTATACTAGCTGGTCACATTGTCAGCATTGAAGCTTTTATAAATGTCTTCTAGCAAATCACCACAATTTTTACATTGTTGGGCTCTGCTGAGCTCTAGCCCCAGACAACTCCAAATTTGCATTTCTCACTTTTGCCTTCTTCATTTCACTGTCTCAAAAAACAAATGCAAGAAAGTAAATCTTCAACTTAGAACACCCATTCTGTCAAACTGATGTGCTGTCTGATGAATGGTGAGAAAAAAAGAAACACATCACCCCAGGAATATGTAAGCTCTCCAAAAATATCAAGTAAGCCCAATGCCAATATAATATAATGAGAGTTTGTAAGTGCTTATAGTCTAATGAAATTGGCATGGTTTATTAATGGGCTGTGCCTCCTTTGAATTTGGAAGACAAAATGTCTTGTTTCCTGTGATTTGGTGTGATACACAAAGACTTTTGATATCTGCTGATATTTAAATGAACCCAAGGATGTAGAATTCGATAGTAAATTGTCACTTGAAATTCTCAAGAAGAGAATCTATTTTCAGATAACAGTGATCCTCTGCTTCCATTAATAATCTTGGGCTCTCTAAAATTATATGAACCCACAGTACATTTTTGTACCATGTGGCTGATGCACACCTTGAAAGGCTATGTCTGAGTGTTCAACGACTTGTTATTGCTATGTTCACGTGTCACCAGGACTGCCTGGCTTTAATCAAAGCATCCCTGGGGTCATTTGAAAACAACTATTTACAGAAACTTTGGACATTTTCTTGACCACATGATTTAATGACTTTATATGGGAGGTAGTCTTGCACAGTGGATAAGGAGGTTAGAATCCCAGCTCTGCTACTTAAAATTTGGTGGCTTTATTTCAGGGTCTGTATCTTTCTATCAACATAGTGGGAAAAATAATAGTACCTAGCTCAAAGGGAGTAAATGAGATCTGGTACACGTCCAGAATGAAAACAGAAGCAATTGTTATGTTAAGTCAGAGAGTCGCATTTTCATGTAGACAGTACCACAAAAATATTGTTAGATCCAAATAATAACACAGTAAATTTATCTTCCCTCCATTTTCCCATGTTATCCCAGTTACTGTACACTGCTCAGGTTGCTTGGGTAGTACATGAATGTCAAAGATCAGTCTGACTTTCAAAACCTTAGGAAAATTTACCTACCCCATGAAGCCTGACAATGACCTAGAACAGACAACATGAACTCTCAAGCCCATTCAAGGAGCCATATTATCTAAGCCCTGGATCACTGTAACAACTCCTTATTTACACAGCACATTCATTCCACACATGGTCAAATTTTCCAGAATATGGATGTCATAGGTGTCATTGTTTTAGAGGCAGGTCCATGCTATTAATCTTTGATTATTAGTATATTTTTCTACCTCTGCTATTTTCAACTTATACTGCAGCCTGTTTCTTTACACAGATTTTTTTTGCTTTGAAATTAACTACCTTTATCTCACTCATTAGTCCCCTTCTTTACTCATTCTTCTTCATCCATCGCTAAACAATTATCCCATAAACCAGCTGTCAAAACGCAAGATGTGGTTCCCGGTTTAATTGGGAACATACAGTCTGGGTGAAAAGGGAAAACTCAATGCACCTGCTCTTTATTCTTATTTCTAATGTCTGGTACTCAAGAGTACTTTGACAAATCAGAAAATGAACTTGAAAATGTGTACAAAGCAATATGGCAAGTATAAAGCTATCCTGTCACACATAGAATATATACATTTGTGTCTGCCCCAGAGAAGAGTGATCACGGTTAAGGGGTTTCATTCACAGAAAGAAGACTTCCTGGAGAAAGAGTGTGTGTGTCTGTTTCAGAAGCTGAAAAGGCTGCTTTGGGATGATAGTTTTTATGCAAAGTGACTGCTACCTGCTGCTTTATTCTGCATTCATCTCTTATAAATAATATGTTTTTAATAAGCCACTGTATCTTTTGTTGGAACAATGCTTCCTAGAATTAAACACACATTTCCCTCACTTTCAAAACGCCCTTGAAAACGTTGTGATTATACTGGGTCTTTCTTTGTGACTCTTATGTGTTTTGTCATCAAGAAAAAGTCAAGCTAATTGAACTATATGAGGACAGTGCACCTGAAAATGACCTCCTGAAGTCAGCTGCTGTCTATAGGTAATTCTCTCAACTAAATGTATGCATGTTGGACAATAAGGGCACAAGGTGGTCAGTGGCCTTTCCCTCTGCGCTCCATGCAGACTATTCCATCTGCCTTTCCACATGTGGAGGACAAAGGAATGTCATCAAGTCTCTTTCTCAGTTCCTAGTCTAACAGCGAACCCTTGTTTAATAATATCCCAGTGTTTCTAGTTACCCCAAGAGAATAATATAACCTGAAATGATTCCCTAAACACAGCTTATTTTAATTATTCCTAATGATAAGCAAAATTTTACCAAACGATTCTTTAAAGCAAAGAATCACATTTGCTTTGAATATGTTATTATGCATATTGCTTGTCACACCACACATAAAGATCTTCTTTACAAAGATCTGCAAGGAAACATTTCTTATGACAGTACTGGAATAGATGAGGTAGAGAACAACTGCTTTTTTTTTTTCTTTTTAAGACATTATAATTTGTTAGAACTTTTTGGTTTCTCTTGGTTGGTAGGCAAATCAGAGCAAAAGGTTTGCTGTGATTGCTGTCTTCCATCAAAATCTGTCAGAATACATTATGGCATGTATTCTGTGTACTAACCTTACCTATTTTTTTATTTTTCAACTTTTATTCACCACCCAAAAAGCATCATCATTTTGTAAAATCTTGCTTTCAACATAGATTTCTATAGGAAGTATCAAGTGGTTTTGGCGACCATTTAGTTCCAAAATATGGTTTATATATTTTAATGATATTTATATATGATAATTATATGTTTATATACTTATTATATATTTATATATGATAATTACAGAAAATACTATAAACCTATTTATTAAAATACCAGAGATTCTAAGATAAGTTTGAATAGAATGTGGTTCAAATTATTAATTTCTCTTCCCCAAATTTAACAGATCCAAGCTACTATACTATTTATAATGTAGAAGAACTAGAAATAGTCTAAAAGTTAATCAATAGGCAATTGGTTAAATATTGATATGTTGATGTAATAAAATAATATGTGACTGCTAAAATCATGATATAGAATAATACTTAAAGACATGGAATTATATTTGTGGTATATTGTAATTTAAAATGACAGGTCACAGAGTAGTCTATGACTGTTTCTGTTATGCACAAGAATAGATTTTAATACATATGCAAACACATGCAGAAAAGATTAAAAATATCTGCCATAAAATTATGACTGTCTCTAGATAATGGAATTACAGGTGATTTTTCTATTTATTTTATTTTTGTGATTTTTATTTTGTATTTCCTAATTCTCTACGATTAACATATGTTATATTTGTAATCAGGGAAAAGTAAATGTCTGAAAAAGCAAGATACGAAACACTTCTTGTTATCACGTATAACAGATTAGTTCTTCCTTTTAAAATAAGCCATTAAAAAGGATTCTTATATACTCAATGCAGGGCGTTTTTTACTTCAGTGGCAATGGTATATAGTGCCTGAAGATTGGTAAAAATAGCTAATAAGCAGATTCTGTGCACAGATTTATCCTTTTCTTCCCTCTGTCCTCCCACCGGAGTCTGTGTTTCTGTCACAGCACTTGTTACTTAAAAGTCCAGTTATTTGCTTATTATCCTTTGATTCCAGCCCCAGCCACCCATTAGACTGCATCTCATTTGAGGGCAAAGATGAATCACATTTTTTTAGGCATTCCATAAATGTTTGTGGAGTGAGTGAGTGTGTGGCTGAGTGAAAGTAAAAAAAGAAGAAACCCTTGGTGCCAATCAGGCCAGAATAGCAGCAGACAAGACGCCTTCTCTCACAGCCAATTTTCTTGGCTGACTTTGTCAGTATAATTGCTTCAAATCCGTATTTTCTCTACCTATCTAGCTCCAGCCTAAATGTTGAATATTGTATTTTCCCTCAAAGAATGTCAATAAAGATTTTATTTTTTTCAATTACTGTTGCAGAGAATGTTTCCCTTTAGGAAAACTAAAATTTAATAACTTTTCTTCGGCAAAGTTGACGATCTCTTTATTCTCGCCATGATGACTGTAGTCAATCAGGAGTCAGTTGGAAGCCAAGCTGAACATAAAGTAATTAAAAGAAAACCCAAACACAAATGCACCCTCTTGAAAACCTAATCACATTATGAGCTCTAAGCATGAGTTATGAGGTAGCTGTGGCTGGCTGGGTTTTGATGAAGTACCCATAATTTCATATCAGCTGCCACAGGACTTTCTGACTTCTCTATAACTTTAAAATGTGATTTACCCTGTTATCATCTACTTATACAGTCTTCAAGATCTACCTAGGAATAAATAGTACTAATAACATTCTAAGCTGTATTGCTGTAAGATTCTTATTTTTCCATATTCATATGGTAAAATTCAAATGATAAAAATAAAGTAGGTAATTCATTAGATTTCAAAGCTCTGGCTGTTAAAATAAAAGCATTTCCTCAATTCAGAAATCCTGGCATGAATTCATATGTTATCAGCTAGTACTATAGATGAACTTCTTTTGAAAATATGTACATTATTTTTATTCACTTTAGATTAGGAGTAATTTGATTTATTTAAAGTTAAGCGGGTATGCGGTAGTGATTAATTTCAACATAATATATTCATAATTCCACTCTTACCAGTTTTCTCTCTTGGTACTGCATGCAAATCTTTATTTTTAAAAAGGTAATTTAATAGGAAAACCTTTGAAACTAATTTCTTAGGCAGTTTTCCTGAAACATGTTATTAGAAATTGATACTTTGGCATTATAAGCAGTGTAGATTTCTATTGTGGACCAGTATTTTGCAGAAAGAGTTACATTTTATTGATGAAAAATCTAAAGTATAGTCAGTGTCCCTACATGTAAAAAAAGGAAGGCTGAACCTTCTTGCAATGTTCACCTGGAATAGGCTGGGAGCTTTTCTAGAATGAATGAAGCATTTATGGCTTATGGTCCATCATGGTGGTAATGCTTTTTTAAGTCAGCTCTTTTCATTGGCCAAGATAACCTTTATTTTTAAGTGAACACACTTTTTATAACCATCTGGTTAAGTGTCATCAGTCTGTCTCTGCATTACCTTCTCTTTTCCTTGTTAACTCCTTACCCTGTGTCTTTAAGACACAGGCTTTGGAGAAAGTATTTCCCAGCCTGTAGTGGACTTTCCTTCTCAGTGCTCCCATAGGCTTTGCAGCTGAACTATTTAATTCATCGCTCCATCTTCCAACCAATATTGAGCCCATTTAATGCCAGTTATAGTACTTGGCACTGGGCATGGTGATAAAAAATCATGCCTGTCTTTATACGATTATGGACTTTCAGAAAAAAAATAGCCACAAGTAGGGACTTTTGGGAAAAATTATGCCCTAACATAGAATAAGTTAAAAAAAAAAAAATCCCTAAGAAAGAGTTGGGGGAAAGGTTTCCAGGTAAAAAGGCATTATAAAGACTGGGGGCAAATGAAGGAGTGGTGGTTCACAAATCAGAAGTTACAGGTCAGAGGGTGAAGGCTAGAAATGAAGTGGGGAGATTGAAAAGGGTGAGATATTGGGAAGTCCTCTAAGTTACAGTTAGGATGTTACCTTAAAGACCGAGAAATATCTTAAGCACGGAGTGACACGAGGAGATGCACAGTTTAGAAAGCTTAGTTTGGCCAAGGTGTGGAAAATAAATAGACAGGACCTAGTTGAGAAGCTGTAGATGCTGTAAACCAGATGAGAGACGACGGTGGCCCAGATTAGCAGAAGAGTGTGGAGATGCAAAGTACTGGACTGAACCCAATAATGCTTAGGAAATGGCAGGACTTTGAGATAAAAACATCTATCTACCACGCATCCTCGTCATTCCAAATTACAATTGTTTATTTTGCTAGATCCCCTGTGTAACTGAGTTTTTTATAGGCATTTTTTATAAATCTGGAGCCTAACTCACTGCTTAACACATTTTAAGTGCTTGGTGCACATTAAGGAATAAACCTTGATTGATGCTGTGTCATAAACTTGAATGATGTTGTTTTTAGTGTATCCGTGCCTCTAGAAAACAGTTCTACTGAAACTGTAAGAGAAATGAAGTTGTGATTTGAGTTGCTAACTACAAAATGGTTTTCAAATTTAATTTTCTGTTTTCACATTTTAAAACAATTACGAAGTCAACCTTCAAAATGGGAATTTTTACTCTATAATTATATATGCTTATAAATTGTTTTAA
Organism: Homo sapiens; assembly: GCF_000001405.40. NCBI lineage: Eukaryota > Metazoa > Chordata > Mammalia > Primates > Hominidae > Homo > Homo sapiens. The sequence goes on from NC_000005.10 coordinate 167,681,136, forward strand.
TATGCTCCCTAAACCCCATAGTTCAAACCACATTTTCAATATTATTGTTTCAATTATTTCAGAATTTTTCTAGCATCTATATGCACACGGACACACACATTGTTTTTCTTCTTTTCTTCTTTTTTAATAGAAAAGGAATTATACACTACATATAGTTGTGCTCCTTGCTTTTTCCTAATAGCATATCATGGCTATCTTTCCATTTTAGACATATAGCCTAGCTCATTGAACAGCTGCAGCTAATTTCAGAGATGGAAGTACAATGATTTTATTATTCCCCTACTAATAGGCATTTATGTTATACCTATTTTATGTGATGTCATAAGCAATGATGGAATGAATAACTTTGTATATATACTTAATTTCTACTGGACAGATACCTAAAATTAGGCTTGCTGAATGACAGGATATATGCATATTAAGAGTATGTGTGCTTGTGTGTGTATGTATATGTGTATATATACATCCATATTCTAGCTATGTATTTGTTTATATATATATGCCCATGTTCTAATTATGTATATATGTATGCATATCATATACATAATACATACAAATATATGTACACATGCCCAAATTGCCCTCCAAAAAGATTGTACCAATTTGTTATCCCACCATTAGTGTAGGAGTACCCAGTTTTCCATATCCTCATCAAAACTGGCCAAGGTAGGAAAAACATTTTTATCTCTTTCAATTTTATATGTCTGGGTGACTTCTAGATGTTACTTCCAAATCACCTATTTTCTCTTTAACTATGTTCATTCTGCCATTCTATTATCCAGTCCTACTCTTAGGCATGTGTGTGTGTGTGCGTGTTTGTGTGCGTGCATGTGTGCACATGCATTCTGTGTTCCTTGAGAAAAAAAGCACACACACAAAGAGAGAATGCCCTTCCTTCCTTCCTTTCTCCTTCCCTTTCTTCCTTCCTTCCTTCTTTCCTTCCTTCCTTCCTTCCTCCATCCCTCCCTCCCTCCCTCCCTCCCTCCCTCCCTGCCTGCCTGCCTGCCTGCGTTCCTTCCTTCCTTCCTTCCTCCCTTCCTTCTTTTTTTCTTTCTTTTGCTCTGTTGCCCAGGCTGGAGTGCGGTGGCATGATCTCGGCTCACTGCAACCTCCATCTCCCAGGTTCAAGCGATTCTTGTGTCTCAGCCTCCCGAGTAGCTGGGATTACAGGCACACATCACCAAGCCCAGCTAATTTTTGTATTTTTAATAGAGATGGGGTTTCACTATGTTGGCCAGGCTAGTCTTGAACTCCTGACCTTAGGCAACCTGCCCGCCTCAGCCTCCCAAACTGTTGGGATTACAGGCATGAGCCACCGTGCCTGGATGAGAATGCCTTTTCATAGAAACTTATTGTTATGGATGCAATACTCTCTTGCATTTCTTTCTTGATAAAATGATTATCAATAATTTTGAAAAATTATTCTTCTTGGATTCTGGCAAACTCCTCTGGGATAGGTGTTTCCCTTCTTTCATAGTATTGGTGTTCCTTTTATATGGAGATTCTTTGTTAACCGTTCGTATTTATATGTACAGGCAGAGCTCAGGCTGTAATGCTCGCTCACCTGCCATTCACCTCCTGCTGCGTGGCTTGGTTCCCAACAGACGGCCTGGGGATTAGAGACTCCCAACTTTAGATGGTATAGGCACAGAACTGTCAGGCAAACTGGGGACCCTGGCTGTAACAGCAAGACTTATGGTATTAGATGCTTGATAAAATGTAATCAGACTTTCTCATAGTTTACATTACACAGAATAATTATACTCAGGCTTTGTCCTTTGTTGTTTTATTGGTGAGGAGACAAATAATTAACAAAGAGGAAACACAGTAATGACACCTTTCTTTCCCCAGGAAAAACTTTCAAATTACCTATAATAAGACTTGATTTAAAAATATATATCTCAAGACATTACTGCTTTTAAAGCACATGACATCTGTTTAATGTATTGGACATGTCTGTTACCATAGTCTCCTGCACTAATGGATAATAATAATAGCAACTACACTTATTTCTTTCACAGCAATTATAATCTGTATTAATTGTGTACATTTGTTTGAGTTAGAGATTTATTGCCTGTATCCTCTAATATCTCTGTGACATGAAGGACCATGTCTTTTTTTTTTTCCCCCCCTGGGCATCAGAAATAAAAAGTCAAGAAAGTAGATATGGCCCTGGCTGCCATTTTTATATTAGTTTGTCCTAGTTGCTGAAAAGAAAGATGGCTCCTATGATGTCATCCTTCCCCCGGTTGCACAAATGTCACTAACCTCTTAAGAGAAGAATACTGTCCATGCAAAATAGAATAATGTCCACTGCGCTTATCGTTAAAAACTAGAGTGTGGTTTTGTTGTTGTTATATAAATACCTGGTTGAATGTAATATAATCCCAAAAGCTACTGATAATTGGGTTTATGTGGGAGAATAAACATAGGCAGCGTTAGAAATAACATTGCCATTTTCTCCATGCCCCAAATAGCATGGTTTCTTGAGATAGGGAAAACCATATTTGTCAGACCTGAAATTTATGTTTCTCTGAAAGGGGCACCTGACATTATAATGAAACTCACAAAAGCATGGAAAGAGGTTTGGAAGAAAACGAAATGTTCCAAAGTGTAGAAATAATTGATGGAATCATAATAATGCTAATTTTAATAACAATCGATCTATGAATGGCCTGCCAGCTTCACTCTCCAACACATTGTACTCTTATTTATGATGACTGTAATGTAATTGGAAGTATTTTTCAGTTAAAAATGCGTGTAGTACTTGCATAAAAGGAATGCATCTTAGGTGGCTGGGTGGCCATTTTGCTTGCCTATGGCTCCCCAAGCTTTCAAAAAGAAGACATTGCACACTCCATGTGGATGTGGCAGTGGGGAAACCAGAAGGTCTCCTCCTGCAGCTGGCGAAAGAACCACCAGTGCCAGCTTCTCTTCTCCAGTCGTCATTCAATAAAAGGACGCAGACCAACACTAAAATTTATTTTGACGAGGAAAAACAGGAAGTACATACCCAGGCCTCTGTGATGAGGTCTCTAATACCCACTGGGTGCTTTTGCATGAGACAGATGGTCTCAGCCTTGCCTACCCATCCCAACTGGTTGGTGGTCTTTCCAAATGATGCCACCTGGCTCTTGGTTCTTATGTGGGTGAGCACAGGGGTAGCCTTTGTCTCACATAAGCACAAAGCAGGAGGCTTTTGCATTCTGGAGACTCTCAGTTCATTCTCTGTGCCTTCAGCATGAAAAATGCACCACTTTCTGTATCTACCTGATCGAGATTGAGGGCACACGCTGACATTTTATCCATGGTGTAAATGAGTAAGTACGTGGGGAGAATGAGTCATGCAACAAATAAAGAAATCTTGTGCTCTCAGATAGAGCTTGGGTAATATGTAAAGAAAGATTTTAAGTCTAAATCCCTTGTCTGTTTTTCCACATTGCTAGATGGGAAACAAAGAGATAATTTAGTTAAAACATTTTGTTGAGAGGATAAAGTATGCTATAGGCTATTTTAAGGGTACTAAATTATTTCCTTCCATCGCCAGAAGTCTTTTTCCCATTACTAATACGAACAGTCGTATTTGTTGTAATGTTATAACTGTCCTAATAAGAATACTCATCTTTACTGAGCACCTACTATATTGAGCCATCTTCACATGCACTATCTCAGTTGATCTATGAATATTTTGTTAATAAATATCCAGGGTCTATTAATGCCACTATATCATAGATGAGAGAAAACTGCAACATACAGAGCTGAAGCCGTGAGCCTAAAGGTACATTGCTTGTAAGTGGAAAAGCTAAATTGGAACTCACATAAGATCTTATGGAATCTAGACCACCAGCTCTCAATTGGTACTCAGTGCTGCCTTGGTGGCTCCTATCCTAGGGTCACATTTTAGAAACAGACTCTGAGGACCTCATGTGGAATTGTTAGTCATCAATATTGCTAAGCCTTTCTTCTCATTACTGTCGACCTTTTCAGAAGGCAACTTAAAAAGAGAATGGTGGAATGTTTGTATCATTGAATATAAGTGCTATTTTTGAAAAGTGACTCAAATGTATAGTTTAAGGGAGAAAATGAAATCATCTGTGAACATTAAAAGTTATCTCTTCCTTTTAGTTATCTCTTCCTTTTATTTTTACATGGCACATGTCTGCCATGCCAAAATAAGCTCTGCCCTCCTGTTTTCAGGCCCCAAGCCTGTGAAACTCTGGGTCTTCATAAGCCATCTTGAATCAATCAGTTAAGCGATATCCTTTTATCCTTTTCATCACCTTCCTCAGCCTTCCTCGGCCTTCTTTTTCCTTCTGTACTCAATTGTACTCTTTCCTAAAGAATCCCCGATGTGATCTTTCACATGCTGTGGGAGGAAATGTATTTTCAATATCTCAGTGGTTGATACTGCTGGTTCATTGATATATCAGTAGTTTTTAGAGAATGTTTACTCCTGTCTTGCACTTAGGAGTGTCTACCTGTTCCCAATGTGTGTAGAAGTGCAAAATCTTTTTATAAGAGTTTACCCTGAACATCATCAAAAGAATCATGTAGTTGCAATTCATGATAAATAGGTTATCTGTAATGATATATGATAGTCTGTGGTAGGTGGTAAAAAAAACACACTGTGTTCCTGTTGCTAACTATAGGGCACATTTGCCTTTGCAAAAATGATTGAAGGGTATAGAGGGCGTGCAGCACCAAGGCTGGGTGAGAGGCCTCATACGCTTTTTCAACAGTGTATGGTTGAGTACCAGCTTGTAGAAGCAGGTAGTTATCAGCATGTGGAGCAAAATACCCTGAGTTTAAATCTAGCACTACCCCTAGTGGTGGTGTTACCTTGAGCAAGTCACTTCCACATCCTCGTCAGTAAAATGGAAATAATAAAAGTATGTTTCTCATAAGATTGACATAAAGATGAAATAAAATAATTCATTGAAGAGCTTAGGCTAGTGTCTGACACATAATAAGACAGCGTGTATTGATCACTTACTATTATTTTCCAAGATCCACCATACTTGTCCCGTGGCAAAGAACATCTTTGTAAGGATACATTTGAGAAGGATAGGCTATTTCCTTCCTAAATGCTTAAAGCAATGCAGATTCATGCTTAATGACCAAAAAGACCATTTGTGTGGAGCCTATGACTTTTCCTATCCTTAATGTTTTAGATTAGAGATGGAAAAGTCTGCTGTCTTAGGTGAATAATGATGCATGTCTTTATGACTTAAAATGTTCAAAGGAGCTGTAGAGCATTTTTTAAGAGTCATTTCTTCTCAGGCATTGTATTCTGCAACCCAAACGTTGCTTGCTGTGTAGTTACTTGGGGACCTATTTTCTTTAGGTAGTGTCTGCATAGTAGTCACTCTGGTTCACCGAGGGCTTTAAAAATGGAAACGTTTACAAAATAGAAAGGCAGGTAGGGCTCCGCACAAGTGAGGCCTGATGTGTTTCTATGGTAACCCCATTCCATATCACAAGGGTCAATCTCATGGAATGAGATGATGTTCAGAGATATGTTCTGGAATTTTCTTGGCTGTCAACCTAACTATTTGGGATTTGAAAAACCAAAAAGGATGGGTAGACCACTTGAGGTTTGCTGGGATGCCTGGAGCCATTAGAGATGACTTAGATGAATATGGAACCTCAAGAAATGAGGCTTCTGACACCTCAGGGGTTCCCTCAGCTTAGGAGCCCCATTTCTATTAGGTTGATGCAAAAGTAATTATGTTTCTTGCCATTGAAGGTAAAATTGGTGAAATAATTCACCGAGCACATGTTGAAATCCAGGAGGAGAGAGGGAGGAGCATCGTCCAAAACAGCCCCAGCTTCATCCCCAGAGTCCCCACCTGTTGAAAGGGCTATTCTCAAATCTTTAAAAACACATTGCCAAATACTTGTAATTAACAAAAGGGAATCTAGAGTATGGGGGAAGTTATATCTCTGCCTTAATTTGATCATCTGGTGTTTTGTTACTGACCTTGTGTGATGTGTTCTCCGGTTACCTCGGGGAAAATTGACTCAGGCTGTACTATAGGGCACCAAGAAATGGTTTAAGTTTGATTTCTTTAAGTCAAAGATTTTAAATCAAAATGGTACCAATGTCACATTACATTTGATTTATTTGCATATCTAGAGAATATATACGTATATGATCTAAGTATTCAGTGTAATTGTCAATATGTATTTTTTAAAATATGCATATGCACAAAGGTTATGGAGACCCTTATTTTCTGAAGGAAAAAAATAGCTGGCTGAATTTTCATCATCAAGTAGAGAAAGGTGAAATGGAAGCATTGGGAGAGGGAACACATACATGTCCAACTTAGTTATCTGGGAAAAACTATTTATGTGGGAAAAACTATTTCTCTACCTACTTAATGTTTTCATTTTGTTCCAGGCTCACGTTGATGGATATGCAAGTTTGCTCACTTACTGTGCTAGCATTGACGTTGAGAGTTCACAGATGTTTCAGTTGAGATATTTAAAAAGAAATTCTAAATGATCAAGGTACTTTGAGTTTAAAACTTAAAAAAAAAATCTACTTTATCCAGCCAACTTCACACTATTTATAGTAGCAGAATTTGGTACAGCAAAAGGAAGTGAGAATTGTTCTTTCTTCCTCTCTGTCTCTCTCCTTTCCCTTTTTCTTTTTAAATGGTACATTTTTGTATGTGTGAGAAAACATTAGAATAAACAAATAAGCCAAGAAAAAAAAGCACTTGAAAATAGACTGCAGTCTTGCCATTTAGCAAGAATCACTATCAACATTGTGAGAAATATGCTTCCAGGACTTTCTCTAGAATGATATTTAATGTTGTAATAAAATTTACAACAATAATAGCGGTATTTATTAACAGTTACTCTGTGCCAGGCACTTTGAAAGGCACTTTACATTTAATCCTTTATGAACTATGTGCATTGTTTTTATCATTCTTGATTTATGGAGAAACTGAGGGAGGGATCAGTCAAGTGATTTCAGCAACGTTATAAAGGTAGTCAGAGTAAATGGCAGACCCCAGTTTGTTCTCAGGAAGACTGGTTCAAGATTACCTTCTCTTACCCCTCTGTCATACTGCTTCTCACTGTGTGTATTTTGAAACAGCAATGGCGTGGCGTTTTACTATTGCTTTATAGTCTTTTTTCTCTTACTGTATTGTGAACTTTCCCCCCATGTTTTTATGTATTCTTCTGTGGCATCATTTTTTATGATTCTCCTTGTGATTCCATCTAAAAGAGCATGTGATCACATCCTTAAATGATCCCCTATTGTTGGGCATGTAGACTGCACCACAATGGAGAGGTTGTTTAATTGAGAATTTCCGTCATCATCCTCAAAACACTAGTGTTCCAACTAACTCATGTACCAACTTTGTTTGAAAAACAAAACAGATTGCATGTTGCAAGACAGAGCTGCTGGCAAAATACTCCATCGTGTCAGATTTATACAAACCCATCTCCTGTGTATTGCACCATGTCCTAGAAAACTGAAAACCATGAAAACAAGTGCTCATATTTTAAGGAACTCAATGACAGCTGATAAAATATTGCATTTTCTGTAGCAGTTTTTACATAAAGCTTCCACCTTAAAGAAATGGATTTGATGGGACTAGGTGGTAATTTTTTAACACAAGCAGTGACAAAATAAACACCATCTGTTAGTATTGACTTATTCCACAGCATTCTCAGGCTGGGTGATTTTATTTCACTTTTTTCAGAAATGGTTAATGACACATCTGGTAGTCAGTGAAGGTACACTCTGGGTGATTAAATGTGGTCATAAGTTTACACTAAATGCTGACAGAACATTTTTTTTTCTTTTCCATTATAAGCAACGGGGCACATCGGAGTGCCTGGCTGGCTACTCATTTTAAACCTTGTGTAGGATTAACTGTTTGGCGGTCGTTGAACTTCCGGAAAAACGTTGTTATTTTGAGTCTTCTGAGAAGCAGATACCAAGACAGGATTAGGTATGCAAGAAATTTATTGAGGGAAACACCTGTGAAAACTAAAGCAGAGGTGCAGGAGAAGGCGAGAACAGCCTTCAGATGGCAATGTGAGTCTGGCACCAGTGAAGGGAGAGTGGGAAGGAAAGAGGAGTGGGCAGGAAGAGCCCCAGGCAGCAGCACATTCTAAAACAGTGTCAGCCAGGACGCTGGGGGGTCCTGGAGCCCCAGTTGCCCATCCGAGCTTTTCTGCATCCTGCATAAATGGGCATGAATTAGTTTCTTCACTGTGTCCAGTCATTGGCAGAGAACAGACCTAGGAACCTCAGTACACACACAGTAGTGGATCTGAAGGGGATAGCCAGTATGGCCCTCCATCAACTCTGTTCCCACAGCCAGAGATCCGAGGAGTGCATTTTCATGGTCACCAAAAATCTCAACACAAAAAAATGAAATGATCACCGAATTCATTTATCTCTGCATGTCTTTTTAAAGAAGAAAATACAATATTTAAAATGGCCTTTTCTCCCCTAATGTCTCCATTGGTCTAGCAGGCATGGCTTGCACTGCAGAAGACTAGCGTAGCTGGAATAGTAGGTCCCGTTTATGCTAAATTCTATCAGTGAAGGGAAAGGGGAGAGTCCTGAACACTGTTCTTACCTCTTCATCTGTTCTTTTTTTTCTTTTTTTCTTTTTTTGAGATGGAGTCTCGCTCTGTCTCCCAGGCTGGAGTGCAATGGAGCAATTTTGGCTCCTACAATCTCCACCTCTTGGGTTCAAGCGATTCTCCTGCCTCAGCCTCCTGAGTAGCTGGGATTACAGGCGTGAGCCACCATGCCCAGGCTCTTCATCTCCTCTTAAACTCTCAGAGACTCTGCTGCTGCTGTTAATTTTGCTTTCAGTGTGAAGGGTTCTTTTGGTTTGCCATAATTTTGGGCCCATGACCCGGGAACTTCACCTCCTATTTGAAAAGAAAATCATCTGGGAATGGAAGAGGCGAAATTTAGGAAAAAAACACACTTTTTTTTTTTTTTTTTTTTTTTTTTAGTAATTCAAACCCCAAAACATATTTTGAGGGGCAGAAGGAAAAATAATTAATGCTGTATATGATCACTTCCTACATGTCAAGCCATTATATTGTTATCATCCTTAATTCTTAAACTCTTTTGAGACAAGTAAAGTTATATTTTTATTTACTTTTATGTATTTTTTTTTAAGTTTAACAGAAGAGGAAAGTGAGGTTCAGAAAGATCTGGTGACTTTTTATTGGCACACAATGAGAAAGAACAGATTGGGGTTTTTTCCCTGTTTTTCTTGAGTTGGTATACAGAGTAGATTTGCCAAAGAGCTCCTCAGTTATGCCAGTTACTTTACTTATTTGGGAAGGACTTCTCATATTTATACAGATATCTTTCTTCACATCCTGAAAAGGGCACTGAACAGAGAGAGCTGCATGCTATTACCATTTTTTGCGACTAAATACTTGTGTGGCTGTGAATTAGTTATCCAGGCCTTGGTTTTTTCATCTGTAAAGAAAGGAGATTGGGTTAGATAACATTTATCAAACTTCAGCCATTTTCCATTTTCTATCACCTTGATTTCTGTCCCATCTTTAATGCCACCTATAATATATTGCTTGATATTTTATTTAAAATAATTCCTCCTTGCAACTTAAGTGTCTTTAAAATAAAAACATTTTGTCACCGCTTAAAAGGAAATACCAGTATAAACAAGTAAAATTACACACACGCAATCACACACACATATATGTTTGTATATATGTATGTACGTATATATTCGTATATATGTATATATTTGTATATATATCCGTATATGCGAGTATGTGTGTGTGTGTGTGTGTGTGTGTGTGTGTGTGTGTGTGTGTGTGTAGAGAGAGAGAGGAATATAAGCAATGAAATGCTAGGAACAAACTGAGACTTTCTCCTTAATATAACCAGAAACTTTGAAGACAAATTGAAAACAAAGTATTTCTAATGAAAATGTTCTGGAGACCCAAAGTTGTTTGACACTTTGTCACACTTAGTATCATTTTCTGGGCAACCAATGTCTTATACTGTGTCAGACACTGGAAAAACATGACTTATATATTCTGTCTCACACACTTGTGATTTTCCTCCCTGCCCCACCCCAACCTTCATTTACCTTTGGCCTCATTTTGCCTCATCCTTCCAATTGCAAAATTTGTAAGGACCATCTCTCCTCTGACTGCAGAAATACTCTCTGCATCTTGGCTCATGAGTAGAAAAAAATAAGACCTGGAACAAATAAGAACAATTTCTTCCTGTTCTTCTGGGAAGTTTCAAGGGAAGGAAGTAGACAGAGCTCGATAGTCTGGGTAAAGCCTGAGGCAAGTCACACTGTGTCTTCCACCAGCAGGTGTTTACCCAGTTAAGATCAGTTTAAATTGAATAGTGTGCAAATGAAGATGGAGTTTTCCCTTATATCCCATTTCTCCAATCTTATTGTGCCAGTCTGCCTTCCCCGCTTCTGTCCCTCAGCAATCACCACCAGAAAATTGTCCTTCACTACATATTCCTTGATGGTATTTTAGAAAGAGTAGGGTCATTGCGCTCAAACAGAACTTGGTTCAAATCCCAACTCTCCCTGACTTCAGGGAAGAGACGCTGTGGCTCCTGGTGGTTAGGAGAACTGGGAGTTCTCCAGGAGAGTCTTCAGGAAATTGATGGACAAGGGGGATCTCGCTGGCAGGGGAAAGAGAAGTCAGAGGAAGAGAGGTTGGGGGCATAGCCCTGGTCCCAAACCAGTTGGCTTTTGCAGAGGGTAAGTGATACACAAAAAACTATCTTAAGTAGTTTGGACCTGAGATCTGAAGTTGCCCGTGTGGTTAAAGTCTCACCTATTTTTTAGCACCATTTGCGGGAGAGGAGTACCTCCTTCTTGACCCTCTGCCTTGCTACCAAACCCTCTGCCTTCCTGAATAATTGCTTGATAGCCTTCTCTTTCTTCCTGCCCTCTTTGCCACCCCGGAATACCACTACCTGAAATGATCTCATTTCTGCCTATGTCTACTTGCTTAGTGCTGGTCTCCCCTCACTATAATGTAAAGTTCATAGGACAGACCTTATCTGCCCTGTTCACAAGTTGTTCTCAGGGTCTAGAACAGTGCTGGCAAATAGTATTAGGTCAATAATTATTAAAAAGGTCAAATGAATTGGCCGAAGGCAATTGCCCCCATTCACTCTAACTTAGTAAATTAGTTCCTAATTCTGGCTGTGCACTACTGTCACCTGAGGCTTTATTGGAAACACAGTTTCCAGATCATCACCCCTGGACAGTCTGATTCCATTTGTTTGGGGTGAACCTGAGGAATCTGTATTTTTAATTAACATCTCAGGCATTTTGGACACAGCCAGTGCCTGGACTGATAGGTGGGAATTACTCCCACAGGAAATGTTACTGAAAACAGAACTTTATTATCAGCATCACCTAAACCACATTTCTTATGTTACAGACTATAAATTAAATATATATGCATGACTTTAAAAATATATACCTCCAAGCCACTTCCAGTTTGTGTATGTGCTTCTGGCAGAAGCAATTGTATTTATTCATACCCTGTATCCAATAAGGTAGGGAGACCCAGCTGTTCAAGCAGGTGCCTCCTTCCCAAGAAAAAGATAGATCGATTAGATTAACAATTAAGTGGTGAACTGTTGAGAGGTTGCCCAAATGGCCTTTGGGCTTTCTTCTAGAATGGCATCAATGCACAGTAGAATTGTGGCAGATGGACGATAGTGTTGCATATGCACTCATGCTGGGAATGAGGCCATTTTGAGCTCCTCCACTGGTCCCTCAAAGGGCTGCCTGGTCGGCTTGATGGCTTGAGTTGGCAGTAGGGAGTAACAACTGAGAGCCCGAGCTTTAGAGACAAACAGCCCTGGGTCTGAATCACAGAATGGCCACTGATTAAAGGGCATTTTACATAGCCTTTGCGAGAGCCTCGTATGTTTCATCTGTAATTAGGAATGCTGTTCTCTAATTCATTGGTTTGTGCTGAGCTATTAGTAGAGTGTGGCTGGCATTCTGTATATACGATGCTCAATAAATGCAAATATCATAACCTCTGGGAAGACTGACTTATACCATTCCACTGCCGCAATTGCCGTACCAAATCTCCAAAGACTAAGAAATCTGCCCCTATTGGTCAATAGAGGGGCTAGGCAAAAGTGTTTGGTTGGTCATGGAAAATTGAGGATAATGGAACTTTAATATGTTAAAAAAATTCCTTCTCCAAATTTCATTTGACACTTGCTATATGAATAGTTAGGATTTAATGAATACCTTTTTATAGAGTTACATAATTTTCCTGTAAGATGCATTGGGTTTCCAGAAGAATGTTGAACTTGATTCAATTTTAGCTTGATTCGGGCTATTCAAAATTTATTTCCTGAGGAATAGTCTCATTGGATAAACTTAGGAGTTGTTACTGGAAGACTGGGTAACTGTCATAATGCCAAACATCGGTGCTCCTCTCCCTCACTGTTACCTAAATTTTAAGAAATTTCTAGGCAAAAAAAAAAAAAAAAACCACTTGATTAAGGCAGAGGTTATTAAGTATGGGCAAGAGTGAAGGGCCTGGAGTTGATAGTGGAAAAAATATAGCTTAGGGAATTTCATACCCAGAAGCAAAACCAATATGTACATAGATCTTAATGCTGTGTTTCACTTACAGTTCAGAGTCCACTGCCTTGCCTAGCATGTTCAAGATGTTGTAGTGCCACCATCACTGTATATGAAGGCTAATTACTTGGAATATTCCTTACTGGGTATAAGTGTTCCCCAAAGATTTAGCTTAAGGATGGAACTCAAGAGCCCAGCACAATCATTCCTTTTAACTATTTAAAATATATTTTGGATGCACAACAGACTAATTGATTGAATGCACTTTTCACAATTCCACTTATCTAAGATTTTTAGAAAGGCACCAGAAATCTCAAGTTGAGATTTTAGTATTATCAGAAATGTACAAAAATCATCAGCCTCCTAAATCGACATCTTGCTTGAGTTCCTCTATTCACTCTACCTCCTCTGCACTTATCCAGCTCAATTTCTCATCCCAAGTGAGCCCATTTAACATCTTGTGGCTATCAACTTACAAGGTAAGACAGTAAGAGAGGGCTGGTTCTCAATTATGGCCTTATGTTGGAAGCACCTGGGGATCTCTACAAAACTGGGATCCTGATTGAATTGGTCAGGGTGTGGCCTGGAACTCAGGCTGTTAAGAGCTTCCCAGGTGATTCTCATCCACAGCCCAGGTTCTGAACCAATATTTAAAATAGCAGAGCATCCCTTAAAATAGCAGAGCATCCCTTTCCCCAGGACTAGAGGTGACTCAGCTGTATTTTCTGTGCCTGTGTTTGACGAATTAGTTGCAAATTATATTCCTGCTTTTACATAGTAATTAAAACAGTCATGTTTTCATGGGAGGTTCCTTCATGCTGAGCCTATCCACTCTGTCATTTCTTTGCTTCCTTAGTATGTTGTCTTTTAAATGAGCTTAGTGGAAAAAGTCTGGTTGGTGCATTCTGAGCCTGCTAATCATTTCTTTCCTTTCCCATCCTTTTGAGAATCGGGCCCCAGCTCTTAATCTCTTGGTGTGCATGAATAGTTCTCATTAGTTGTGGTAAGTGCGTTAAGTGAAACTAACTATAGAAGCTCACTGAAACTGGACCGTGTAATCACATTGTTCATCAGAAGGGATTTTAATGTTTACATGCAGAAAAAAAAATTGTCATCACAAGTAGATAAATAGCCCATTATTTTACACTTGAGTTGGTACAGCAGGAGCAAACAGCCACCAAACTACTTCTGTTGACATTCCAGTTGAGCTGCACATAAGAGACATGTGGATGTATCCTGTATATTCTCAGACAACATTCATCTACTCTTGCTTCTGATGTCATTTCCCAATGGGGTAAATATGTCTCTGAAGCTTTATTCCTCCTTTGTGGGAATCGGATCCCCAGTTTTTAGCCATGCTTATTCACAGAGCAGAATTTTCCAGAGTATGGGAGCTACACATACCATAGGCACAGCACCTGCAGTGGCATTAAATAAGTTGGGTCACATAATGAGGGGTAGGCAAACTTTATCTGTAAAGGACCAGATAGTAAGTATCTTAGGCTTTGCAGGCCATGAGGTCTCTGTTGCTACTACTCAGTTCAGCCATTTTAGCACTAAAGCAGCTGTAGGTAAAACGTAAGGAATGGGTGTGGCACCAAAAAAACTTTTATGCACACTGAAATTGGAATTTCATATAATTTTACATGTGAAATGTTATTCTTCTTTTGATATTTTTAGCCATTAAAAAAATATAAAACTCCTTCTTAACTCTAGTTTGTATAAAAACAATCCTTGGGCCAGTTTGCAGACTCCTGCCATTGGAGGAGTCTCAGTGGGATGCTAGACTTTAATGCCTCTCTAAAACATATGAATTTTACATTTTAACAGAGGGAAAGGGTTCAGGTTTGTCTCTGAATCAGACAAAAATAGTTAGCTGGAAATAAAGCATATTGTGTTGAACTTTTTACATTTTATTTTAAACATTTTATTTTACCCTCTATCTGTGGCTACTAAGTGAATTTCTACTTAGAATGGTGATTTAAAAAAAAAAAAAACAAAACAGAATTGGCTGGGTGCGGTGGCTCACGCCTGTAATCCCAGCACTTTGGGAGGCCGAGGTGGGCGGATCACGAGGTCAGGAGATCGAGACCATCCTGGCTAACATGATGAAACCCCGTCTCTGCTAAAAATACAAAAAATTAGCCAGGTGTTGTGGCGGACACCTGTAGTCCCAGCTACTGGGGAGGCTGAGGCAGGAGAATGATGTGAACCTGGGAGGTGGAGCTTGCAGTGAGCCGAGATTGCACCACTGCACTCCAGCCTGGGCGACAGAGCAAGACTCCGTCAAAAAAAAACAAAAAAACAAAAAAAAAACAACAACAACAATTGATTTACAAACAAAAATATTAAGTAAAGAAGAGGCCAGGTGATACATGGCTATGATGAAAATCATGAGGTGATATTTATGATATTTGAAGGGTTGGTATTTGGGAATCTGCTGTCCAGGTTTGATTACCTGTGAGTGTTTTTTCCTTGGGAGGAATATCTGTAGTTCTGAAAAAAGTAGCTTATTATTTTTTCACTACAACTTATGATATTATAAAAATTTAAAAAGAGCCCCTGATGAAACATACACATTTCCTCTGATACTTTCATCAAAGCCAGCCAAGGTATAAAAACCAAGGTAAAGTAAGGTTAAA
This sequence comes from Homo sapiens, assembly GCF_000001405.40. Taxonomy (NCBI): domain Eukaryota; kingdom Metazoa; phylum Chordata; class Mammalia; order Primates; family Hominidae; genus Homo; species Homo sapiens. The sequence continues at coordinate 167,696,386 of NC_000005.10, forward strand.
ACTTGTGATGAGTCCTGAAATGCATAGAACAATAGTAGTTCCATTGTCTCCCTTCACAGTCTGTGGATTTCATGTAGTTCTCTGCCACACTTTTTATCTCAACACTTCACATGTTTTTACTGAAGGATCAGGAGCTCACTTATTTATCGTTCTCTAAAATGGTGAGCCTCCCTTTTCTTTGTATGAAAATACTCAATATATGTTTAAACAAATCAACAGAAATAGGAAAAACAGATGGTGAAAGGATTATGAGGCATTCTTTGAAAAGAGAGTGTGCTGTATTTTCTACACGGGAATGACCAGTTGCTCTTTGATCTCAAATGTCTCCGTTAGCGCGAAGGCCCTGCTTGCACTCAAAACCACACTTTGTCGGAGAGACTCGTGCTACAGCCTCCTGAGGATCTCCCAGCTGCTCCTCTTGCACCTCCCTGGAACCATTCCTTACTTCCCACCTCCTCCTCTTCCATTCTCACCCAGCAGCCAGTAAGACCTTAAAAAGTGAATCAACCAGTTAACAGTCTTGCTTAAAAACCTCAAGAAGCTCATCACCTAACTTGGGAAAACAAGCGTCTACACTCTCTATCTGAGGCCGTCAACCAGGCCCTGCACAGTTTAGCCCTGCCATTCCATGGCCTCTGCGCATGCTTCCTCTTCCTTCCAGCCCTTACCCTCCTCCAGTTTCTCACACTTGCCTGGTTCTTGCCTGTCTTTAGATGCCAATAGCACCACAGTCATCCCTGTTGTGACAACCAAAAATGCCTCTGGATGGTGCTGAATGACCTCTCAAGGGTAAAACCCCTGTCTGCCTGAGAAAGGCTGCTCCATCTGGAACACTGTCCCCCATGACACCCGCTCCTTGTTTGAAGCTCAGCAGGCACTTCCCTTCCATAGAAGGCCCTCCTTGGCTCCCACTTTTAGAAATAGTTCCTCCGATTTGAACCTTTCATTCTATATTTCACTTTTCCTTATAAGGACTTATTTCGAATTGTAATCACGTATGCATCCTGTGTTCATTAGTTTAATATCTGTTGACTAGATTATAAGCTCCCTGAAGCCATGCTAATTTGTTCACTGCTTTATTTTCAGCATTTATCACAGTGCCTGGCACATTGCAGTGGATTAATCCATATATTTTGAATGAAAGAGTTATCAATTTTTTTTTGAGATATAGTTTAGCTCTTGTTGCCTGGAGTGCAGTGGCACCATCTCGGCTCACTGCAACCTCTGCCCCCAGGTTCAAGCGATTCTCCTGCCTCAGCCTCCCTACTAGCTGGGATTACAGGCACCCGCCACCATGTCCAGCTAATTTTTGTATTTTTAGTAGAGACAGGGTTTCACCATGTTGGGCAGGCTGGTCTCGAACTCCTGACCTCAGGTGATCTGCCCGCCTCAACTTCCCAAAGTGCTTGGATTACAGGTGTGAGCCACTGCACCCAGCCAAGAGTTATCAATTTTAAGTCAAATTTATATTTCATAATCTTGTGGACCTACTATTCTATCACCATCCCTAGCTGTTATGCTTAGGTTATTTAACAAAGAAAAATAAGTCATCGGGAACTTGAAATATAATCGCCTGACAAGGTATCCCTCTAAGTGATTAAATTTCTGTTTTATTAGGGTTCAAACAAGTGCTCGGTATTTGCCTTTATTTTCCAAGAAAATAAATCTATCTCCAAATGCCACAGAGAGAAATTTATCTTTTCCTTTACTCATTGTATGCACTGATCTTGTGTTCAGATCTGATTACCCTTAACAGGCAGCCTCTATGTGCAGTAACTTGAGCTCTTTTCCTTAGTTTCTCCTTTACCAGTAACTCCCTGGTTGTTTTTACCTTCGTAACTACCTTTCCGGTCAAAGTACTGCATCTCTTTCTGTAAGATGATGGCTTCAGATCACCTTCTCATTTTTCTCACGTTTATTTTCAAATGTGTCTCCACACAAGCCCAGCCTGTCATAGACCATGTTTTACTGTTCTGAGTGACTTGACATTCCCTGACCAGACCATGCTGTCTGTCTCTCCATCAGGCTCCACACTGTTCCCTGTGCTAGAACACTGTCATCCATAATGGTCTCCTAAAAACAGCCCCTTAATCCCCAAGATTAACTGGATGTCTCCCCGACCCACCTACCCAGGTCCTGGTCTCCTGGGTGGCCACTGCACAGATATACTGTACTGCAGTTGCCTGTTTATTTGGTTTTCCCTTCCATTGCTTGAAAATGCATAGTGGGAAGAACAGAGAATGGCTTCCATAAATAGTTTTTCTGTGTGTGTGTGTGTTTTGTTTTGTTTTTTGTTTTTTTTTTTTTTTTTTTTTTGAGACATAATCTCGCTCTTTTGCCCCGGCTAGAGTGCAGTGGTGCGATCTCTGCTCACTGCCAGCTCCTCCTCCCGGATTCACGCCTTTCTCCTGCCTCAGCCTCCTGAGTAGCTGGGACTACAGGTGCCCGCCACCACGCCCAGCTAATTTTTGTATTTTTAGTAGAGGCGGGATTTCACCGTGTTAGCCAGGATGGTCTTGATCTCCTGACCTTGTGATCTGCCTGCCTCGGCCTCCCTGATTGCTGGGATTACAGGCGTGAGCCACCCTGCCCGGCCCCATAAGTACTTTTAAAAGAAATAATGAAGTTCCTTTTAAAGTGTAAACCCCTTAGAACTGAGAATTAATTCTACAGTTAGCTAGTTATAAAAGTCTAGAGAAAATGGAACATAAGACAGCCATATCTTTTGGCTTTGATTAGTAAAAAGAAATATATATGACTGTCACAGAAGATAGTCCTAAATGTGTAAGATGCTTCACAAAACAGAGATAAAGAGTATGTCCTGTCCTTAAAATTAAAATTTGGAAGGATTAATAGTGGCTCAACACACTAGAATGCTGCGTTAAGTAGTATGTGAAGTCTCATCCAAGCCCAATAAAATGAATAATTTGATCCATCAGCAAAGTGTGCTATGAATATCAAGCAGGGAAGGCCAGAGGTTTAGTGTCTAAAACTAAAGGGGTAAGTAAAGATGTAAAAGGAACACCCAAACGAAATCTCGGCTTATTTTACCTTATTTTTAAGTCAGAGAATTGTGTACTTGAAAAGACCTCTTTCCACATCCCCAAGTCTTACTTTACAGATGAATCACCTTACTTTCAGCTGAAGCAGCTAAGGTTCTCAGAATAAGTATGCTGAGCATGTCTCTGCTGTAGCCAGATAGAACTAGAACAATGCCCTGCCCTGCTGATTATCTTTGTAAGAATTCTGAACCCTGCTGAGTTTATGGGGCAACATTCCTATGGCCTGACTTGCAGCTTAAGTGGCTTCTGAATCGAACATCCCTCCTCCAGTGGTTGAGAGACACAGACTGGCACTTAGTAACAATGCAGCAATGATATATTTAGTATCAACCATGAGCCAGGCTTTTGCTGAACAGTTTACTATGCAGTAGGTTCCCCACAAGCCCCAACAATCCTATGTAGTAGAAAGTATTAGTTTCCCTAATATGCAAATGAGAAACCTGAGGCTTTAAAGATGAACTGACTTGGAAAAATCACATAGCTAGAAATGGAGAGAGCTGGACTTTGACCCAATCAGTCTGGCTCTGAATTCACTTCTGTAAATGCAATAATATATTGGGGTTCAGGGAAAATTTTTACATAGCACTTTTGAGGACATCTTGAGTTCTTCAGACCTCTTCACAGACATGCCATATCATAGAAACAGAAAAAAATTTGCAAAGACACTTAGTGTCTCTGAAAAGATAGAACAGGCTTAAAGAGTACCTGACTCAAAAAATTTACAAAATCCCACTGCTCCCTTGATAGAGAGATCAGATGGAACATGAAATAAAGTACTTCCTTTAAAGTCCTTTAAGAATTTAAATGTGAAGATAGAGGTCATACATGATATACATTAAGATGAAAGTAATTAAGAGCTAGCATTCTCTGGGGACCTGCTAAGTACTAGGGGTTGGGCCAAGTGTTTTACAAACATTATCACTCGAATCCCCACAACCCTTGGGCAGGGGCCTGCATGTTCAGGTTGTACACTGCAGAACTCCAAGGGGCACCATTCATTTAGACTAACATGCATGGTAGCTTTAGGTGGTGCAGTGGCCTGACCTATGAGATTGTTAAACGTTTAATGGTTAGTTCAGACTTCACATAGCCAGGAAGGGACTGAGCTGGGATTGGAACCCAGAACACTTTACTCACAGAGTCCTTGCTTCTCACTGCTCTTGGTACACCTATGCCCCTGTAAACATCCTCTCTCAGGGTAGAGAATCAGGCTAATTTAATCAGCATGGCCATGCTTTTCTGGGTTATATGAAATTATTCTCTGTAAGAATCTCAAAGCCAGCAGTTAATGATTTGGTACCATTATCAGTTGATTGTGGATATCACAATTCGGTCCATCTTGAAGTGGTATGTTTTGATAAACTGATTCCATTTAAATGTGTATCGATTCTATGTTCAGTACCATTATCCTTCCTTTTAGTATAACGTGCACTGAAAAAATAAAATTGCGTTCAGAAATAATACTTAGTTCAGCCCCAGTACACACAGTTGTTATATTTCTTAAAAAAAAAAAAAAAAAAAAAAAAGCTAGCAAGTTTTTGGGGAACTCCAGGGAAAACAATATGTGAATTAATTTTCGTTTCAAAAGAACAGCAGGAATTATTCAGGTAAAAATATTTATGTTAATATGCTACAACTGCCACATTTCATCTGTGTGACCACTAGTGCTTTCTAAACAGCTGCTAGAAAAATGTACACAAGAAATGTGTGAGGTCTATGGAAAATGTAATTTTTGTATTCTAGCTATTACATTTTTTCCCAGTCATTACATCTCCCCCAACTCTTGCAGGATGTGGGTTTTTTGCATAAGTTGCAAATTCACAGTTAAATGAGGCACCTTTTGGACTTGGCTAAATATGTATGAACATGAAGTTATGAATCTATGAACTGGTTTGAAAGGTAGAACCATGTGATGTTGGCATTATCGTCATGTTGGGTTTTGGGTGTTTGTTTTTTTTTTTTACATCAGTTTAAAATTACTTTGCATGAAATTAGCATAGAGTAGCAATTACTCATTCTTACTCTGTATACCTTCTCACGTTCCAGTGAGAAGAAGAAAACAACATAGGTTCGTGACATGTAATATTTGAGACCATTGACTTTGCTTCTCACTAACTGCATGTGATAATTTGGGCAGGTCACTGAAGCTCTGGTTCTGTGTCTTACTTGAAAAATAGGAAGGATAATAAGCCCTCACCTCATAGATTGTTCTAAGGGTTCATTAAATAGATACATACATACAATGTTTGGCAAAGTGCCTGATTCCTAGTTAGTGGAACTCTAAATTGTAGTTGTTATTACTGTATTGTATTATTCTCTGGTCTGCATTGGGAAAGGATCTGCCTGCATTGCTGTATAAGTATTTTGTTATTTTAATGATAGTTTCTAACTTTTCAGGTGACCTTTCCTTATTGATATTTATGTTCATGTTGTGATAAACTGGAACTATACTAAAAGTAAATATGTCTCTTTAAATGTTATTTTCTATCAGTTCCTTCTAGAGAATATTTGTTTTGGCAAGTAGAGGTATATCCTGCTTTAATCAACCCATCAGGCTTATTCAATTCAAGGAATTTTCAACCATTTTGAAGATTGCAAAAGCTATTGAGAACTATAAAATGTGTTCCCTGCCTTTGAAAAGATCTGGAAAAGGATTATTGACATCTTTTTATACAGAAGAGGAAACACTCTGAAACGCCAAAGAAAGGTTTACATCAAATATAATAACTGATGACATGCTGATTTAAGCATTTAATGAGCAAATCCTATTAACTCTGCCCACCCATTCATTCAGTTACACAAATGAAATAACATCTGAACTTCCATGCATGGGTGACCAAATCCCATACACAAGGTAATGAAGGATAGAGCTGCTTGGGTTTTACTATCATGTCTTTCCATGGGAAAGTTCTGCCTTTCACGTGTGTCTAGGTGCTCTCTTTATTAGCTGAATTCATCTCTGTCTTGCCAACACACTTGCTTATACACTGATGCTATGATTTGGGTCTTGTGTGTCTCTATGGGGCCAGATTACTCATAGAATTTCACTTTGTTTTAATAAAGAAAGGGCTAATTTATATATGTATGTATGTATGTGTGTGTGTGTATATATATATATATATATACATATATATATATATTTCTTTACATAGTAAAAGTTTTCCCAAGAACTGCTGTGTTTTTTTGTTTTTTTGTTTGTTTTGTTTGTTTTTATTGTTTGTTTTGTTTGAGATGCAGCCTCCCTCTGTTACAAGACTCTCAGGCTGGAGTGCAATGGTACAATCTCGACTCACTGCAACCTCCGCCTCCTGGGCTCAAGCGATTCTCCTGCCTCAGCCTCCCAAGTAGCTGGGATTACAGGCATGCGCCACCATGCCCAGGTAATTTTTGTATTTTTAGTAGAGACGGTGTTTCACCATGTTGGCCAGGCTGGTCTCAAACTCCTGACCCCATGATTCGCCCGCCTCAACCTCCCAAAGTGCTGGGATTACAGGCGTAAGCCACCACGCCCAGCCACTTTTTTATTTTCTTCAAAAGTCCTTGCTTACACACACAACCTCTCTCCCTCTGTCTCCCTCTTGCTCTATTTCTGTCTTGTTCTTGATTTCTCTCTTTCACATATGCACAGGCAGAGGCACTCATACCTACATTCATATAGACCTTTTAGTCTTTCTTCTCATGGTATTATTCCATATGCCACAATTGCCTCGGCTACAACTAGTCCAGAAATTTCCAATCCATAGCCATATATGCTAAATGACACCTATAGTAAGTGGTATACAGCCTTAAAAAGACTACATTAAGCCAGACATAGTGGCTCACACCTGTAATCCGAGAACTTTGGGAGGTGGAGGTGGGTGGATCACCTGAGGTCAGGAGTTCAAGACCAGCCTGGCCAACATGGTGAAACCCTGTCTCTACTAAAACTACAAAAATTAGCCGAGCATGGTGGCACACCACCGTAATCCCAGCTACTCGGAAGGCTGATGTGGGAGAACTGCTTGAACCCAGGAGGCGGAGGTTGCAGTGAGCCAAGATCGCACCAATGTACTCCAACCTGGGTGACAAGAGTGAAACCATCTCAAAAAAAAAAAAAAAAAGGCTACATTAACTCCTGATTTAAGCAGCAAATGAATTGGGTGTGAGTCTTACTTGTTAAACAAAGAAGACTCTCCGTAGGATTACTTTATATCATTTAGAAAAAGACAGTTTTTATTTTTTTCTGGAAATGTACGGTAGAACCCAAGAAGTAGTATACTAAATTAGTACTAGTCTTCAAAAATGTATAGTCTCATTGATGTACTGATTTCAGAAAAACTACGTCAGCAACTTAGGTCTTTTCGTGTGATGTAGCAATTAGTTTTCTGCTAGGCTGATAGAAGAAAGTAAAAAGAGGCAAGGATTTGTTCCTCAAATTATTGTGCTTAGGTGTTTTGTTGTGCTTCAAAAGTTTGTGTTTGGTTTTTGTGGTTATTTAACCCCTCTTTCCAGCCCCCTTTCTTAACCTGAAGAAGAGGTGGAAGGAATAGAGAGGAACAAGGAAGGAATCAAGCTTTTGTCTTAATAAGAGAAGAAATTCTTTGAGGGTGCAAAATTATTTCTAGGTAGTTCTGAACTTGGTTTCCTCAGAGAACTGTGTGGTGGAAATTGGCCGTGGTACAAGCCTATGTTGGATTACCTTGCTTAAAGCTTTTAATCACTCATTTGAGTTCCACCTTGGTATGGGATATTGAGAGGTAGCTGGAGGGAGGATGCATCTTCTCCACTTACCTTCATGAGGCCACCCAATCAGTCTTTTCACACTCTGGGTCCCTGTCTGAACAGAGGACTTTTATTTGTCAATACAGATAATTCCTCTGGGTGTAATCTTAGCCTATACTTTAATTTCAACTTTAAGAATTTTGTTTTTCTGAGAGCTACAACCATGGCACATCTTATCCAACAGGAGCCATTCCTACTCATTCATTTAATACAAACGCGTAAGACCAAAATCAGTGTGTTAGGTGAAGTCATTCCTTGTGAGGAAAAGTAAATGCCTCTGATAAAATAATGTTTCACCCTCCTGCATCATCATAATTAAGAAGATAAAATGTATTCAAACAGAAGACTTAAATACCAATATTAGGTGGCATGGGATTGAGTACAGAAATAGCAATGAAGGAAGAGGGCAGTACAGGCCAGAAAAAATCAAGGAAAAAGAAGGCTTTGAATAAGAACTGCACAGAGTGACTTTGAGTTGCAGTAACCTTATGTGGGTTAACTGGTTTTGCGTTTTTTGGCTGTGTTGATGGAGTTGAAAGAATCAGCCCTTTTTACTTGAGTACTTTAAATTTTTGTGCATTATCTTTAGGCTATGGTTCTTGATGTTGAAAGAAATATGATGTCTTCGAGGCTTTTCTCTAGGATGCCAAAGAGTGGCACCTTGGGTATAGGAAAAGAGCATGTGTTAGGTCTGCTGGAGTGTGTGTAATAGAGGTAGATGGAGCTGGAGTGTATTGATTCTTTATTTCTTGTCAGTCCTTGGCATGCATTATTGACAGTGGAGATTGAATACTTTGAAGTTGGTAAAAGTCACCATCAAGAAACTGTGTTGCTTTGAGTTTGCAGGAATAACTGAGGAGAGAAAGACAAACCCCTTGCTGTGCTCTGCCTACCCCTGGGCTTTTTGTGCACTGGATTATGAAAAGTGATAGAAGACTGGAACTTTTTATGGTAAATATCTAAAGGGAAAACTTTGTCCCTATAGTAACCCTTTTAGCAAATATGGTTGTCATGTTCCTGCTGCATATGACTGGGACTGTGCTGAGCTCAAACGAGGTGATCAGTTATTATCAACATATAACCAGCTAATGGATGAGCAAATATTTAAGGAAACAAAATAATTATCAAGATCTTGACTTCTTATATTCTTGGAAAGGTAGAGTAATTGATAGAAACCTGAGTGTGCCTGCACCACCCACACACCCTGCCCAGCTTGGTTGATCTGGATGGAACTTTAGAAGACGTTCTTTATGATTAACCTGTGGCTGTATTATTGGACTCCTCCTTACCAATTGTCTACCTTTGCTATCTATTTCTGAATATAGAGGTAAAAGAGGGTGTACAGTAAAGCTTTGTTATTTATTGGCTGTGGTGGGGAGGGGAAATAAGGATTATCATAACACTCAATTAGAGTTACATCCTGTTCAGGGCAGTTCTCCAAGTGCTCCCTCTGCTCCAAACTTAGTGATAATTTAGGCTTATAAAGCAAAGAGACATTATTAAAAATACATCAAGTTTCATCATTGACACTTCCTACCCTTTGACAAATACTTCCCTGTTTCCCCTACTCCCCAGCCCCTGCAGTTTCCCATTCCTACTCTCTGCTTCTAGGAGTTTGACTATTTTAGATTTACCATATAGGTGGTATCATGTAGCAGTTGTCCTTTATATCTGGCTTATTTCAGTTAGCATGATATTCTCCAGGTTTATCCATGCTGTTGCAAATGGCAGGAGTTCCTTCTTTTTCAAGGCTGGGTTATATATATATATATATATATATATATTTATTTATTTATTTATTTACTTATTTATATTATATATTATATATATTTATATTATACAATATATATTTATGCCAATAGATATACAGTGTGTGTATATATATAATTATACCAGTATATATGTATAATTATACCAGTATATATACCAGTATATAGATGGTGTGTATATATAGTTATACTATATATTATGCATAGTATAATCATATACTATATAATTATATAGTATGTAAAAATATATTATATTATTATATAGTATACTATATATTATTTATGCTGTGATATATATTATGATAAGTATATATTATATATGTATCACAGTATATATAAGAAAATATATATTAGAAAATGTGATACAGTATATATAAGAAAATGTGATACAGTATATATAAGAAAATGTGATACTATATATATATATATAAGAAAATGTGACACTGTACATATATATAAGAAAATGTGATACTGTGTGTAGATATATCTATATCTATATCTATATATCCATTCATCTGTCGTGGACATTTAAGTTGCCTCCATGTCTTAAACTATTGTAAATAATGCTGCAGTGAACATGGGAGCACAAATATCTCTTTAAGAGCTGGTTTTCAATTCCTTTGAATATTTACCCAGAGGTGGGATTGCTGAATCATATGGTAATTCTGTTTTTAATTTTTTGAGGAGTATCTATACTGTTTTCCATAATGGCTGAACCAATTTATATTCCCATCAATAGTGTTAAAGGGTTGCCCGGCCGGGCGCGGTGGCTCACGCCTGTAATCCCAGCACTTTGGGAGGCCGAGGCGGGTGGATCACGAGGTCAGGAGATCAAGACCATCCTGGCTAACATGGTGAAAGCCCCGTCTCTACTAAAAATACGAAAAATTGGCCGGGCATGGTGGCAGGCGCCTGTAGTCCCAGCTACTTGGGAGGCTGAGGCAGGAGAATGGCGTGAACCCGGGAGGCGGAGCTTGCAGTGAGCCGAGATCGCGCCACTGCACTCCATCCTGGGCGACAGAGTGAGACTCCGCCTAAAAAAAAAAAAAAAAAAAAAAAAAGGGTTGCCCTTTCTCCACATCCTCCTCAAAACTTGTTTTCTTCTGTTTTCTTCATAGTAGCCATCCTAACACATGGTAGGTGATATCTCAGTGTGGTTTTGATTTGTATTTCCATGATGATTAATGATGCTGGGCACCTTGTCATATACCAGTTTTCCATTTGTATGTCTTCTTTGGAGAAATATCTATTCAGTTCCTTTGTTCATTTTTAAATCAGGTTGTTATGGTTTTTGCTTGTTTTGCTGTTGAGTAATAGGAGTTCCTTATGTATTTTGGATATTAACCCTTTATCAGATATATGGTTTGCTAATATTTTCTTCCATTCCAAAGATAGCCTTCTTGTTTTCTTGTTTTCTTTGCTGCACAGAAGCTTTTTAGTCTGATATAATTTGACTTATCTATTTTTGCTTCTGTTGCCTGTGCTTTATTGTCATATACATGGAAACCATTTCCAATGTGTTTGTGGCATGGATCATAGTAATGGTTTCATGGGTGTATACTCATCTCCAAGCTCACCAAGTTGTATATATTAAAGTTGTGCAGCTTTTTGGATGTCAGTTATACCTCAATAAAGTGGTTTTGAAAATGCACCAACAAAAACAGCATGAATTGTACATAGTATAATTCTAGAAATCTTAGAACCCACTGCCTGAATGCCGTCTAGAATCCTAGCAAGTCTACCTTCTGTATTTCATTAGGCTGTGGTCTCAGATCCCGAACCAGACTGAAGACACATAGAAACATCTGAACATCTGAAATCTGTACTGTCTCTTCAGTGGATTCTAAGCTGCCTCAGCTTTAATAAAGGTCTTTAAGTAACTCTACTTAGTAGAGACTCTCCATCACTTAGAAGAATGGTGGCCAGAGGCATGTCAAAGTCAGAATATTAGGTATGGTTTACCAAGGTGAAAAGGAACGGTGTGGTGCTCGGAGTTTTCTGGTCCAAGCATTTGTTGGGTCAATGAATAAGAGCAGGGCTTACCTCTTGCCTTGCTATGTTTAAATTCATTGATATTGAGAGACAGTCCAGGGTTGGATAGACAAATCGATCTTATCTGAAATTCTGATTCCTATTGATTGGTAGAAGCTGCCTAAGATGTTGAGTTAAGAAGATTATAATGTCATGACATCTGGACTCAGTACAAAGAAGAGTTATCACAACTGAAGAGTGTATGCTACGGGGAAGAAAGTGATGGAGAGAGAGAGAGAGAGAGAGAGTTAGATGATAGGCTATATTATATATACATACCTTTTAGATACAAATATACTGTATTATCAAAATCATATATGCACTTTTAATATTGAGAGTGTCACTGTTAGGGTGAAACTGCACCATATAGATGGCAGATACTGTCTACTTGCCCACCAAATTATTCCCTTTCTTCTCAGGCAAACAAGGCAACTGGACTACAATTTCATCCTCTCTTGAAGCTAGACAGGGCCATATTCCTGAGTTCTAGCCAATGAGATATGTAGAAATGGCATTCCTCACTTGCAGACATGGAAAATAAATCTTTCCACATGTGAGTCCCAGTTCTATTTCTCCATTCACTGGCAGAAGGGATGGAGAGGACTTGGGTAGAGGACCGAGGAGAGGGCAGCCACAAGGAGGAGCCTGAGTCCCTGAATGACTGTTTGGATTTGAGGCCTCCCCGCCAGCCTCTCCCCCTCTGCCTGCCAACCTGCATTGTCATACAGTGAAAAAGAACTATGCTTTTACCGTACAGTGCCACAGAATTGGAGTTGTTTGCTCTAACTGACTAATACTATATATGTTAAAGTTTTTTTTATAAAAACATAAAGCACAATGGGAGTATATAAGAGATTGTAATTATAAGGTAGCAAAAACACCATTTCTCTTTCTATACAAACCTATATTGTTATGTGTGCTAAGAAGTCTCCCCAAAGCATTCTTTCCCTTTTATGAAATGGGCGAGTCTAGCACTTCCCTCCCCTCTGCATATATCACACAGATGCCTCAAACTGTCTATCCAATACAGTCCTACCTCATAATGACTGTCAGCATCTAAATCCAAGTATAGTCACAGAAACTATGCCAGAGCTCTGGAGGAAGTCTCAGTGGTGGGCAGACAGGGGACACTTCTCCCCCACCGCCCCATCTGCAGCTGCGTGCATCCTCCACTGCATCAGTTTCCTGCTTTGTAGTCCTGTCTTTTCCAAGCTGAGTTCACTGCGTGGTCTTCTCTTATCCCCGGGTTATTTGATCTTTTACTCTAATTTTCTCACCAGCACTTTTCTATTTAGTTTTTATAGAATTTATTTCTCCTTCCCTACATGTAATTTTTTGTATCTATCTTATTTGAATTTCATTTCATGTAATCCCTCCAGTGCATCCAGGCCATTTTGGATTCTAAACGTGTTGTCTCTTCCCTGACAGCTGGGTATTCAGTGTAGAGTACAAATATATACTTAGCTCTAATGTCCACAACACTTATAACAGTAAAACTAGAGTGAAAGTCAGAAGAAGAGATGGTGGCGGTCCAGAAGCCCAGTCCAACTGGTCTTTGCTCTTGCAACAGGGCAGCAGGAGTGAATGGAGAACTGACATTTAGGACAGGTTCTCTGTCTCTTTCTCAGGACAGCTTTGTCTCTGTATATCGTACTCAATCTCCCCTCTCTTCAGACCCACATTCCTTGACCACACGAAAGAACATGGCTGTTGACACCCCAAAGTTTTACACCTTGTCTCTTCAAGAAAATGGCTCTTTTAGGAGTGGTTCAAAAAATGAGAGAGAAACCAAAAGCGAGAGTGAGAGTGAGAGAGTGTGGGAGGAAAGGCAAGAATGAGAGAGAGAAAGAGAGAGAGGGGGAGAGAGGAAGACTCTTTTTGGTTTAACTTGATCAACCATCTACATTTGGTCTAAAAAATTCTAGAAAAGAGAGCAGAGTTTTGGAGTAAAAATGAGGCTGTTGGGATCTCGAACTTCTGGATAAGTTGAGGGGAATCATTATAAATCAGGCACCACCCCCAAAAGATCTACTGGTGATGGTAGTAGAGAAATTAAAAGGTAGATAAACAAAGGAAGAAAAAGAAGTAATGATTTAACTTCCTTTGAACATAAAATTTACCAGTAACAATCACTCTTTGAGAAGAAGCATGTTGTTAACATATTCTGTTGGGTTCTGTTTGACTCTGTGGTGGTATGTGTGTGTATACATATGTACACACACATACAGGTATACACATGCATACACACACACATATTCAGTGAATACATACTATTTGACATGAATTACACCAGGTACTAAAGTAGCCCTTATTTTTAAGTGACTTTCGATTTCATGGGGGAAAAAAACAACAACACACAAACAGAGAAGTCACATTCTTATATCTGCTGGGCAGAGGAGCCCTGGGAGCACTTAAGTAACCTAGGAAAGGAGAATGACAGAAAGTCTTCCCAGAGGAACAAGTGCCTGAGCTGACTGTGAAAGGCTGAACAGGAAGGAGCCAGATGAACGACAAGAGAGCAGAACATTCAAGACAGAAGGGATAATGTGAATGAAGGTGTGACAATGAGAAATAGTATGGTGTCTTCTGGAAAGGGTCAGCCCAGACTTGCCATGACATAAATTAGGAAGTAAAACTAGGAAAGCAGTAGGGAAAGATGAAAGGGCAGATTTCAAAGAGCCTTTTTGGGCAGGTTAATAAATCCAGACATTAACCTGAGGGCATTGGGAAACCACTGAAAGGTTTTAAGCAAAGGAATGACACAGTCAAGCTTGTATCTACTACAGATCACTGTGGTATGACAGAAATGCACAAAACGGGTTTAAGATGAAGACAAGCTGGGAGACAGGGAGACTAGTTGAGTAGTTACTGCGGTAATCTAGGGCAAAGATGATGGAGAGCTAACTAAAGCAGAAATAGTAACAATACAGCTATCTATTATTCATGAATTCAACAAGTAGTCATTAACATGTCTTCTGTGTCCTACACTGTGCTAAGCATTTTACATGAATCATCTTACTGAATCCCCAGAGGCCTATGAAGCCAGGTACTGGAATTGTTGGTGAGAAAAATGGGGCTCAGAGGGCTGAATTACCTGGCCAAAGGTTCAAAACTAACAAGGAACAAAGGCAGTATTCAAATCCAAGTCTGACAACAAACTTTAGTAATCAACCACCAATCCAATAATAATAGCTATAAGCAGGAAGGAATACAGGTTAAAAATACATAGATGAAATTAGCCAGGCTAGGTGATTGACTAACTTCCGGGAATATGGGAGAAGAAGGCACCAAGGATAATTCTCATATATCGAGTATGGGTGTCTGGGATAGTAAGTGCAGAAAAACTGTTTTAAATGTTTGACATTCATTCCAATTCACTGCACCACCAGGAAAGTCAGTCATCTGGCAACATCGCTAGCCCACTGGCCCTTCCACATTCTGCAGCTAGTCAATCTTCCCATCCTTTTCGGCCTGGACCCCTGGGCCAATATTTCCAGCAATCTGCTTTACAGTGACTTCAGTCTCTTTGTCCCCTGGCCTTTCACAATGCCCACCTTGCCAATCACATCCCTTACATCAAACCCACTGTTTATCTGTGCCAGCTTCTGGGCAGCCATTCAGTGATATCTGTAAAATTCAGCCAGGTACTGGTGCTTTTGCTCAATCATCTCTTTTCCTTCTTCTCCCATCAGTCCCCCTTCCTGTTTTGCACTGCGCTCATCTCCTTAGACCCAACCAGCCACCTGTTCTTTGCAGTGTGCCTTTGAATACCAAGGTCATGCAAGTTGAGGTCTCTCTACATGTTTCTCTATCTTTACCCATTTTTCTCTCTTCACTCTTCTTTCAGAGTAACACTCTTATTTCAGAGTAACTTATTTCAGAGTAACTTGCCACCAACTGAACCTTGATCTATCAATTGTGTGCAAATTATTTTTAATACATTGCTTAAAATTTACTCATGGTACAAATTCAAACTTATTTTTAATCCTTATCATATCTATGAAAAATACTGTCTTTGTTAGCAGAGCATTCATCATCCTAAAATAAACTATGAGAAGGGCTAGACTTTCCTCATCTTTATCTCAGGACAGGATGAAGTAGGTTAAGCTCCAATCAACTCGATCTTAATTAGCCCCCAAATGATGCTTTACTTCCATTTCTAAAGCCTTAGTTAGTGAATTACTGGATAAAAAATAAGTTTAATAAGTAAAGAAAGGCAAAAGTCATGAATATCTCTACAAATGAGGTATTTTAGTGTATATTCCATTAACAAGTTTTAAGATGTCATCAATTGTAAGATATTTTTTAAATAAGAGGATTTGGGGGAAAATTAAAAGTACAAATGTCAATTTAAACCAGATTTCAGAAATATGAATATGAAAATGTGAGAAAAACAAACTGGATCTTATAATTAAGACAACACAGCAAGTTTTCCCCCTAGAATTATGTTTCTGTCTGTCTAGTATGTAGCTGTCTAACTTGGTCATTTTACAAAATTCCTATTCATGCCACAATCCCCTTTGTTAAAAAGTTTTGCTTCATTTTTTGTTTTATAGGGAAGAACTATCTGAGACACCTGGTAACCATTTCTTTCTTAGTTTAGAAATTGGTTTTGTGGTACTATTACTCAATAATCCTATTCAGAAATATAAGCATAGCTTCAGTAAAGGTTGAAATATCAAAAGGAAAGAAAAGCCTATAACTGAGGGAGCTTTTTTGAATATGGAATAAAACATGAATCTAGACATTAGAAAATTGGAACATATTTTTCCATGTTCTACCCCAGTAGAAGTTTAGAGAAGAAAAGAGTTAACTTGCTCTAAAATGCAGTATATTTCTTTCGGCAAACACCCATATGTGTTAGTGTGTGCATGTTTTTCTTATTAGGTGAAAAAATCATGCTAGGTCTGGATTTTAGCATCTTCTTGCTAGAAGCAACTGATTGTACCTATCAAGCCCAAGACAGAGCCCAGACAAAAGTATTTTCCTGCCTGGTGGGCTCACAGTTTGTGCAGCTTTATGTATGTATGAACATCCATTCATATATGTGTATACATATGTGCGTGTGTATAGTGTGTATACACATGTATATTTTTAATGACATTTTGGAAAGGATACAATAGTGTTTGTATTTTGCAGTGAGTGCGCCAGTTCATAATCTATGTTTATTAGAATGAACTAAATTCCTTGAGCCTCTGCCATTTTTCCTACCCCCTACGAAGATTCTGTTTTCCCCTCTTCTAAAATATAACACTGGAGAGAAGTGCCAAATCAACAGCCCAGAAATCGGGAAGCTCCTTTTTTAATTCCCATCCTGTAGTACTCCCCTTGGATTTCTGTGCCAAAGCTGGCTGAGAGCGCTCTCACTTCAGCTTCCTATTTAACTTGGCTGGTACTATCTTCCTGGTGAATCATTTCACGAATTTGGGCATGGGTACTGATCTCATACATCAAACACACAAGTACATACATACAATGCACACACACAAACTCAGGAACACCTCCATGAATGCTGACCACATGCACTTGCATATGCAAGCATCAGGCATGCGCACACCCCCACCACCACATTCATGTGCATATGCAGACATGCACATACATGTGCACCTCCATGCTCACATACATGCGCACATGCAAGCACAGGCATACATGCATACATGTGTTTATACACATATGCACACAATTTGGTGAGCACACATGCACGTACATGCATATGCATATTCATGTACAACACACACTTATACTCGTGCGTACGTGCACACACATACACACGTAGACCTGATGCCCTTTTTCTCTTTAGCACCTAAAATTTTTCCTCTGCTCCCATTTTCTCATTTCCCTTTTCCCCTTCAGCATTCCCAATATTGACATGCTTGAGGTTATTATATAGTTCATCATTGTTCAGAATATGCTATCTCTACTCACAAGGTCTGGATTTATCTTTCCACAAGACCATTGAACAGTCCTGTGTGCCAGCTATGGAAGTTTTCATAACCTGCCTGAATAGAAGAAACATCAAATCACTGAAGCTTAACCCTAAAGAAGTGAGGGTCACCTCAGCCTTGCCTTCTGACTCAGGCTGTTCATGTTGTAATAAGTGAGGGACATGGAATTGAGCACTTCACAAAGCCTTCTTTATAGCCAGGAGTGTGATCACAAGTAGGGATTTCCATGTATTTCCTGACACATTTCCCTCTTACTTTGTTGTGAAGGGATCTTGATTTTCATGTTCTAGCACTTCCCCCATGGTGCGGTTTTCTTTGCACTAGACTGAAGAAAGAGAGTTTTAAGTTGCTTCTTCTGCAAGGGCAAGAAGTCGCATGGATTGGGGAGTGGGTTTACCCTTCCCTATAGATCTTATCTCTGCTCTTTCTTCTGTTGTTTCGTGCATTGAGAATGGCATTGTTGGGTCTGATGTCTGCTAAGTCTCTAGAAAATACTGGAAACAAGAGCAAGGGGAAGGTGGCATCTCTTAGCTGAATTACCCAAGTCCATTGAATCCTGCCTTCTTGTTTTGCATGCACCTGGGCTTCCCAAGCCTCTGAGCTCAGGATTTTCCAACCTGCTAGCGTATGGCCCAACAAACCAATGGCATGGAAGCCCTTGAACAATAAACAAATAATAGGAATTGGCTTTTCTAAGAAAATCAGACAAATAAAAGAAACAAATTTACTGAAAGGATTTATTAGCCAGACTTAAGAAATGTCGACCAGCACCAATCCTATGAGGTTCTTAGGATATTTTCCCTGTCTTTTGCTTATCACTCCAACCCAGACCCTGTGCCAAAACTCATTACCACTGGGGCTATCTCGACAGCCCCACACTGTAGCATTTCTCCCCAGGATTGGTGGGGCCTGGAAACGCATCATAGGTGAGGAAATGGCTTCCAAATGTTAGCTTAGAAGGGCTGAACTACTGATGTAGATAATTAATTGAAAACCTTCTACCCATTTCTTTTTTTCTTTTTAGGTTCTTTAAATGGAATACTCTCTCTTTCTTGTTGATAGAACTTAAGAGTATCTACTTTATACTGATTTTAGTGTGAGGCTCAAAGGATGCCAAGAAACACAGGACATAGCTTCTGACCTCAAAAATCTCTTGGTCTTGGAAGGAAGAGGCAGATAAATTAGTATTATGGCTTATCTGGAGTACATAATCAATGGACAATGATTGGGAAGGCTCAAGCAAAGATCCCAAGAGGGAAGCTGTGTTGACATGATAGGCCAGAGGAGATAGATTTTAAATTATGTGTTAGGAGAAAGAGTACAGTTAGTTACAATAATCTAAAATTCAAGCAGGGGAGAAAATATCTACAAAAAAATAGTGAACACCTGGTTTCTTTGAGGATTTCTTAAGAAGTCTTCAGCTGGAGGCAGGTGGCATGGGCTACGGTAGAGGCCCAGATGAAGGGGCTATAGAGGCCATGACAACCCGTTAATCCAAAATGAGCCATTGAAGGGTTTAAAGCACTGGAATTAAAATATCATTTTCAATTGTTTTAACCCCTGGGATGTTTTGATTTTATGGTTATGAACAAAGATATGTTCAACAGAATTCTACCAAGGTTGATAAATTATTATTGAGACAGGATTTCCTAGGGACAATAAGACTAAGCCAATTTAATTGCTCAATCGGTTTCATATACCTTTCCATATAGTGTCATTTATGCAGAGTAAATGATAAGGTCACATTTTCTTTAGAGTCAAAATGACAGATGAAAAAGTTCACGTAGCAGAGTGGTGGGTTCAAAACTTGCCTCTTTGGATTCTCATTTTATATAGAACATGCAAGCTTCTGAATACGAAATATATTCCCACTGCATTCTACTATTTTTCAGTTTGAGGATTCAGCTATTTTAGAAGTTTCCGTTATTAGGGATTAAACAAATTATATTTTTTTAAGCGACTGAACATGTTTTAAATAGGATTTTTATGAAGAGGAAAAGTAGAAGTCCAGCAATTAGGCACACTTTATTTGCTGCCATCGCTCTGAAAGTGGTGGAGTTTGGAGTGAAGGTATAATCCTTGCAGCCATTGCACAGACCCACAGGCGTCTGCCAGTGTGTGCCAGGAGCCCGAGGCTCTTCAAGGCCATGGAGGAGCATGGCCCCCCATTCAGCCCACATTAACTCTGGAGTGCAGAAAAGTGACGAGGTCCTTTGTAGTGGAAACAGTAACTCCTGTCACGAAGGCTTGAAAACAAGTCACTTGGGTGTTGATGATGACTGGAAAACTGTATTTTGAAGGATCCCAAGGTATCTCTTTAACATTCATGCCTTCTCCCACAATCTGCTAGTCTGCCGACTTCAGCTTTCATCTCCTGGAATACCACCCAGTTCTCGCTGTTGCATCGTATCTGTGAAATGTGCATCATTCCCCTGCCTTTCATCTGAGAGTTTATACCAAGATTCAAGTTTTCATCGGCAGTGGGTTCATGTCAGTTAGAATTAATGGCAGTTTCACTCATTGGCTTTTATTGTTAATATTTACATACCTTCCAGATTGTGGCTTTTGGGTAGGGAGGCCAATGGAATGCAAAATGAGCCAAAGTCAAGAAGCACAGAGCTTTGCTCCTTTCCTTGAAAAAAAAGTTGCATTTTATTTGTTTTTAATAAATAAAATGAGCTTTACAGCTTCCAGTAAAATAGCCAAAAATAAAATAGAAGACTGTTTTATGCAAGTCTTAGGAATCCAAATGAATACTAAGCAGTGGTATTTGGGAGCTGGGTAAAAACTTTCTGACACAAGCATTACTATGCCTATAATACAGAAATCCGAAGGGAAAAAAAATCAGTTTCAAGTCTTTTTTATAACTTTATTTTCAAGTGACTAAAATTTACATAAAGCCATCTTTACTCAACTTTGGGTCTTTTTTTATATTTTATTTTATTTTATTTTATTTTATTTTATTTTATTTTATTTTATTTTATTTTATTCTATTCTATTCTATTTTATTTTATTTTATTTTTGAGACAGTCTTGCTCTGTTGCCTAGACTGCTGGAGTGGAGTGCAGTGGTGCAATCTCAGCTCACTGCAACCTTCACCTCCTGTATCCAAGTGCTCAGCCTCCCTGGTAGCTGGGACTACAGGCACACACTACCACACCTGGCTAATTTTTTGTATGTTTAGTAGAAATGGGGTTTCACCATGTTGGCCAGGCTGGCCTCGAACTCCTGGCCTCAAGTGATCTGCCCACCTCAGCCTCCCAAAGTGCTAGGATTACAGATGTCAGCTACCATGCCCGGCCAACTTTGGTCCTTTCTAGCACTACCAAGACCACTCTATCCTGCTTTCCTGACCTTGGCATTCAATTAAGTATTTTGAATGCTTCATCCTCAACTATGAACTGACCCTCCCGCTACCCGCCTCACTTTAAGTTCTCAAAATGAGATGACTTAGAAGTAGGTTGGACATGTTCTCAAGTATCCTAAAATAACCTGGGTTGTATGTGAAAGATTCGATGGACATAGGCACCTCATACTCTGAACACTTTGCCTCCTTGAATGCTTATTAACTTTTGCTAGGATGCTATACTTTTTATACCATCCATCTCTTCTGAAATTTTATTAATTTCAGAATAAAAAAATTAATTAATTTTTTTTGGCTTCTTGAGTAAGTGTTTTCCCTTTCTGGTTGAAGGACTTATAGCAAAGGAATTGAGCATGACCTTTGGAATCAGCTCTTCAATACAATCAAAGCTGCATCGAGAGGCTGTGTGCCCTTGGTTTACCTTTCTGAGCCTCTGTTTTTGAATCTGCAAAGCGGGATTGATTAAAATAAATACAGACTGTAACCTCTGTGGGGTAGAAACTGTATCTGTTTGCTCACAGGTGTTATTCCAGAGGAAATGCTTGGGCAAGCAGAACTTTGTCTAAAATACCACAGTGTACTTCCTGTTGGAATTCGAAGTTGGTAGTTCTACCTTTGTCAAATACCCTGACTTCTCTTTTGAGATTTTCACACTGCTAATTCCCAAAGGAGATTTATTTTAAATAGGTGATCTTTGAAGGTCTCTGCTGTTCTGAAAGTCTGAATATCTAGCATGCATATATGAATTGGATTTTAGCTGTACTGTCATTGTTATTTCCGGAATCAAAGGGACTTACTGGCTTCCTGCAACATGACTTGGGGAACTCCAACTCCTTTTGCAAAGTCAAGCTCGGGGGATCTATCACCCAATTTATTTTTGTATAAATGTTTTTCCATGTCTTCCTAATTGACTCCACTCCCCATCCTGTTGCTGTGGAACTGGCCCTGCTCCGAGGACCTCACCTGAAGCTGTGTGGTGTAGAAAGGATGTGCTGGGCTTATTGTCTGACAAATTGGGTCCTGTTTTGGGGCCACTCACAGAAGAGCTGGTGACCAGGGCAAGTTACAACTTCCCTGTAGCTCAGTGTCTGCATCTCTAAAACAGGGTAATCACCACTGTCCTCTCTGCCTCCCTGGAGACAATGTACGTGAAAGCAGTGTGAAAAATCTCCTGGGATGAACAAGTTCAGGATGAGCCATTGGTAGTATTGAAAAGCACAGATCCTACAGAACCCTCTGGGACTAAAGGGGGCCAAAGTCAAATACATAGTTCAAAACAGGTTAAGTGAGTCTTGATATCTGAATTATTTTATCCATTGTATAGTGGAAAGAATATGGGTTTTGAGGTCATATTATAGATCGGGATTCATACAAATTAAAAATAAGCCAATTTCTAAGCACAACAAAGCAGGCTTCAGTTAAGAAAGTCCAGTTTGAGTCAATAGTTTGGGTTGGATTTTTTTTTTTCTTTTCTTAAGAATTTACCGGTTCGGTGATCTCTGACATATCATTTAACCTCTCTGAGCCTCAGTTTCCTTATCAGCACAATGATGATACTACTGCCCATTTTTCAGCTTCTTATGTGTGAATTAGAGAGAAAATATATAAAGCACTGAGCATAGTCCTGAAGACACACATGCCCAAAAGACATATTTATTATTGTTTCTAGTTTTTATGTTTTTCAGGTATACAACTAAACCTGATGTTGAACTCAATCCATATGTTAATAATGCTTTTTTTAGGTATGAAGCATTATTCTGCATTTATATGCAAATAAAGACAAAAAGATGTCTACCCATAAAAGCAAAGACAGGTTGGGAATGTAGTTAAAGTAGATGAGAAGAAGGAAATTCTTTGTCAAATTGAAGATTCCATTCCTATTAAAAACACGCATAACTTACGAGCTAAATTTCAGGATGGAAACACTTTTTGAAATGGATTGGCCTACATACTTGTGAAGACTCCGCGGGACCAAGTCCTGTTCTTCTGTCAATACCCATGGTTTCAATAACATAGCACAGAGGACTAGAGAGAGAAGGCAGTTCTTTGGTGACAAGAATTGAGATTTTAGGACAACACTAGGATGTGAGAAAAATTCCTAAGGGTTTGAGTTCAGAGATCCTGGAGACCAGAAGGAAGCTTCGAACAGCTGGAGTGGGGTTTCCACAGGAAAAGATGTGTTTCTAAGGAGGTAAAAGGTGAAGTGCATGTTTGATGAACTGAGAATGAGTGCAGAATGACAGGCAATTAATAGCCTAAGCTGTGGAAGAAGTTCGAGTTAGGACTAATGGACAGAAGAAAGTAAAATCTAAATAACCAGAATATTGGCAATAAAGTACATGCGAGAGAGTCTTCTGCAGAACTGAGCAGATCCTCCAGAACAGTGGTTCTCAACCAGTGGCGATTTTGCCACCTCAAGGAATGTTGCCCTGTCTGGTGATGTTTTTGTTTTGTACACGTGGGTGAGTGCTACTAGCATCTAGTGGATAGAATCCAGGGATGCTGCTGAACATCCTGAAATGTACAAGTCAACACCCTCCCACCACCCCCAACAAATAATTACCTGGCCCAGGTGTCAAAAGCACACAGGTTGAGAACCCTTGCTGTAGAATGGCATATTCCAAACTGCACTCCACTGCATGCAAAGGATAATAACACATTTTCTGTGGGTTAAAAAGAGGGGGGGGCTTGGGGAAGGGAGGTTCTAAGATCCAATAAACTGAGGAAGCTCTGTGTCTAATAAACAGATTTCTTTATTATAGAATGATTCTGAGTACTTAAAAACAAAAAGCATTTCCAAAAACAATTTTCTAAGAAATAACTTTGAAGTTACAAGTGTTCCACAAAACACGGGACAGGAAACACTGATCTAGTATTTCATATTAATTAGTTTTTGATAGAATATTACTAATTACCTACTTGAAAAAGAGTAGACATATTTGACATTAAATTGTTAAAAATAAACAAACAGTTAAACATAAAACCTAGCCATGCATATGAAAAAAATATGAAAGCACACAAAGATTGCATACTGACAGAGAATGCATCATCCGGATAGTCCAGGCAGTGATGAAACCAACGGATGTTCCAGTACATACTTCCCTTCTACCATCTGTAGCACTAAGAATGACAAGAGTCTGATGTCTCATCAATATGCCGGGATGCTAATACAACCTTTTCCTTAGTAGGCACTCTATATTTGAATTTATTGTAGATACTTAAGTGATTCTCCCCACCCCTGTTTGTAAGTGAGTAGTTATAGCAGATGCTCACATCAGATTGCTGTGTTTGTAAAAGGATTCTATTCATTTGCATGTTTTTCTCTGAAATATTGCATTTATTTATTTCAGTGCATCTTCTTAGAAGATGTATTCAATAGGGAGCAAGAATAATATATACTCGTGGTTGAATGCGAGACCATAATTTAAATAGAGGTATTGGACTGACATCAGAGATTTGAGTGAAAGTGGAAGCCCAGAGGAAGGAAGGGGACAATTTATTATTGTTTACATATTACACTGCAGCTTTAGATTCCCTTAGTTACTACTTGAATGTAAAATGTATTACTCAGAAGAGGATCTGGAATGAACTCTATGCAGAAGACGAAGTTGGGTGGGTGTTGTGCTGGAATGAAAGCTGCAGTCGTCTTTGCAGATGCCAGTGTACTGGGAAATAGGCATGTGTATTTAGCATAATAAAGTCCTGCATTCTCATTGCCCAATCACTTAATTTTCTAAAAGAAAACTTATATCCTATCTCTCTTTTGATCCTACTTACTACAATATTAAGGGATTTAACAGCCTTAAGACCTTTTGTCCTTCAATCATTCATTAGTTTGATGTTATACCTAATCCCCATTTCCATTTGCAGAGAAGTCAGTGAATAGAATCAGCTACCATTATTAAACAGGTTTTAAAAAACGTACCACATCACTTGAAAAAAAAAATGATGAGGATTTTTTGGAGTGGTTTAATTTTGTATCTAATGCAACTAAAAACCTTACATATTCTTTTTTTCTATTGCTGTCATAACAGATTACCACCAACAGACGCTTAAGCGAACACACATTGATTATCCTACGGTTCTATAGGTAAAAGATCCGACTGGATTTCCACTGGGCTAAAATCAAGGTGTTAGTTGGGTTTCGTCTCTTTCTGGAGCACATAGCAAAGATTCTTTCTTCGCTTGGATTCCTGCTTCAAGAGGCTGTTTCCATTCCTTGGTTCATGGCCCCTTCCTTCATCTTCAAAGCCAGAAGTGTAGCCTCTCTTTGAGCCTGCTTTAGTTGTCACATTTCCCTCTGACCACAGCCAGGAAAATTTCCCCACTTAGAAGGACATGTGGATGAGTTCAAACTCACTTGGATAATCCAAAATATTCTCCCCACCTCAGGGCTCTTAACCTTAATCACATCTGGAAAGTCCCTTTTGCTATGTAAAGTAACATATTCCCAAGTCCTAGGCATTAGGACATAGACATTGTTGGGAATTCATGATTCTGCCCACCGTGCTTTATTTCCTTCCATTTCCAATGCGATTTGACAGAAATTCCAAATGATTCCCCCCAAAATCAGAAAAACCTATTTCAAAGTGTTTTATAACACATTAGCTGTTACTTCTTTAGCTTTGAAGTGAAATTAACCCAGACGTGAAATCCTCAGCTCTGTTTCCTTCCCACTCATGCTGTAGAAATAAACCTCCCAAAGATGCTGAGTAGGCTCTGTCCCAGGGCCAATGATGGCTGGTGGAGGTTGGTGGGACATCTCCCCTCTCCACTTCCAGCTATAAATCCCCATGTGTCACCCAAAGCCTGCATGGCTCACTTAGAGAAGCTCAACTGAGTGACTTCTGCCTCCCCTCAGGCACTGACTCCTACAAGCAGACAATTACTGGTGTCAGCAAGCATGTGCCTGTGGCTCGCTGCATGATTAGCCGTTAATATTTGGTTTTGAACTCCATCAGAGATAAGCTGTTCTTGCAGCATATCAAACCAGGCAATCTAATGCAAAGGATGCTATGGTCAGAATAAAGAGTTGCTCATTTTCCAAGAGATAAGTAGGTAGATAGATTGATAGATAGATAAATAGATAGATGGATACATAGATATAGGTAGAGATACAGCTATAGATTTAGATACAGATACAGATATAGATATATAGAAATAGAGATTTTTTAATAGACTAGTTTTTAGAATTCACGGATTCTTGTTGAGGGTGAAAAAGAAAAAGGGATACAGATCATGACGTCAGGAGATCGAGACCATCCTGGCCAACATGGTGAAACCCCATCTCTACTAAAAATACAAAAATTAGCTGGGCGTGGAGGTGCACGCCTGTAGTCCCAGCTACTAGGCAGGCAGCTGAGGCAGGATAATTGCTTGAACCCGGGACAAGGAGACTGCAGTGAGCCGAGATTGCGCCACTGCACTCCAGCCTGGCCATAGAGTGAGACTCTGTCTCAAAAAACAAAACAAAACAAAACAAACAAAAAAAAACAACTTTTGAGCTAAGTTCTCAAATATGTTTCTACTTCAATTTTAGGTCTCTTTCTCCTAAATATCAGAAAATGTCTTTGTCCAATATGAGTAGTCACGGAGAAATGAGGCAGTTTATTGGTAGTGAGAGTGTGATGAGGCAACCAACTACAAAAACCCTCTTTGGAGCTAGAATGATAGTGTTAGATTTCTATATCCCTCAAGGACTTTAACATTATAACCACTATGTCTGTCATTAAATACACCTGAGGTTGTGTATTCAGTGATTATAACCCTATTGGCATGCTTTTAAAAAAATTAAGGCTATTTTTTAGTCTGTGCCTGAAAACCACATTTTTAGGTCCCACTGTTGGCTAAGGAAAGAGTTAGGAGTTCATTCTTTGCCCAAGGTGCTGGGCTTATTTTATTAAAACATCCTTGCATGGTGACTTTCCTTATATTCAAAGTTCATTCCAGACGCCCAGCCTGATTTGGCCCCTGAGTCCTCATCTAGTGCCACTCTCTCCCTTGCTCACTCTTGTGCAGTCATGTTGGGCTTTTTCTGTTTCTGGAATGTACCGAATTCTCCAGTCTCCCCACCCTTGCACTTGAGGCTAGGTCTTTTCCCGGCTCCTCCTTCATTCATAAGTGCATTCTCAGCAAAACCGCCAGAGGGCGCCTGACACGTGAGCTCTGATCTGTCTTCAATGGCCTCCCATTTCACTCGAGATACAAGCCAAGGCTCTTATATCTAGCAGGAAGGCTGTCCACCATTTGAACTCAGTTTCTTCTCTGACCTCCTCTTCTGCCTACTTTCTTTTGGTTGCACCCCTGGACTTCGCTGTGTGCCTCAAATATGCTGGATATGCTCCCACCTCAAGACCTCTGCTGCTGCTGTTCCCTGTCCTAATAGTCTTCCTCTTAGTGTACACAAGGCTCCCTCCCTCTCTTCCTGCATCCTACTGCAGTTTCAGGTTCTAGACCAAGCATGTAGTAGGTGCTCAAGTAAATATCTATTGAATGAATGAACGAAAGCAGGCATTACTGTTCATGGAGCCCTTTCTGACAACCCTTTATTTAGCAAAATGGGATTTGCACTCTGCTAAGGAACGTGAATCTAATGTAAAAGATGGTGTCCCAGAAGGCTGTGAACTTTAGTGTTCAGACACACTGAGGTATAAATATATGAGTTCCACAGCCCTTCTGACTTTCTGTGCAGCTGACAGTACCTGTTTGATGAGAATTAAGTTTCCTGGGTACTCTGTAATTTAACCAGGACAATTGTTGCAGTGAGACCAGAGATTGTTTCTTTTGCTTTTGCCCATTCTTGTCTTATATATCTCATTGCATCTTATATCAGTACAATATTGGTAAATACTAGCACAAATAGCAAACTTTCTATGTAGTACACCCGTTAGGCCTCAGTGTGACTTGCCTTCCTCTCCAACAGCAGCCTTGTAAATGGTTTTGGAAAAGACAATCTGTGGATAAATTACTAGTTTTTTTTTTTTTTCCCATGTACTTACTGTGTGACTTTGGGCAAGTTTCTTAATGTCTCTGAATCTCTTCATGTATAAAACAGGGTTTTAAAAAATTCTACTTCATGAAGTCCTCATGTATTCATTTAATAAATATTTCATTGAGCACTTACTATGGTTGAGGCATTATTTAGGTGCTAGGGAAAGAGGGATGTACAGGACAAATAAGATGCCCAACTTTCATTCTATTGGGTGGAGGGAAGGAGGGAAGACAGTAGAGTAGGAAGGAGATGACGAATTCAGTAAGGTATTTTTCATGAGTGATGAGTGTTATCAAAGAAATAGGCCCAGGGAAATGAAATAGAAAGGGAAGAGATAGGAACACCACTTCAGGTTGAGTTATCAGAGAAGACTTCATTTCTTTGTGGCTGAGATCTAAATGCTGAGAAGAAACCAAACACACAAAGATCCTAGGGTATAATGTTCCAGGCAAGGGTAAAAGTAAAGTTCAAAGACCCTGAGACGGACAGTAGCTTGATGGTTTGGGGAACAGAAGGAAGACTGTCGAGCCCGCAGTCGTAGTGAGAGTGGTATTAAGGGAGCTCAGAGACATAAGCACAGGCTGGATTACGGCAGGTAAGCTCTGCAAAAAGTTTCTGGCAGAAATCATCTTACCACTCTTCCTGGCACCTCATAATTATCTAATAAATTTAAATGTCCTTTCTTTTCCAAATTTCAATTTTCTAATTAGAAGAAGGATTATATTTATTCTCCATTAAAATAAAGGGTATGAGCAAAGTTATGTTCAAATAGTTTGGTATGCTTGTGCTAATTTACATTTGTCACCAATCATGATTTTAATTAAATACATGGGAAATGGATTCTTATTAAAATTCAATAAATTTTTTTTTTACCCCAAATGTGGTCAAGTGTTTTCCCCTGGATTTATGTAAGCATAACTCCTATGATATGGTGTAAAATGAATCACACTTTTTTTTTAAAGATGCTTTTGTTTGAGTATCTTCAAGAAAAATCTGTTGTGAGAAAGATCCTAAACATATGTATGTATAGATGCATATCTTTGAAAGCCTATGTGAATACCAAGGGAATCTGAACTTTTTCTTTGGAGATGTTTACATAATAAATCTATTTTCATCAATCTGGCATATTTTTCTCCTAGCACTGACTTACTGAATGCCGCTGACCACGTGCTGCCTCTCATGCTAAATGCTTACTTAATTCATCACCAAATTCTGTAGACTGTACAGGCTAAACACCTCTAATGCATTTACTTATTTTCATCCTCACTGTCCATCACACTCCCTCCCTCCCTGTTTCTGCAACAGCTTCCCAATTGGATCTTTTTAAATGCAAATTGGATCCTGTGTTCTTTACTTTAAAATATTTGTATGGCTCGCCAGTGCCCTGAGTGGTTTAGGGGTTCTTAGCTTTTATCCCTTATTTACTTTTCTAAGTGCATCTGTTACCACTTCCTACAGGTCAGGGTCACGCTTAAGCTCCTCCCATCCTCAAAGAAGCCTTACTCTCTCGCTTTGCCTTGTCCCTTTTGCCTGAAATCCCCTTCCTCTACTCTACTTTAGCCCCTCCACCATTACCAGACTAATCTCTACTCATCCATTAAGGCCCGCTTCAGCCCTCTCCCAAGGGCTGCACTCCACAAACCCCGCCCCCACATGTCTAGTTATTAGCACTTCGCTGTGCTTACACACCTTCTAGAGGTATCAGAATTATCACACCCCATTGTTAGGACTGGCTGCCTAGCCATCCCACTAGATTGTCAGATGGTAGGGGCAGGCATCATGACTATGGGGTTCCTCTTAAATCCCAGTGCTGGGCACGCTGCACGGCATAGAGCAAGTACTCAAGAAATGTTTCTTGAATTTAAAAGGTGCCTTTAAATCAAATGCCTCTGAAAAGGGAGTTGATAATGCTCCTCATTACCTGAAGTTTAGCTTCATGATCTATGGTCAAAAACATCCAGTTTGGTCCTACCTGTGGAAGCATATTGACTGCCCTTAACTCAAGCCCTTAACTCTCTAATTTCACTGATTTCTATAATAGAAAGAAGTATTATTATTACATTGTTTATCATGGAGCTAAAGTTTAGTTTTTGCATGTGAATAGGCGAGGCCCCTTCTCACCCCTTTCCTTACCTTCCTTTTTATTTATTTACTTATTTATTATTTTTAGAGACAGGGTCTTACTCTGTGGCCAGGCTAGAGTGCAGTGGCATGATCATTGCTCACTGTAGACTTGGCCTCCCAATCTCAAGCGATCTTCCTGCCTCAGCCTGCCAAGTAGCTGGGACTACAGGCATGCACCACCACACCTAGCTAACTTTTTTATTTTTTGTAGTGATGGGGTCTCATTATGTTAACCAGGCTGATATTGAACTCCTGGCCTCAAAGGATCCTCTTGCTTTGGCCTCCCAAAATGCTGAGATTGTAGACATGAGCCACTATGCTGGGCCCCCTTTTCTTATTCTTAGCAGGAGCATTCCAAACTCTGGAAATCTATGCCCAAACCGTTGCTTTCATTCCACGAGCTTGCTAATGGCCACAGATGCCTGCAACATTCCTCAACTCCCCTAGCTTTCAGTTTTATCCTGTAAAATTGATTGCTTTGAATTTCTATTGTTAGTAATTAATTGAAAGAATAAGTCTTCATGATAGGTCAATAAATATGTTTTATGGATGAAATCCCAGCAGTGCAAATGCAAAACTTGTGTGTTTTAAATTTTAAATGGTTACCAAAATGAAGCCTCCAACTCTACTCAAACTACAGCTTGCAAAATCAGTAATGAATCCATTAATTTCTTTTTTTTTTTTTTTTTTTTTTTGAGATGGAGTCTTGCTCTGTTGCCCAGGCTGGAGTGCAGTGGCGTGATCTTGGCTCACTGCAAGCTCCATCTCCCGGGTTCATGCCATTCTCCTGCCTCAGCCTCCCGAGTTGCTGGGACTACAGGTGCCCGCCACCACGCCCGGCTAATTTTGTTTTGTAATTTTAGTAGAGACGGGGTTTCACCGTGTTAGCCAGGATGGTCTCGATCCCCTGACCTCGTGATCCTCCCGCCTCAGCCTCCCAGGGTGCTGGGATTACAGGCGTGAGCCACCGTGCCCGGCCATCCGTTAATTTCTTGACATTGTTTTTCACATGCCTTGTGTCAGCTCCCCTAGGCATCTACTGAGTCCCACCTAAAACAAAGACTACTCCATACATCTGCAATTTTTCAGCTGAGGTAGAGAAATGGAGAAGCTTACTACTGTTGTAACGTAGATATATTTGTTCATGTTCACCTTGATCTACTTTTCGACATCACTGGCCAAGGTTTAAATTTAGATTCATCTAACATTTTGTGTGCACACATTGTGCTAAGAACACTGCTAGATACTTTACATGTATTTTATCTGTAAATATTCAAACTCCAGGAAAAAGTTATTTATTTACTACAGCACCATTATGCAGATGAAGATATTGAGGCCCAGAAAGGTTTAAATGTTTATTTAATGCCACACAGCTGTTAAGAATTCAAATCTAAGTTATTGTAACTCCAGTACAAACTCTTTCCTTTATATTGTGCTACCAAATAAATCCCAGGGACCCTTTGCCCTTTTGGGATAAATATTACCATTATTTTTCTGGTCTTTGTGTCTCATTGGGAACTTGCTGTGAGATCCTGAGAGTGTCGCTTAGCTTATGCAGGTGTGACTTACAGCCTGTGTCAACAATCTGGCCCCAAGTAACATGCCAGGTAACAGTTTCAAGCCTGGGTTACTTGAAAAGAAGGCTGAGTAGGTTGGTGGGAACTGGGACCAGTCTTATGATGGAGGAATATGCTGTTGCTATTCTTGAAATTCTTTTCCTCCACCCCACTTCATCCCCTACCCCTTGTTGTTGGCAAGATTTATCTTCAGGTATCCAGGGAAGATGAACTCAAGCTACCTCTCCTCCTTCCCTTCATTTTGTCTAGGTCCTCAGTCCTGCCTACACACAAGTATTAGATAAGTCTCCCTAATTTTAAATGGAATGGCTGGCCAGGCATGATGGCTCACGCCTGTAATCCCAGCACTTTGGGCGTCTGAGGTGAGAGGATCCCTTGAGGCCAGGAATTCGAGACTGGCCTGAGCAACATTGGGAGACCTCGTCTCTACTAAAAAATAAAAAATAAAAAAAATTAACGGCATGGTGGTGCGTGCCTATGGTCCCAACTACTCAGGAGGCAGGAGGATTACTTGAGCCCCAGAGGTCTAGGCTGCAGTGAGCTATGATTGCACCACTGCACTCCAGCCTGGGTGACAGTGAAACCCTGTCAAAATAAATAAATAAATGAATGAATGAATGAATGAATGAATGAAATAGAAAGAGTGGCTGAGGGAGTATGTGTTTCATTCTGTGTTTTATCTACAGCTCGAGAAGCCTGGAACTCTGTGGTCCTGCACCTCCCCCTACACCCCCCAACAAAAATTAGCCTCCAATCAGCTCCTGGAGACAATGTTGGTGGGAACCACAAGGGTTCCTGGGCATGCCCAATCTCTGGCACTGAAGAGGAGATTCAATCAAAATAAATGTATGCTGTCGAGGCCAGGCTGGCCATATGTTCCTGCCAGGCAGTTGTCAGGAGGAGATATTTGTTACATTCAAATGTGGACACAAGCTCCTACGAAGGCAAACACTTGTCATTTAAAGGGACATCTGAATATGGCAGCATGTTTCCAGTGATAACCCAATTTCATTTTACAGCCTTTTCCTTCCCTTTCTCTTGGGCTCTGGGCCTCCTTACCAACACATCCTGTTGGCCAGCCTGCTCTATCACAGCAGTATAGTTGAAAACCTAGGCACAGCTTTCTACCCATAAGTAGCTTTGTAATATTCCTAGGAGGAACTTCCTTTCTCCCTTCCTCTCCCACATTGCCTCTTTGTCCAGATGTTAACGTGGAAGCATATTGACTGCCTACTTTCAAGCCCTTAACTCTCTAATTTCACTGATTTCTGTAATAGAAAGAGCTATTATTATTAAGTTTTTATCACAGAGCTAAAGTTTAGTTTTTGCAAGTGAATAGACCACTATTCTCCTTCCTGTGTTAGTAACTGCTTTTTAAAGCTCTTGTGTTCTATTAAAATAACAATATAAAATTATGTAAATGTGCTAATTGCTTTATTGAAATTAATACCCTTATTTAGCAAGTTAAACCTTGCAAAATGACCATTTTTATTAAAAATTATGGAAGCATGCTGGCTGTTTAAAGGCTAATGTAATTGGGTGAACTCAGCAACTGGGAAATGTCAATTAATGAGAGATTGTTAAATAGTATTGTTTAAACAATCAATTTTCTCTTGCAGTTTGGAAAATGGTCCTGATAAAGTAATAGTGACTATCTAAGGCCTGAAGGAAGGTTTGTGAGTATTTTTTCCCATCTGGTTTTTAGATCTGTTGGATTTTCTTCTGGGTGTGTCAAAATTAGATTTGTTTAGTAATAGAAATTTGAACTTGGCAGTTTATAGAAAATCAGGATAGTTCTCCTCTGTGAAGGTCATTTTCTAGCTGGCAATAAATGGCCACATGCAACCTCTGCCACCAGACCGTGAGCACTTGTTGAAATAGTTGGAGACATCTAATTACTTTCTCCTGAGATGGTTTGCCTTTTTCTTAGAACAGGATTTTGAGACTATAAAGAGATCTATCTCTCTGCTCTTGATAGTTAGAATTATTGCGTCTCCTTGATAAGATATTGAGTATCCTTCTTATGGGTCTGAGTTTTTTTAGCTTCTCTACCATTGGAAATAACAATAATGCTTGCCACGAAACCATCTAAAAATCCATCGTCTTTGCAGTAGCCTTCAACCGGAACTACTGATAGCTGTTCCTGCAGTGCCGTTGTTCTCATTGGAGCATACTACAGAAACCTATTTATGAAAATATCTTGTGGTTTCCAAATAGTTGTAGGAAAGGGAATTTTTGGTCACTTATGCAATTTACAGAATTGAGGTCAGTTGAGGATGTTGGGATAGTTCTGACTGGAGCTGTGAAGACAAAGGTATGAGTAATACTCTAGATCTCTAAGCTCATTTCCAATTGTATATTGTTTGTGAGTCATTGGCTTTGAAAACCAGAGGAGAGGCCCACATTTGAGTTTATCTGTAAACACCCGTTTTTGGTGTCATCCAGCATTTGAAAGTAATAGTTGTAGGTGGTGGATCATGTTTAATTTCTAGGGCTTTTTGTGAATAGATGATAAAGTGCTCCTTTATTATATGATAAGACACAGCTCTCCACTCTCCCTCCCACTCTACTCCCCCGTCATCCTGGAACTAAATCACCAGAGGGTTTAATCTATTTCAATTTTCTTTGTTCACATCAGAGATGTTTTGGGTTTGTTCTGTGGACTTCTTATGACTAAGAGTATTGATTTTATTAATCCAATTGTTTGTGAACAAAAGCTGGCTTTTTTTATTGCTGGAACTGAAAATTAGTGACATAAACTCTGATATCTTAAAAGGCTAAACTCACATT
Source organism: Homo sapiens (assembly GCF_000001405.40). NCBI lineage: Eukaryota > Metazoa > Chordata > Mammalia > Primates > Hominidae > Homo > Homo sapiens. The sequence goes on from NC_000005.10 coordinate 167,730,800, forward strand.
TTTCCCCAGAGGCATTTACCAAACTGGCTGTTACATTTATCCTTTCCTCTACTAAATTTATGCAACATGAACTGCAGGATAATAAGCGTACCAATATACTTAGGTTCCTAAGAGTTTCAACATAATACTTCTCACAGTGAAATCATTGGTTCAGTTATAAGACACTCCATGCACTATTGAAATACGACCTAGGATGCACCTAGTTTTACTCTGATTTCTGTGTAGATGTGGATGCAAGGATTCTTTTGATTGAAACATGTCCTTAGTTTCCATGAACAAGGCAACATACACCTGATCATTCCACCCTTGAAAGATGCAAATAATCTTTCACGTTTTATATTAAAACACCAGATAAAAACCCCATGCCAGTTGACTAAAATGAGTTTCTACCCTCCAGACAGTTTTTTTTTTTTTTTTAGTTCTAAGGAAAATAGTTCAATTTTAGCTGTATCAATAGCGTTTTGAGCGAGATGGAAGATGTTCGCCTCCGTTACAGAGGGAATTTCAGGCATTGCATTGGAGCTGAAATTTGCTGGCACCTGCTGAGTGAGATTTTTCTGGCCTGTGCTCTGAGAACATCTTTTATCAAGTGCATGATCATTTATCCAGCTTTTTGAGATCTAAACCAGGTCATTCTTTGATCTTTATCTTACTCTGAACTTCCTAATGGTTGAACCCGGTCAGAAGAGGGTGAATCTCAGTCCTCCAGACCCTTCAGGAAGAAAGTCATCCTGTTGGTAGTTTAGTTTTCTTTGTAACAAAAGCATTTTTTTTTTATTTAACCTATTTTATCACTTGAAAATCTACTATTTTGTTTCTGCCATCCTAGAGTGTGTTTGGTCTAATTGAATCTCTTCATGGACTCTGGGTGGTCACTAAAGCATCAATTTCTCAGAGGTTTTTTTTTTTTTTTTTTGAAATATTTAAGGCTATTTGCTTGCCTCCAAATGGTTCCAGACTACTGCATGTAGTTTTTATGTCTTTCTTTGGTAGTATAGCCTTCTCATTTGTTGCTTTCATGCTGTTACCTTGTCACAATGCCTGGCAAAAAGTAGGTGCTCATTAAATATTTCTTAAATGAATAGATGATAGTATTTTCTCTTCCTTTTCTAATTGCCTACTTCTAATTTGTTGATGTTTTGGAAATCAAGTAGGCATACATGATAATATTGTGAGCAAATCAAGATTAAACAGTATATAATTGCGGGCTTTAATCCCTTGGAAAGTAAAAAGCCAGGACTTATTTTGTGATACTGATCTTGTGACAACTATTTTGACTACTAAGAGGTGGCTTTTAAAACATGCTTTGTGCTTTGGAACTGAGCTCTGAATCCACAAAAACTGAAATTTTTGAATTCCAATTAGGTGAGGTATCTTTGTAGTTAGTTTTCCATCCAATGGTCATTACCAACACCTAAGAGTACTCCCAGAAGCAGGCTGTAGAAAAATCACTAGGCCATTACTGTGTTTGTGCTTATTTTAATTAGATTTCTTTTAGATTTTTTAAAGCTGTCCAGGGAGAAAATGTGTCCCTTGTGAATGCAATGTCCATTATGTAAAACTTAAGTGCATCAGGGGCTTTGGAAAGTGTAAAATTTATACTTAGGGCCCTGTTTAGTCAATGTGATGAGATTTAAGATCAATTATAGGGGAAGAAAAGAACTGGATACATTATTGTTTTTAAGAAAACTTAAAAGATGATAAGTATGTTTTTTGTCTCACTGCCAAATGGTTGACAGTTTGCTTTTTTGAATTGCAGTGGAGCTTTTTGAGATGTTGGTCAGAGCCACTTCTGCTACTCTCTTATTGTGTTCTGGCTAGAAGTGTTGGGAGGACAAGAAAATTTCTCATTAGTGACATGTAGTGACACTTCACTTTATTGTGCACGGATGATTTTCTGACAGAGATAGATGACATGGTTCAAGTTTCCAAGAAAATGTTATTCCATCATTGAATGGGGAAGCTCTGAACCAATCTTTCCGATTTACAAACAGACCATAGATGTGCCAAATATGACAAACTGATACTGAAATGTGGAGCCTTGAAATTGAAGATGTTTCCTTGTTCATTGTTGGGTATATAAGGTTACAGGTAACTGAGTACATTAACCATGCCATGTGTTCACTTTTCATTAAGTAGTGACGTGGATGGTGCAAGGTCGATAGAGAAAAGTCTCCATTAGTCTGAATTTTTTGACACTAGATTTTTATTTTCCTATCAGGAAATATTTTTTTCTGGAGCAGAAAGGGCAAAATAGTTTCCTCCATTTTCTCCAACAGGAGCATCTCCTCAATAGGATTCCTCAGCTTGACTCGCTGGTGTCAAAGAGAAAGGCATATTCCCAGGCAGTGGCGGAGTTGATTGGTCACCTGCTACCCCTTCCCTTCTGTAACATCCACTAACTCCTCATCTCCTTGCCAATAGTGCCCACTTTCTGTTTGACATCAAGGAACTAAATATAGTTAGTTCTGACAGAATGTCTAGTCAGTGCTGTGTCAGTAAATGGTTAATAACAGGCACTGAGGGCCTGAGTGTGGATCTGCTTGTAACATCTGATGATTTGATTTCCATGGTGTAAGTATTCTCACTATGACTAATTTCAAGCCACCAAAGTAACATCGAATGTGAAATTAAAAAGAAATACTAACAACTGGCTCCCATGATCCCATAATACTCAATACCAGCATACTACTACCTCTATTCCAAAGCTGCTGTTTTACATACAAGAAAACTGTGATCTAAAGGAGTGAAGAGGCTTTTCTGAGATCGCACAAACAGGGTAAGACTTGCGCCAGAGTACCTATCCCCAACTTCTGAAGTTAGTTTTTAATAAGCTGATGATCTGATTTACTTATGTTTACATATGTAGCTGCTAACTGAAACAAATTTATTTCTTTTAAACGGAAGGGCCCCTTAGGTTCTTTGCTTAAGACCAGAAAACTAGCCAATGTTTCACAAAGTCAGTATTTTAGACTCTGCTGCCCAGTTTCTGGACAAGAATCCCAGTGTATCTTAATGGAAGCGGCTATCATGTATTGCGTATATATGTGCCAGTCACTCCATATGCATAGTGCCACAGAACCCACAGGGAAGGCATCATCTTTCTCTCCACATTGCGTATGAGGACACTAAAGTTCAGAGATAGAAACTTACCCAAGGTCACGTCTCATACGTACTAAGGAGTGTAGTGAGATCTTGACCCCAGGTTTCCTTGACTTCAGATAACACTTTGCCTTGCACTTGCTGCATTGTTCTGGAGAGGTCTTATTTCCACTATGTGCTGATGGACTTTGGGGATTTTCTGTAATTTAGGAAATATTTGTGGGAAACAAATTACTGTACCAAATGAAAATGCAGATGGAGCAAGGGTTTGATGAACAGGTAGGTAGCTAATAGTATCCATGGCCCTTTGGGGTTCTGATCATAGTTTTTAGTATTTTCCCTGCTACTTCGTCCCTCATCTCATCTTTGAGATTTGGTAAAGCTAACTGTGAGGACTCACCTGAGAGGACCCACATCTTATCTCAAAGGTCCTTTTAAAAAATAATATGAGAAATATTCATCCACTTCTAGAACTAACGGTGAATAACCAGTAGTTAAAATCTAAAAAGCAGGCAAAAGGGTTGCATCTTTTAAATAAATATAAATAACTATATTAATTAGATATAATCATATATAATATATGCAATATATTATATATAAATAATATATAATAAATATATTAATAGTTAATGACAACAAGGCTGGTTAAAGCAAAGGCTGCTTCGTTTTATCCTTCTTGTGCCAAACGAATGGCATTCCTATATGATTCCCATAGTTTGCCAGTGTGTTCTATCTACATTATTTGGAGTGAGTCTGCAGCTTTCAGTACTGTGGTCTGCATTAAAGTGGGATGATTAGCATAATCTATACTGCACCCTTAAGAATATGGGGGCAATTAAACACTGAGCTTGACCTACCGCCCTCTTTTGCAGGGCAGAGATGATCCTGCACAGCAGAGGTGATTATAAATATCAGTTCTATTCATTCTTCCTCTCAACTGCTTCGTCTCCCTTCCTTCCTTCATCTCTCTTTCTCCACGCTCTACACATGCAATTTTTAACCTCCAAAACTGGTGAAAAACTGATGGCATCAGGCTATCTTGCTGGAAATTGAAAATGCCAGTCAAACAGGGTCTCCAAATATCCAAGTATCTGGATGTTTAGGGTGGTGTAGACAAATTAACCAGATGCATCCATTGTGAATCTGGCTCTTTTTGGAGACCTGTGGAAACAACAAATATCTATATATAAAGAGAAAAATAATACTAACAAGCAAACAATTGCTTTGAAGTTCCATTGCAATTGTACTGTTATATGTCTGGCAGCCACATCCAGTGTCTGAAAATCGTGGTCGTATTTGCTATAACAAATCATTCCCACTGATTCCCATGTTGAAGTCTGAAAATTTACAGATGAAAAAAACTATGTCAAGATATCCAAGGCAATTTCTGCATTTTTAAATAAAGAAATAGAAGTAGTGACCTGCTTGGTAAAGACTAACTAAAATGTCAAGTTGCTTCTTTGTGAAAATCAGAAAGTTTGCTTTGTGTTAGTATGAGAAAAACTAATCAGTCAATACTAAATAAATGTAATTTGGTAAACAAAACCTGTTACAACTAGAAATACTTAGCAGATTTTTTAAGAATAAAAAGAGGGGGCTGGACTTGTGAAAACTATTGACCAGGAAGTTCTTTGACCAGGCTGAGTGCAGTGTCTCACACTTTGGGAGGCCAAGGCAGGAGGATCGCTTAAGCCAGAAGTTCAAGACCAGCCTGGGCAACATGTCAAAACCCCATCTCTACAAAAAATACAAAAATTAGCTGGGCATGTTGGTGCACACCTGTGGTCCTAGCTACTCAGGAGGCTGAGGTTGGAGGATCACTTGAGCCTAGGAGATGGAGGTTGCACTGAGCCAAGATCATACCACTGCACTCCAGCCTGGGCGATAGAGTGAGACCCTGTCTCACAAAAAGAAAAAAGAGAAAAAAGAAAAGAAAAGAAAGTTCTATGACCGGTTCATACCAATCCAGCCATGATTCACTGTACACCCAACTAAGTGCCATACAGCAGTGAGGTCAAGATTGTACTTGTAGCATATACAATCTAGGGGGGAAAATAAAGTTTTACACATTCGATGAATGTTACCAAAGTGTATTAGTCTGTTCTCACACTGCTAATAAAGACATACCTAAGACTGAGTAATTTATAAAGGAAAGAAGTTTAATTGACTCACAGTTCAGCATGGCTGAGGAGGCCTCAGGAAACTTACAATCATGGTGGAAGGAGAAGCAAACACGTCCTTCCTTCACATGGCAGCAGCGAGGAGAAGTACAGAGTGAGGGGTGGGGAGAAAGCCCCTTATAAAAGCATCAGATCTCATGAGAACTCACTCACTATCGCAAGAACAGGAGGGGATAAACTGCCCCTGTGATTCAATTATCTCCACCTGGTCCCTCCCATGACACGTGAGGATTATGGGAACTACAATTCAAGATGAGATTTGGGTGGGGACACAGCCAAATCATATCACAAAGGGACTTAGAGATATCTATCTAGAATTTCTGCTTCTAACCAAACAGAATTTGAACAGGAGAGTCATTTACCTATAGTTAGTGATTTTATAGGGGTCAAAAATGCAACATCCTCAAAATTATCCATTTTGGCAAACCAGTTTACAAATCCTATATTGCTCACTTCTTTGGGTTAAGGTATTTAAGGTCTCAGTAAAAGATAATGCTGTAAGACAACGATGTCAAGCCATTATGAAACCTTAAAAACTCGACTCTAATAAATGTGTTGGATTAGCAGCCAGTCACCTAGGACCTCCACAGAAGCCCTGGCTCAGGAAAAAAAAAAAAAAAAAATCCTCTGAGGGTCTGAAGAGAGGAATTTGGAGAGGAAGGAATCCCCGAAATGCATACTTCCAGGTGAGGGAGCCCCGGTGGGAACTTGAGAAGTCTTGTTCCTATCTGAAGACCCATAGGCTGAAAGAGATATTGAAAGGAACATCCTAACAAGGGGCTGAAGCAGCCACACCAGACAATTCTGATGGGGAAGTCTGCCTTCCCTAGCCAGTGAACTAGCCTGGTAGAACACCTGCTAGATCTGGCTGCAGAAAAGCACAAGTCTCCCTACTGAATGGCAGCAAAAATGAAGCAGAGTTTCTGAGATTTGCCCAAGGCCATAGAAGCAGTCCGCCTCACACCTGGGATTGGGATTCAGATCTTTCTGCCTTCCAGAAAGACAACTCCTGTCGCTCCCGATCATGTCCTATTTTTAAGTTCATTAGTTAACCTCTGGGTACTTAGCCAGTTCCAAGAGCCAGTACGTCAAAGCGTTTTTAAATGGACGAGCCTAAAGTGATCATTGTCTGGTTGGCCCGGCTCACCCCGTGAGCTCCTGCAAATGTTCTGTGGTTCATACAGAGGCTGGCTGCTCATCAACAAGTTTCTCTGGGAGGTGGGAAGCATCTTTCTTCTGATCAGAACATGCCTGTCACAGAGCGCCGGCGGCTACCAAGCAGTGCCTGCTCGAAAGAGCCACTGCCCCAGCCTGGGAGTCCAAAATCTGTCTTCTGGCAGAGGCTTTAACTGTTTGGCTGCTGCTTTCGAAGGTCCATGCTGGTACCTCCCAGGAAGAGAGAACCCAGCTGGGAAGCTGCCAGTTGCAGGCAATCTTCTCCTTCATTTCAACTTAACAAGTATTTAATGTGTACCCGCTGAGGGTCCAGTCCTTTGGGGTATGCAGCCCTCTGGAGGTCTACAATCATGCTGGGGAGTCCAGACACAAGCAGGAGGCAACCAGATGATACATCAAGGCTCTACATAATTAAGAGCTCTGCAGTCACGGCTACAGGAATTCAGGGATGTTCAGGGCTGTTGATGTAGCACTGCCTCTGCAAAAGGACAACTAGCAGTATTTAGAAAGGACCCAAAGACATTGTTTCTGCCCTATCAGGGTTCTTTGTCTCACACTAGGACACAAGTAAAAATATCAGGCAAAATGAGACCTCTGCTTAAAGGGAGAGCTCATGAAAATGAATGGGGCTCCCCTGATGCACAAGATTCTTCTCCAGACAGTTCTATAGGGCACTGAGCTGATCCCTATCACTCTGAGGTCAAAGGGAAGGCTAACTTGGCCTCAGCTGTCATGGCTGTGTTGTTAATCAACCCTTCCATGCTAAACTCCCAGCTCCAATTTGCCTCCTTTTTCTTGTGCTGATACTTGTTTTATTTTGTCCTTGCTTTTCAGCATTTGCTGGGCACCCACAGGGTTCTGGCACTCCAGCAAATGCCTGGGTGGCAGTGGAGTCATAACTCAGAAGACAGGATGCTGTGCGTGACTGCTTGATATCTAGCAATGCAGTAGCACGGTGGAAGTTTCTGGCTGTGTTAAATTCTAATTGTTTATATAATAAGAGCGTAGCATTGGGGGGCTGTTATAACATGGAGTGATGTGTTGAGCTTGAGCTTACATGGTGTTAGATCAGCTTTCTCACACTTCTGATATCCTCTCACCTCCTGGAAGAGTGACTTCTTGAGCTAGGCAATTTGCTTTTAGAAGATTTATTGTTAAGTCTGATTAAGTAATTATTAGTAAAATAATTTGTTGGATGTCTGTCCCCCTTGCAAAACTGTAATTCTTATGCAGGCACTGACACAATGTGGATTCTTCTTCATTGCAGCCCTAGTGTCTTAAACAGATTTGTGATGAAATAATCGATAAATATTTATTAAAGTGATTATATTATTTTTCTAGGGATACCATAAGAAAATTCCACAAGCTGAGTGGCTCAGACAACAGAAATTTATTTCCTGTCAGTTCTGGAGGCTGGAAGTCCAAGATCGAGGTGTCAGCAGGTGTGGTTTTTCCTGAGACCTCTCTCCTTGACTTGTAGATGGCCACCTCCTCACAGCATGCTCACATGGTCTTTCTGTGTGCACCCTCATCCCTGGTGTTTCTCTGTGTGTCCAAATTTCCTCTTCTTATAAGGACACCAGTCAGATTAGATTAGGGCCCACCTGAAAGTCCCCGTTTTAACTTAATCACCTCTTTAAATGCCCTATCTCCACATATAGTCCCATACTGAGGCACTGGGGGTTAGGGCTCCAACATATGAATGGGGGACACCATTCTGTAACAGGGATGAATGATAGAAACAGAATGAAGTATATTGCAGAAAACTGGATCATATTAAAGTGGATAAACTAGAGAACAATATACATAAATACTACATTAAAACGAGTTAAAGTTATTCCTTGCAATAGGAGCCCTCTCCCTCATTTGTTCCCTTGGCTAGAAAAGGACAGGGTGGCTTTGCAGTCTGCAGGCCAGGAATGGTGTTCTAGCCATGGGTAGGGTGTAGATTAGTTCTGTAATTTGGGAATAGTCTATTTCTATTTCTGGGCTTTTGTTCTTTATTCTACAAAATAAAGGGAATCGGGCTCATGAAGTCACTCAGTGATCCTATGAAAAGCCAAACCAGAATGGAAATATTCCTTATGGCTTCTCTGTTTGACTAAGAGTGATAATCTGCAGTAATTCTCTTTCCTCCAAGGCTCATGGAGAGAAAGAAGAGACCCAAAGTCTACTTTGTCTTTTCCTTAGTGGGATTCCAGTTACCTGTAAGCCAGACAGTCAGGGAAGCAAAAGTCTCTACCCTAGGAAGCAATAAGCAACTCCCTAAATGGGAAAAAAGCCAGCAAATGCTCCTGGTTCCCATCTTGCTGGCAGGGAGCAAGTCTGTGCTGCCTTGTATCTGTCTTCTCCTGTCTTGGTGATGACGGACTTTAGGAGATACAGTGTTCAAGGAAGCAGTAAGGACCATGAATCCACAAAACAGGAAGTCAAACCCTAGTTCCCCTGCTGACTTGCTCCAAAGCTCAGAATACCAAACTGGTGAAATCCCAACTAAGACCACTTTTCACACTATTCCACTGATGTTTCCCATTCTTCCCCGTTTGGAGTGCAGAGTTGAGACATTACCTTGAGCACTGAAATGACACAATATACACATGGAATTTCCTCCCCATCCCCAGTGCAGTTTTCCAGCAATATGTGATAACTAATTACTTGTGACCCTCGCTTCCCCTTGTTATCTCCTGGAAATAGTTGTTTTTCTGTGTAAGAACTTGCTACAGATGCTACTAAAATAAAATCCCTGGGATAATTAGCAGATGCGGGGGTTTCTGCGATGTTTCATTAGTGAGTGGTGCTGGTCTAGGAGACTGCCAGCTTGCTTACTGCACTCAAAAAGCAGGGTTGTAGCTGCCATTGTTTGGATTTGCATATGTTCTTCCCATTTTCACTTACCGCCCCTTTGCCCAAGAAATCACCTCTCCAAATCGACAATGACTTTCCAAATCTATATGTCTTTGCTTTTCCAGTTACTGCCTTCTCTTCATTTACCCAGTCACATCGGGTTATGGAAACACAAATGCAGAAACGTGCCCAAATCACTGTGATCTCAGAAATTCAGAGCCGTTTGCATTTCAGCTTAAGGCAGCAGCTTCTGAACTACACTGAATAGAACTTGGGAAACCTCGTGCACCCAGAACTGATAGAATGCTTCTCTTGTGTGTTTTTGGATTGTGCAGTCAATTGACATTTTGTTGACACTACTTCCCTTCAATTTCCCTTTCTATATAATTTCAATTCTCCTTCTTCTAGGATTTCCCATTGCTATTTCCAGTGGCTTTATATCATGGCTCAGCCGATCTTTGAGAAATAATGCCAGGCCTCTCTCTGTTCTTTTGTATCCCGCGTGCTACCTGATTCTTATCTTACCTGTGCAAACACAAATGGGGTACGGCCAAGAATAAGAATAACACTTTAGCCTCAGTTACTGGGCCTAGGGACCCGTGAGAGGGATCTGATATAGCTCAATCAGTAGTTGGCTGTCTTCTTTATTCTGCAAGACTGATGATCAGGACAATCCTTCCTCTTACTGAAACAATATATTCCTAACCTCATTTTCAAATTCCCTCTTGGTGATCCCTAGGCCCTCCTTGACTTCATCAGCACCCACTGCTTCCTCCCGCTACTGGGCTCCAACCACCTCAGTCTTCTGTCAACCCTGCAGACGTGCCAAGCTCATTCCAACGTGAGAACCTTGGCATGTCTTCTGTCAACCCTGCAGATGTGCCGAGCTCATTCCCATCTGAGAACCTTGGCACTTACTGTTTCCTCTTTGTTGTACACTCTTTCCCTATAGCTGCGTCTTGTCCTTCTCCTCAATCTGAGAAGCTCATTCTTATGCTCAGAAGTTACCTCCTTGAAAAAGCCTTCCCTGAAGTTAAGTGATTTTGCCCACTCCACCCAGTCCCTATCTTTTCCACTGTGAAATTCTTTCTTCTTCTTAAACTTGGTACTGTCAAGAGTAAGCTCCACAGACTTTGGCACTTTATGTTGTGGCCACTATTTTTTTCCAGCATCCTTAACTGTGCCTGTCCCAGATTAGATGCTCAACAAGTATGTGTTGAATGGATAGATTTAGGAAAATAGGGTTAAGAAAGGATGAGTTAGAGAGGAAAAATAAGATTCATGATCTTCAAAAAGGAATCAGTGGAGAAATGGCCTTGTTGGTTCAGGTTTTAGCACTTAAAGTGTGTTGTTCTCTTGGATTTTCCAGTTGTGGGTCATCTCTGAAAAGGGGCAATGTCTGCAGCAAGTCTGCCTTGGCTTCACACACAGTCTTCAGCTATTACCTCTACACAAATTCCTCTCAGATCTACAGGTCCGGGAATGGAGGCCCCTAATCACAGCATCTCCCCTGATTTTCAGATTCTGCTATCACCTCAGCTTCAACATATTGAAAAATCATTGTTACTTCTGGTTCAGCGACTCAGTCTACCTTCTCACTTGCCTTGTTAACATACCACCATCTTCCGCCTTTCTTCTCAAGAAGAAAAAAATCAGACCTCACTGACGCTTCACCATCTTCAGCCCCTCATTCCCAATGTATCTAAAAGGAGCTGTGCCACTTTTTAGAAAATCAACCCTCATGCATTCGGCACCTGTTATTATTTCTAGAAACTGTATTAAGCCTGTGGACAAACAGGGCCCTGGTTGTCATGGAATTTGAAGCCACCCTTTTCTGTTTTGATTGGATGCAGGAACAATGAGTACACACCACACCCAGAGTCCATCCCTTGTCATATCAAGTCCCTCTTTCTTCAAAGACAACCTCCTACCTGTATCTTGCAGATTATTGCCAAAAGAAATATCCTAAGTGGCAATTAATTGCTCTACTTTATCTTCATGAACCTAAACTAACTCTGTCATAAGCCTAGAGTTTTCTTATGCTGAGCTTTTGAAACTTTTCATAATCTGATATTCACTCTTAACTAATTCCCACATTCCCCCAATAATTCCCACTTTTCCAGCCAAGATATTTGGAGCTCACTATCCCCTTAACTTTTATTTTTATCCCCTTAACTTTTGTTTTTATTCCTATAGTGCTTACCCCAGAATTTAAATTTGAATGGAACCACACATATTATTTAACCCAACCTCTACATAGATAAATTAAAAAAAAAAAAACCCTGAAGTTCACAGGCTTAAAGTCAGAAAACTAATTCTAAAAATAGTATTTCCTGATTTTTAAGGTTCTTCACCCAATATATTGTCATTTTTTCTTGCTGTGTATATGTCCATGTGGTTAGTATGTTAGCAGCTCCTATCAGAAACCAATCAACGTTCTCAAACAAAATGGAATTAAGAGAGAGCTTTTGTTGAGTAAACTAGGGAAGAGGAAAAAGGGAAGGAGGCATTGGGCTAAAAGAACTCATGTTTGCAGATTTGAGTATCTGTGTTCCATTCATTCAAATTTGCCATCTGGATCATTAGAATATAAGATGCCTAAGCTTTGGTAGGCTGAAGCAGAAGTATCACTTGAGGCCAGGAGTTTGAGACCAGCCTGGGCAACCTACCTACCATCTCTACCAAAAAAAAAAAAAGAAAGAAAGAAAGACAGAAAATTGGCTGGGCATGGTAGCATGTGCCTATAGTCCCAGCTACTCAGGAGGCTAAGGCAGAAGCACAACTTGAGCCCAGGGGTTTGATGCTGCAGTGAGCTATGATCATGCCACTGCATTCCAGCCTGGGTGCTGGGTGACAGAGTGAGACCTTGTCTTAAAAACAACAACAACAACAACAACAACAACAACAACAACAACAACAAACCACCCATTCTGAGCCGCCATATCGATAATCCAAATCCTTGACTTCCTCTCAACACCGAACAAAACAACATACACACCTACACATGGTTGTCTTTTGTCTTTTAGTATAAGACCTGGGACTACACTTACTGGAGAGCAGCTGAGGCTAGAGTGTAAAAGTCCAATAGTTGTTGACTAATAGTGCCTCAGTGGTAGTTCCAATATGCCAGTTAATGCATAATGTCTCCCCGCATGAAACCTGATCAAAAAGCTTTAAAGCTGCTTGGCCCCTACTGTTTGCAGAGGGAAAACATGGGGACTGAGGGCCTTAGAAGGAGGGGCAATGTGAGCGCATTGAGTGACTGGGCAAGACATCATTAGAAAGACAAAAAGAGACATCATTCTCAAAATGCACTGCGTTGCAAAGAGGCCACGATTCTTAAATGATGTTTAGGGTAACTATTCGAACCGACAAAAAGGCTTATCAAACAATTAAATAAATAAATAAGTTTTTAAAAAGCAGTCTTTTCTTTTTCTTCCCTGTGTTTGAAAACCTTCCCATTAAGAGAACACAATATGCAATGGCAAACACGGCTCAGCCTCATCAGGAAAAGAGAAAATTGTTTGAAATAAACCTCAAAGAGAAAGAAAAAAGCTGTCATTTTCTTTAAGGACACTATTATGTTCTTATTGACAAGACAAAAGAGTAATAAAGTTAAATTATAGCAACTATAAGCTTGATAGTTCGATTGGAGAGAAATAGAGAAACCTTTGCTATTAAAAAGAAAAAGAAAGAAGAAAAAGTAGATCTTTTAATCAGCCCCTACTGAAGCGATGACTACTGACCTTACCCCTCACTGAGAGCATTCTTGAATCTGTTCCAGGGGCAACATTCCTACCTCATTGATACAATCCAGGAATTATGAAACTAGAAGTGAGCTTGAATAATCATTATGCTGGAGTCTCTTATTTTATAATTGGAGAAACCCATGTCTATAGCAGTTAAGTGGCTTGCCTGTGCTCACACAGCTTTTGAATTTCAAGGTTAAATTCTAGAAACCAGCAGAAGCTAAAACTTATTTTCTCCAGACACAGAATCTGTTTATTCAGCCTTATTACAAAATCATCATGCTAACAACAAATTCATGGTGATTATCCTGAAATCTATCTCCAAGCATATTTGGAGATTCTGAGTATACTTACTAAGCTCTTACGGATTCAGGGTCCCAAATTCCTCCTCCCTGTCTGGACTAGGCATCAGGCAGTTGAAGAAAAAGCGTCAGGAGATCCCCATCCTTCCTCACTGCTGTATCTTGATGACAGTCAACATCTCTTACCCACACAGTCTCTTGTTGGAACAGGAACAGTGCCTCTCTGGCCCCTGTTGTGAAAAGAATGAAGCAAAAAGACCCTCCTAGCCATGACTGAGTTATGGGACTCTTCAGAACTGCAGTGAGAGAGGCCAGACACCTTAGAAGTGACAAGTTCTCCCTTGTAATATATAGTAGGAGTTCAGAAAAAGGAAAATGCAATGATTTTTAAGTACTTTGGGCCATTTTCCTCTCTTGCTTCTCTCCTGGAGAAGTCTGGACACGTTTTTATTTGGAAAGGTGCATTGTGACATTTTATATCGTTCCTTCCACCTATTAATAGCTCTGGCCGCCCCAGGTGCTCATTTTCAAGACACCCTCAGAGAAGGGGGACTTCTGGCAGCCACTCTGCAGCTGATAGCTTTGGGGAAATGGCAGGTTTTAATTGATGTATTGTGGACACTGTTCTTTCTTTCTGTCTGTCTCTCTCTAAAACAAAACAAACAAACAAACAAAACAAAACAAAACAAAACAAAAAAACCGTGATGGGTTTAGTATCCTCCTAGGACCTAGGACCTATAGATTTTAATATGTCAATTATTCCCCTTTTATGGGAACTTGTATGTTTGTGACTGACTCATGGTCTTCCAGGTATCTTTTTGTCTCCATGTGACACTGAGCACCAAGTATCAACATCACCTGTCTCTCTTTGAATAAACTTTCTAGACAGGCAACAACCAACAGCCCCTATATAGATGCTCATCAGAACAGCACGTCATATGAATTCTTCTCAAATTGGTGGATTGACTGTTAATCATTACAATGAGATGGAATTGGAAAGTAGGGCTAAAACGCAGGAATGTGAAGTACCAAAATTTCTTATTTAAAAATAGTCCAGGTGGCTACCCCTGATGGAGGCAATGTTGTCCAGGCCCGCATTTCTGCGGACATTGGCTGCTCCAACCATCCTCTATAATTCTGGCTTGTTGCAAGTGCTGCGAAGACAGCAATGTATTTCCCAAGAGCCTCAGAGAATGTTGGCTCTGCCATCTCTGCCCAAAGAAGCCAGTGTCTCCATGCTGGCTATGGTGTGGAGCTCCATCGTAAGCCTTGAGACACTGTTCTCAATATGAAATGTAGGGAGATTTCTTACTGCTGAAGTTCCCCTCGGTATTCTCACACACTTTTTAAAAAATAGCTTTTTGAAGTATAATTCACATACCATAAAATCCACACATTAGAAGCTATTTTTAGCTTTCCACAATTTTCAGCAAATTTATGGAGTTGAACAACCAACAACATCCTCCACTTTTAGAATATTTTCATCATCCAAAAATTCCCTACTGGCCATTTGCTGTTAATCTACTCTACCCCCAGTCCTAGCCAATACTGATCTACTTTTCTTGTCTCTATAAAAGTGAGGTTTCTGGGCATTGCTTATCAATGGGCTTATATAATGTATTACATGATGGTTTGTAGGTTCATCTATGCATAGCATGTATCAGTAGTTCATTCTTTTTATTGCTGAATGGTATTCTGCTGATACAGGTTTACCACGTTTTCTTTATCCAGCAGTTGATGGACATTTGGATTGTTTCCAATTTGGGGCTCTTATGATGCCATGGACATTCACATGCATTTCCTTCTATGGATGTATGCTCTAATAAGCTTCTTAAATGCTACTTCTTACATGCCCCTGTGCCCCTAACTATGCTAATCACTTTAAACGTATTATTTCCAGCCTTTGCAAAAACTGCTGAGATAGGAATTTTAACCAAGAAACCAAAGCTTATAAAGAAGCAACTCACTTGAAACAATGTTTCCAGAGCCAAAATTCAACCCCGTACACTTCGGACTATGCCAAGCAGTCTCTATTACTCCCTAACAAAAAAGCAGGCATTTCCACGAAGCTTGCACACGAAACCCAATGGCTCACCCTACAGCCATACTAGGGAGTGTTGCCACCTTAAATGGATTGGAGGTTTGCAAATCCACCCTAGGACTTCATGTACAAATATTCTCTTCGAAATTACAGCAACCTCAATGGTCACTTCAAACCCAATTTTGACATGGATACATAGATCGATGCAAATGTATCAATTATCTGCTTTATGCCTAGAACCAAGTTGGGTAAAGTGAGGAAACAAAAGGTGAATGACAAACAGCCATGGCCCCTTGAGGTCAGCATAATGGGATGACCAGCCTCATACACACATGTCTGAATTACGTGGAACCAACTGCACATATAATGAGAGCTTCAATTATTTAAGAATCTGTGCCAAGACTTAAGCCACTCACGACTTGTGTGTC
This sequence comes from Homo sapiens, assembly GCF_000001405.40. Classification (NCBI taxonomy): domain Eukaryota; kingdom Metazoa; phylum Chordata; class Mammalia; order Primates; family Hominidae; genus Homo; species Homo sapiens. The sequence continues at coordinate 167,746,622 of NC_000005.10, forward strand.
ATCTACCTTTTTCCTTTTTCAGTTATGTGGGCACTGTAGAGCTAAATTACCAACAGAGAGAGAGAGAGAGAGAGAGAGAGAGAGAGAGAGAGAGCTGGACTCTACACAATTAGTGAGCTACTCAGAAGATATTCAGTGGAAACATTTTGGAAATGTTATTATTTAAGGCAGCTGGATAATCTGCAGATATGTGTGTGTGTGCGTCTATGTGTGTGTGCGTGTGTGTGCATACACACATAAAATCTTCCTGGAAGCTTATAGACATTTTGTTTCATTTATACATCTCACAAGTCTTTATTAAACACCTAGTTGCAGACATAGTGCAACGTGTTAGCATAGTGCAAAATGGTGTTCCCTGCCCTTCTGAAGCTTACAGTTTCATGTAGAAGATGTATATTAAATAAAGAGATTAGTTATTAAAATTATGAGAAGTGCTATGAAGAAATAGAGTATGTCAAGGGAACATTTGCATTTACACATGTGTCAGGAGCAGAAGGTGATGAGCTGATATTTAGCTTTGCATTAAAACAAAACGAAAAACCCAGAGCCAAACAAGAATAAAGAACCTTTCAAGCCAATGTGGGGAGGAAGAATTCCCAGTGGGCAAGTGATATATCCTGGTGACTTAGAGTAGGAGGCTGGCAGGAGAGATGAAGAGAAATAGACATGTTTATAAATGGAAAGCCCTTCCTTCTGGGTCTTCTTAAAATATTCTGCAAATCTTCCATAAAGATTGGCAATTTCTCTATCAAGGCTGGGTAACCTCATATATCAATTCTCCATTTCCCTGCCCAAGTTTGTGATAACATATCTTCCATTAACCTATGCTGAAAGAGCCATTTCTATTCTAAGAATCTATTTATGTTCCCCTACAACTTTCTCAAAGATATGCCTCTGGGTTGTAATACCTCACGCTGATACTCAGCTCAAATGTGAATACTTTTGCCACATTTCGGTAACATTGATCGAGACTTTTCTGAGTCATTTGATCATGGGGATGTGGGGATGTCTTCTCTTTGTGGGGAAGAAAATGACATCCCTTTCATTTGAAGGGACTAAGGACTGAATTTGCTTTTTCTGTTACTTGCCATAAATTTGGTCTTCATTGTCAACAGTATCCTATGACTATTTTTCCAATTATTTCATGAATTAGGACACAACAGGTAATCTTATTTCTGACATTTATTTGAATAAATAAGTGTATCTTCCTATTCTTATCTCTGTTTTTATTACCTTAAGTAACACACTGAATTTCATTTCAAGTCCCTCTCTCTCTATTTTCTCAATTCTTTGCACAGTTTCTTATGAAGCTTCTCTGGTTAATTTCTGTTACTTTCCAGTTGTCAGAAACCTTTAGGTATGTGATCGTTTTTCCTGAAAGATCTCTAGGATAAAAGTCTAGTTTTACCTTTCATAATCCCCACATCCTATCAAATCTGCTTTTTGAACATGTACTTTCCTGTACCACTTTCTACTGAAGAATTAGTTACCCTTTTTCCTTTCAATTGCCTGTAGTCATTAACAGAAATATTTTCCATCTGTCACTCTCCTATTTGTCTTTATTTCTCTTTTTTGGTAAGAAGAGCATATACAATTGCTTCCACCCTACATTTTGGTCAAATTATTTTGTGGTACGGATTGAAAAGTTTTTATAATTGCACCAAGTTTCATTGACCCATATTAAAGGTGTCAGTGTGCAAAAAAATTTCTATCTGTATAAGCTACTGGTTTTCCATTAAAATAAGAATGATTTTTTTTAGAGGACAATTTTTTAAGAGACAAGATCTTGTTCTATCACCTAGGCTGGAGCGTAGTAGTGTAATCATAGCTGGCTGCAGCCTCTACCTCCTTGGCTCAAGGAATCCTCTCACCTCAGCCTCTTCAGTAGTTGGAACTACATGGGACTACAGGCACATGCCACCACTCCTGGCTCTTTTTGTGTGTGTTTATTAATCCATTTTCACATTGCTATTAAGATACTACCCAAGACTGGGTAATTTATAAACAAAGGAGGTTTAATTGACTCATAGTTCCACATGGCTGGGAGGTCTCAGGAAACTTACAATCATGACAGAAGGTGGAGCAGGCATGTCTTATATGGTGGCAGGGGAGAGAAGTGCAAGTAGGGGAAATGCCAAACACTTAAAACCATCAGATCTTGTGAGAACTCACTCACTATCATGAGAACAGCGCGGCGGAAACCACCCCCAGGATTCAATCACCTCCCACCGGATCCATCCCTCAACACATGAAGACTGTGGGGATTACAGTTCAAGATGAGATTTGGGTGGGGACACAGCCAAATCATATTGGTGGAGTTTTGCTATATTGCCTAGGCTGGTCTCAAATCCTTGGTCTCAAGCCATTCTCTCCCCTCAGCCTCCCAAAGTGCTAGGATTACAGGTGTAAGCCACCATGTCCAGCCTATTTTTGTATTTGTATCTTCATTTTTTTAAAAAATGAAATTAGACATACTGGTTTCATTACATATTTCTTGGAATAATTATCACTTTTACCATAATAATAGAGAAACCGAGGAAAAACAAAAACAACAAAAAAGTGTTATTTGAGACAAAGACTATACAAGGCATTATACTAAGAACGGATATGAACAGAGAGATTAAATAAGACATTATTCCTGCCTTTTAAAGACTGACACTTCAGTAATTAAGAAAAAAATAAAAGATGTTCATATATCCACAATAAGATGAACATAAGGGAATAAAAATTCAAGGAAGCTGGGAACGGTGGCTCATGCCTATAATTTCAGCACTTTGGGAGGCCGAAGCGGGCAGATCATGAGGTCAGGAGTTCAAGACCAGCCTGGCCAACTTGATGAAACCCTGCCTCTACTAAAAATACAAAAATCAGCCGGGTGTGGTGGTGGGCACCTATAATCCCAGCTACTCAGGAGGCTGAGGCAGGAGAATCGCTTGAAACCGGAAGGCAGAGGTTGCAGTGAGCCAAGATCATGCCACTGTACTCCAGCCTGGGTGAAAGAGCTAAACCCCATCTCAAAAAAAAAAAAAATCAATGGGAAGAGAGCAATATTTATAATGGGCTGAGTAGTTTTGCACATTCAAGACTGATTCCTGGGACCCACATCTTTGAGATCAGCATGAGAAGAAGGGGAGGCAAAGTTAAATCAGTCAATGACTGTGCACTGGCATTTGAAACCTATATTTTTAAATGAGTGTCTTTGCTTTTCATCCTAAATCTTATAAACCATGTATAGTTTATCAATAAAGAGATCTGCCTTTTTCTGAGGGAGAAGAATTGAGGAGAAACTTGGGATCTGGAACTGGCTCAATCTCTGGCTACATTGCCTATTCTGATAAAATCCTCTTCACCATCATCATCTCCCTTTGCTTTGACCAGGTGTATTAGACTTTGTCAAAAGCAATGGAGATGATTTTTTCAAGGTTAGAAGGCATACCGGGGTGAACTGCAGGAATGGTTCATTATCTTCGGGGAATGTTAATGGCCCACCTCGAGGATTCTAAAGAGGGAAAGAATGAGCCAAACGACGCTTTGGATTAAACGATGAACTGAGTGTAAAGCCCACAGTAGAGGAGCTGGCACACAGTAGGTGCTCAATGAATAGAATTTCCCCATCACCCTTCCCTTGCCCTACGCTGTTACGGGTTGCAGCTGCTGTCCATATAGGCCTGTTACAGAGAGAGCAGCAGGTGTTTGCCAGGCGTTGACAGGGTAGGGAGTCTGATTCTCAGAGTTTGCATGTTTCTCCTTGACTCTTGATATCCTGAGTAATTCTTGACAAAGGCATTGTCCTCGTCATCCTGTAGTGGTCCTCTTCTTTTGACCTGCGCATTTTCTGGAGTTGTGAGCCATGTTATAAAGGGGATGAGTCCAGATGGGAAGCATCAGTGATGACCTGGCATTTTCTGCTGGGGTGATTGGTATACCATAGAAGCAGTTAATCAAGGACGGCCAAGGGGCTCCTAGAACACACGATAGTGGTACACCTACACTTTGATCCTCACTCTAGACCTCTGGGAGCCTTTTTGAATATTAAACTCATTAACCAAAGGAACCAGTCTGCCACTGATGTACACATTCCAGCCTGGGGTTTTCTTTTTTTAATAAAAATGATGTGGGTAGCTGATTCAGCATTACAGTGGTTTCTCCCCCAACCTCCAGAAGTATGTCAGGACTGTTATTTTATAGCATAACATGGCTGTTTAGAAGGTTTCTGAAAACCTAGAGCTTAACATTTTTCTGGTGCCATTATATCATATTCCACCAGTGTATCAGGAAATGTGCTTTGGGAAGGTCTTGAAGAAAATTTATAGAATAGAATGACAGCATGTAACATCAGGAGGACCTGACTTGCATATGATATCAGGAAAGGCTTCCTTAAAGAAGTAAACTGATTAGTAGAAGGTAGCCACAGGGAGGGAGAGGAGTGTATGTGAACTGGGAGGAAAAATGATGTATTCCAGGAGTTGAAAGGACAGGGTTGCCAGGGTGGAGAGAGGAAGCAGGGGAGAGGAGGGAAATACATGGTAGGAACTGGGCAAGGACCAGACCTTACAAGGTTTCATGGATCACCTTAAAGAGGTTCTTAAAGAGGTAAGAACCCTATGGACTCTGCCTTAACAAAACAGGAAGCCAGTGACAGATGTTTAAGAAGGGAGTGTAATGACCAGATTTGTTTTTAAAAGATCATTTTGCCTGCCATGTGAATAAAGGATTATAAAGACAGTAAGAGTGATATTGAGAGGACCGATAGGAGGTTGTCACACTGCAAGATGGCATGATGGCAGAGGATAGCATGATAATTTATCCTTGTCTTTTGGGAGTTTACAATCTAGTAAGGGAGTGGACATGTGTACACAGAATTATTACAGTGTTGCATGTGATAGTGCCATGAGAATTAAGCAAGATAAAGTGAGAAAGAGAGAGGTCACTTTTTGCAGAGAAAATCAGGGAAATAGCTTCTTAGATGACAAACAGGATCCAAGGAATGTAGTGGCCTGAGGTTTGTTTTGTTTTGTTTTGGGCTTGTTTGCTGTTATTTAGATTTTTAGATACAACTGTTTCCAGATTAATAAATTGCTTTAAAAGTAGCTTTCCCACTGTTTTGGTTTTTTTTAAGCTTCACATACACATACATTTTCTGTTCCAGTTCACATTATCTTTGTCAGGCAAGAAGAAAGCAGGTTTTATGGTTATATATGTAATTCCCTTTTAGACTGGAGTAAGTGAATTCCTCTATTTCTCTTCCAGGTCATCTGTCAGTCCATAAAGCCAGGAAGAGTTGAGAGACAAGTCTGTCTTCTTGAGGACGCGTAGTTTCTGTGAAAATAATACACACACACACACACACACACATGCGCGCACACGATTGTGCAAATAAATATGGGTATGATGCTTTCATCCTAAGAAATTCAGAATGAATTGCTTTTAGAAGGACTTACACAAAGTTCTCATGCAGCTCTTGGGGCCCCTTCTTTCCTTCTTTTTTTTCCAGATGGAGTCTCACTCTGTCACCCAGGCTGGAGTACAGTGGTGCAATCTCAGCTCACTGCAACCTCCACCTCCTGGGTTCAAGCAATTCTCCTGCCTCAGCCTCCTGAGTAGCTGGGATTTCAGGTGCCCGCCACCATGCCCAGCTAATTTTTTTTTTTTTTTTTTTTTTTTGTATTTTAAGTAGAGATGGGGTTTCGCCATGTTGGCCATGCTGGTCTCAAACTCCTGACCTCAGGTGATCTACCCACCTTGGCCTTCCAAAGTGCTGGGATTACTTGTGTAAGCCACCGTACCTGGCCTATTGGAACCCCCTTCTTGAAACACCTGTGTGAGCACCCTGCTTACCATCTACCAGTGACCACACCCACATAGGGTTCTATTTCAGTGAGACTACAGAGCCAACAAAGTGCACTAGTTAGCTGTGATGGAAAACCTACCAAGCTTTACTGATGGATCTCTGCTGAAAAGAAGTAGGCTAGGTTATACTGAAACCATGAGCAAGAAAAATGTTCAGCTGGTCATGTTGGGAGTCATTGGGAATATTCTAGCCCATGATTTCATTCACATTGGCTGAACTCTCAGCTCCACCTATACGTGAGCGTGGCTAGTCACCTAAGCTCTCTGAGTTTCTTTGGAAAAATAAAGTGGTTAGGCTGACTGATCCCCCAGATGTTCTGCAAACTCAGTTTCAGATATAGATTTCCATCCAGGAGAGCTGTGAACTGATTTTACAGGTTTAGCCTAGCATTGCAAGGATTTAGTTATATGGGTCTATACACAAGAGAGTACTTGAATGTGTCCTTCATACTGATGCCAGAAAAGTAGAGAGAACTCCTTAATTCCTCTAAGTATCTAGAAACACATTTTTTAGCCAAGGGGATGGTTGGCTATTTGAACGAGAATTTTGACTGTACCCCGTGGTTTCTACAATTAAAGAAATGGCATATCTGGACTTAGAAAGATAATGGTTTCCTAGGAGTTTGCATTCTTAGACCACACCCAGAAAATTATGTTTCGTTTGAGATTATGCAATTTAAGGATGTTGACAAATCTGAATGCATGCAAAGAAAAATGGTAAGGATGAAGAAAAACCCAGGAAGACTGCTATATACGGAAAAGTTGCTAAAAACTTGGAAGGGTTGGTCTGAAGGAGATTTAGGGATACATTACAGCTGTCTCAAATATTGTGGAGTACTGTCAGAGGAAAAGAAATGAGACTATCCTGGCTCTGTATTTCCTAATAGACCTGGGGTAAATCGATTGAAATTGCCAGGAGCTTAATTTGGGCTCAGTGTGGAGGAGAAATTTCTGACAACAATATGTAGCCAAGAATAGGATGGGATCTGATTTCCCTTGTGCAAAGAGTAATTAGGAAGAGACTGGATGTTGGTAATATTGATTGTGAAAAGCAGTGAGTTGTGTTTTTACATGTATTAATGCAATCTTCATGATAACCTGTTGATGTTGCTTCTGTTATTATTTCCATATTACAGATGAAGAAACTGAGGCACAGTGTGGGTAAGTCACTTGCCTAAAATCACACAGTTAGTAGGTGACAAAGCTGGGATTTGAACTCATGAATGTCCTATCGTCAATTTGGGAGGCTTAAACATGCTGACATGTTGCCTTCAGGTGGCCATCACATAGGTGGATAGTATTTCTGCCCCGGGTTTCCAGAATGGTCTTTGAAGAGCTCACTGATCATGGTGTATTCCATGGTGCATAACAGACAGATTCTGTGGTAGTACCTAATGCAGGCAGAGGTGCCTTCCTGCAGGTGTGCCAGAGTCTTTGGTAATGAGCCATTATGCTCCGTCAGTCATTCTGCTGTAACCATGCATAGTCATCCTGTTTCCTTCCTCACAGTATATGGAGTTGGGATGCATTGTTTCTTGGTAGAATTTACTTTGTCTGCCATATTGATAATATCCACTTCAGCAGCTACACTATGACATTCCCTTAAAAAAAAGAAAATTACAAAAATATCCAAAAGCCCTACTTTTGGGATATGCAGACTGCAACTATACTTTCCTTCCAGACATGATGGATAGTTGTTTCCCTATAAGATACTGCACCTTGTGTGAGTGTTGGAGAGAGATCTCTGCTTTATTGGCCCTTTGCACGTTAGGAAACACAATAAAAGAGGTAAAGTGCTTTCCAGTACAGGAAAGGAAAAATAATCCCTTTCAAACTTGATCAGATCTATCTAAAGGTAACCGACCAGGAAGGAGAACTGACCCCATTTCACATACAGGTGCTTTAAAATAATTTCACAACAGGTAGTTAAAATGTAACTATGCTGTGCTGTCAATCACATCTCGTCCTTCTGGATTTTAACGCTTGTTTTACTTGAGGGAAGATGATATTTGAACATTCTATAGCATCCGTCAACAGGAATGCGCACATGGTTTCAAATAAGGGTTTTCAGCCTTCTGAAACCAATTACTTCTGCCTAAGTGGAAATGCCAGAGCAGAGATGTGTCAGCAACTAAGAGAATAATTTAAAAAAAAAAATTAAGTATACACAGTGATGTCAGAAAACAACAGAAATTGTGCATTCCTGCACACACATGTACACACATGCACATGAACAAACCTTTTTAAGAGATATTTCAAAAAAAAAAAAAGTCTGTGTCAAACAACGTTAACCCAGAAAGATGCAGAAATGTCAGAGACATTACATGGGCAGGACTTGCGGTTGGCATTTGGCTGGCAGCGGGGGAGGCGTCCTCCCCAACTAATTCCTCAGGAACCTCATGCTGAGGCTGTCTACAGGGAAGGGAGCAGAAAGGGAGGAGGGAGAGAGCAGATATTGCCTATTATGCTTTTCCTTCCCAGCTGGAGAAGGCCTCAGCTGTGTCAGACTGGGACTGCTGGTGATTTTTCTGTAGTTAGAGGGAAACACAAAACGAAGAGCGGCCCACTCCCAGCTTACGCCGATGGTGAGCCCACCTCTCCTGATCATTAGCGTTGCTGGCACAATTGAATGCAAGCCAGATCATCTCTTATGGAGACCCGGCAGTACCTCACCTCAGTCTGTGAGTTTTCTCCATGGGAAGGTTGTGATGGAGTCTCTGGGTAAGGATGATGGATGTGCATGCAGATGGGGTTTTGCAAGCACCTGTCCTCACTGACAGGGTAGTTGGAGTATTTACTTTAACCCTTCAGCGGATACCAAGGGAGAGATGGGAGACTTGACGGTGAAACTATTTGATTTCGCACCGCAGTTGTCTTAACAGTAGTTGTGAATTCTTCTCACTGAGTCTAATTTCTAATTCCTATCAGGTTGTTGATCTGAATTTTTTTTTTGCTACCTTCATGATATCTGCCAGGTATTTCACCAGAAAAAAAAAATATGTGAAAATAAATATAAATATAAAATGGAATTTATTAACTGTAAACATCTGTTAAGTCAAGCATCCTGTGTCTATTGCTGAAATACTCTTTCAAGTGACTCTGTCTGCATCTGTCACATTTTTTTCACCCTCCAGAGACCTATTTGCGGTAGCTCTCTGTGTACTAATGAAAACGTGGGATTGGCTTTACCCTTTATTGTAGCTTGGTGTTAAGACATTTTTAAAATAGGCAAAAGGAAGACAGGGGAAATGATCCATTCTGTTAGCTGAATTTTCTTCAAAACATGGATTAGTCTTGCTGCTTGTATGTGATATTTAGCATGCTGAACAGGTTTTTGTGAAACTCCTGGTGTCTTCTGCTGCAGGTGGCTGGGTTTGTTGACAAATCTTCAGGTGTACCATTTGCCTTCAAAGAGGGTGCTGCTGTCTCATCAGTATAAATGGAGTGGTAATAACCCCTCACTTTTCTAGGGCAACGTATGTTTTACAAAGTATCTTCACTGTATTATTGAGTTGCTCTCATTTTATTAGGACATCAGCCCTGTGTGGCAGGTATTCCAGTTGTTATTAGCTCCATTTTTTAAACAAGGAAACTCAAGGCAAAAGACTCATCCAGGGCCACACCGTTAGAACTGGACATGTTGGTATTTCAACCCACTTCAATTCTCAAGCTTTGTTTTCTTATGTATATGAACTGTGGGTAGTATAGACACAACCAAACAAACCTAAGTTGCTGTTTCCATGTTGTATGATATATATATATATGTAATCCCACTTCCTTTTTGCTTCCTTAAGCCACACTAGGCACAGTTATGATGCAGAATGAGTTTAATTTCAGCATGCCCCACCTCTCTTTTCCACAACTCAACCCCACAACACAAGCTCATACACAGACTTCTGTTGCTCCCTTGGTTTAGGAACGTGGGTTCCTGAGATGCTGTGGGTTTCTCCTCATTTAAGGAGAAAATCATCAGTAAATCTGATAGGGTTTATAATACCTCTCATGAGTCCAGAGAAAACAAAGTGATGGTTCCACAGTGGTGCAATTTCATTTACCTCAATCTGAGTAGAAGAGATATGAGGCTCCAGGAGGAAATCCCCTCATCCTTTGAAACCCCACACTTCAATTATCTCAGAAGTTAGGAACAAGGACATGTATCCCCAGAAGCTAGGGAGGACAGATGCCCTCATGGAGACTCTGTGTCTTCTATTTCAACAAGCATAGTGTTCTCTCAAGAGTCTGCCAATGAGAAACCTTGAGAACTAGGAGCACCTCACCAAGCACCTAGGAACACATTGTAGGACAACTTAGATAAGCCCCACATGATCCAGGGAGACAAAGTCACCCCTCCCACTCCCACCCCCAGCTTTCTTCCAACCAAGGCCGTATTGCCAAACATCTGCATTCAGTGACCAGTTGCAGTTGGCCACTGGTTCTTTGAGAGAACACAGGGTGGGTTTTAAATTGCCCTGACATAGACCCCCATGAAATCATGTGAGACATCTCTTTTTGGGTTTTCCAAATATGCTTGGCAGTACTTTCTCATATACCTTTTCTTTCTTTTTTCTTTTTTTATTATATTTTTAAATTTTATATTATATTTTTTATTTTTTTATTATTTTTATATTTTTAAATTTTACTTTAAGTTCTGGGGTGCATGTGCAGAATGTGCAGTTTTGTTACATAGGTATATATGTGCCATGGTGGTTTGCTGCATCCATCAACTCATCAGCTACATTAGGTATTTCTCCTAATGCTATCCCTCCCCTTGCCTCCCACCCCCCAACAGGCCCCACTATGTGGTGTTCCCCTCCCTGTGTCCATATGTTCTCATTGTTCAACTCCCACTTATGAGTGAGAACATGCAGTGTTTGGTTTTCTGTTCCTGTGTTAGTTTGCTGAGAATGATGGTTTCCAGCTACATCCATGTCCCTGCAAGGGACATGAACTCATTCTTTTTTATGACTGCATAATATTCCATGGTGTATATGTGCCACATTTTCTTTATCCAGTCTATCATCGATGGGCATTTGGGTTGGTTGCAAGTCTTTGCTATTGTGAATAGTGCTGCAATAAACATACGTGTGCATGTGTCTTTATAGCAGAATGATTTATAATCCTTTGGGTATATGCCCAGTAATGGGATTGCTGGGTCAAATAGTATTTCTGGTTCTAGATCCTTGAGAAATCACCACACTGTCTTCCACAATGGTTGAACTAATTTACACTCCCACCAACAGTGTAAAAGCGTTCCTGTTTCTCCACATCCTTTCCAGCATCTGGTGTTTCCTGACATTTTAATGATCACCATTCTAAGTGGCATGAGATGGTATCTCATTGTGGTTTTGATTTGCATTTCTCTAATCTCATATACCCTTTCTTTTGCTTCAGAAAGAGAACAAGGGGTTTCACATTAGAAGAATTCTTTGTTGGAACAATTTTAATATTCTGAAGTCTTTTTCTTAGAGCATTCAAGTATGCCTTGGTTACCCTGTGGCATGGACAAATGCCCTTCCACCTCAGCCACAGTTTGCCTTCATGCATCTGTCAATACATAAGTGCAAAGTGATGTAGAATCTACCAGAGTTTGCACTGTGGGGTTGTCTTTTATACTTTCCTTTTTAAAGTAATCCTGAAAATCTCTTAGGAAATTGATGGAGGGTGGGTTCATAAAACCTCACAGTGTCAGAGTTGGAAGGCAGTCTAAATTGCATGTGGTCCCTATAGTGTCATTATGATGACCAAGAAATCAGTTCCCAGGGAGGCTGAGATTTGTCCCAGTTTACCATGATGGTGACTGTGCTGCATATTTTCTGTTTGTCCTTCACATTCTTTCATTCCATCAATATCTTGCTCTCTGCCTTGGAAGCTGACCCTATAGACTGGATCTGTGGGTGCTCTATCCTCTAGCTGATTGGCTCAATGGGAAGAGATCGAAGATCAGAAGATAGAAGGTGGAAGAGAGAGAGGCAGGGGCACTTCCTACCAGCTTGGAAGAGAGAGAGGCAGGAGCACTTCCTACCAGCTTCCTCCTTGTCATTGTGCTATAGCAGGCTGTTTTTCTGTATCTGAGACAGACATTCCCAGGTAGCCCTCTCCATACAGTCTTCTCTTTCTGGATTCTTCTAATCACTTCCACTTTTTTTTAGCTCTAGATCATTGCATGTTAGCTTTTATAAGCACTTGCTGGTTGTTAGGACTCACATTCTGTACATGGAAACATTTATTAGGACTCTGGTTCTGTAAGTGAAAAAATTCGCTGATTTTCTCGAGCCATGCACACTGACATAACTTCTGATTTCCAGAAACCTTGACCACAACTGTTTAAATAGTCCCCTTATTAAACTCTCTCATATTGCCAGGTTTGGGTGTCATCTGCTTTCATGCTAGGACCTTGATTGATACAGAAACAGCTAAAGCTAAAACTATAGCCCAGCTAGTTCTCTGTCTCCTTAACCCTATTCTATTTGCTTTTCCACCATACTGCTTTTACTATGGATACCTTGATACTTTGAATAAATAATAATTGTTTCATAAACACACAATTTTGATAGTAGATAACAGTAGCATGCAGTGGTTAAAAACATAGACTCAACATCTTGGGTTCAAATCCCAGTTCTGACACATACTAGATTACTTAACTAGCAAGTTGCTTAGGGTTCAAATCCCAGTTCTGACACATACTAGATTACTTGGGTTCAAATCCCAGTTCTGACACTAGATTACTTAACTAGCAAGTTGCTTAACTTCTCTGTGTCTCAGTATCCTCTTTCATAACAATAAGGCTATTGTGGAGATTAAATCATATCAGTTCCTTCAAAGAACTTAGCACATATGAGGGTGTTAAATGTTCATAAGTGCTCAGCACATGGTAAGTGCTCCATAAATGTTAGCTTTTATGAGTGTTGGCTGTTTGTTAGGACTCACATTCTGTACATGGAAACATTTATCAGGACTCTGATTTTGTAAGTGGAAAAATTTTCAGATTTTCTCAAGCCTTGCACGCTGTCATAAAATTTCATGAGGATAAAGTCATCAGTTCCCAGGAACACTGAAGAGTTACAGGGGAAGTGGGGAGGTGCAGGTAAGTGGGGGTATATATGAGTCACCAGAGGGACGTGAGGAGAGATGGGAAAGGAATGTAGACAACATCATGATGGACAAGCCTGGATGTGCCAGGAAGCTCTAATCCACCTGGGAGGGCTGTGAATCAGCCCCCTTCCAGCAGGGTAGGTGTCCAGTTTCTGGCTGGTTGACCTGGGAGGAGGCCATGGAAGCTGTTGCCCCATCAATCTATTGTTGAGAGATACAGCCATGAGCCTGGATGTTCCTACAACAATAATTATGCAAGAGCTAGTTTACAAAGGTGCTGACAAACCCCACCTGGAGACAGTATTTCTTTAGCTCCGAAGTGTGAAATAAGGTGTGATTTTTTAAAAAAACATAGATTCTGTTTTTCAGATATTGATTCTTTCTTTTGCATATTTGATAAATATTCAGAAATGTGAAATTGATTATACTTGAGCATGGTCTTACTTGAGCTTACTAGAGCGGTGGCTGTACTTAAGCTCTACATCTCTGGGTAGTCACTGTAGGTATTTGGAGAGAGGAGCTAAATTTCTGAACTGACTTATTTAAGTGGAATGCTATGCCCAGCTCTTCACTGGTTAAAACTCCGCATGGTACATTTTATCCTCAATGGCTTTGCTCCTGGTCTTCCTAAGGGTGCAATAAATTGTGGCTTCTCTTACCTAGAACCAGTTTCTTCTCTTCTATCATTAAATAGGGCACTGTCACATGCCTTTGAAAGAAAGAGAAATTAAGTCATCCCATCTTTTGTTGTTCAGGATGGTGACACTTTCTGTTATTACTTTAGGTCAGGCAAGGAAAGAATTTAATACACTGTTGGAAGGCATTGGACATAGGAGGAAGTGCATGGTGCTCTGTGGCCTCTGTGAGTTAGACTTAGGCCCTAACATCCAATTGCAGGCAATCGAGGCTTCTCCCACTTGTTCCCTTTCTCCTTGTTTTCTCTTTTGCCTTTATTAGAATTTTTATTGTTGGCCTGATTCTGATCATTGGTAATTGTCCCTAGAGTGGACAGCCAGTTTGATTTAGGTGGACTTGTAAATAGGTAAGTGTCAACAACAGGTTCCACAAGCAGCTGCCTTGTTATTGTTGTTGTTGCTGTTGTTGTTTTGAGACAGAGTCTCACTCTGCCACCCAGGCTAGAGTGCAATGGCATGATCTCGGCTCACTGCAACCTCTGCCTCCCAAGTTCAAGTGATTCTCCTGCCTCAGCCTCCTGAGGAGCAGGGATTACAGGCGCGTGCCACGATGCCTGGCTAATTTTTGTATTTTTAGTAGAGACGGGTCACCATGTTAGTCAGGCTGGTCTCGAACTCCTGACCTCAGGTGATCCGCCCACCTTGGCCTCCCAAAGTGCTGGGATTACAGGGGTGAGCCACCGCACCTGGCCTTACTGTTCTGTTCATGTCCTGCTGCAATGTCCATGTCCTTGCCCAACAAGTGACCCACTAAATGTCTCTGTGGCGGAAATGTCCAGGTCTACGGGTGACTAAGATAGTGAGTGAATGCCTTCTCCTATCTAAACTTTCTGCTTTTCCTCTTCTGTCTTTTGTAAAAATGAATCCTACTCTGAGCAAGCTGTTTAAAAATAAAGATCATCCTCTGTCTCATCCACCATCTTCACTGTCAGTTTCCTCTCCCCTGCTTATTTTCTTACTTTTACTTTTGTTTTTTGTTTTGAGTTTCTAACATGCTATGTAATTATTGATTATGTGATTGTCTGTTTGCCTCTACCCATTAACATATAAGCTCAACCAGGGCAGGAAACGTGTTTGTGTTATTCACTGATCTACCCCATCAACCCAGAATGCCGTCTGATACATGGTAGGCAGAATAAACGAGGAAACAAGTGTCCCAAAGAGGCCACTCCAAGAAATTCTTCAACCTCTAAAAAAGACCCAATATTATATTTCTCCACATGGAGAAATATGGACTGCTATTAGAAAAAAAAAATCATCCTAAAATCATGTTCTATCAAAATACCAAATATTAAAAGGGAAAATATCAAAAGGGAAGTTTTGCTTTCTAACTGGTCATTGTTTTAGTTTTGAATTATTAAGTTGAAAGCATAAAAAGAAAACCATCAAGTAGCACTTACACAGACCCACAAATGGCTCTGCAGACCATGGATTGAGGACCACAGGCCTAATGAGAAGTCACAGAATTCATCCCCAGGCCCTCCAAGGGAACTGGAATTTCTCACTTCACTCCCCAAGCTTCTGAGCAGCTGTACAGAGCTCTTGTGGCCTTGCCATTCCTCCTTCCATAGACACATTCAGCAATTATCATGTATCTGCTGAGCCAGAGATAGAAGCACAGAGGTAGTGCCAGAAGGGCCACTTCCAGCAATATCGCTGATTGAAAAAGTTTCCTCAACTTTGAATCATCAATAAGCTTCAACCAACGAGCTAGGAGTGCCATTGGAACCAGCGCCTCAGCTAGAAAGAATTAAGTACATGCAGAAGCGCTGCCTGACTTGGGGCTAGGTTGAGAAACACATAGTTCTTGATTCTCAGATGGCTCTTTGGAAGAAAAATCAAAGTGAAGTGACTAATTTTTAGTCTCTTTCTCTCTCCTCTCTCTCTCTCTCATGCATACATGCATATAAACACACACGTGCACGTGCATGGATACGCAGCTCTAAGGTTTTCTACAAGTGAGCTAAGAATATCCCTGGCTCCTTAGGAGGACAAAAGATCCCCTCCTGCACATCCCCAAAGACCTTTGTTTCACTCTTAGGTGTGGGAGAACTTATTTATGTCTAATCTTCTGCTTTTCAACTGCGTAAAGCATCAAAGCTTCTTTATCAGGTAGACTAAACTACATTAAGGATCAAAAAGAACACATAATATTTGTGATGGCCAATCATATTCTAGAGAGATGCTTCCCTCCCTTCCTCTCGTTATTTTCGTCTATTTCTCTTGCCCATGTGAAAACCTGGGTGATTTAAGCAGGTGCTCCAGTCTGCAGTGCTCTGGTTGTCAGTTGGCAATGGTGAGGTTAGGCATGAAAAGCCAATTTTAGATATTCTCCTGGTATTGATCTCTGCTTATCAGAAAGGCTTTTGCTGTGCCAGTTCACTTCTGTGCTTAGGCAAAGTCTTTTACAGATTTACCACCACAACTTACTCAATCTATTATAAAGTAGCATCAGCATGCAGGGTGTTTTTCCCCTTTCTTTGACCCAGTTTTAAAAACATCCAGCTAAAAATGCTTCATTAAGTTTACATAGAGGTTGCAAGGCAATCAGGATTCCTCCTGCAGTTGTGGCTGGAAGAATTTCTACAAGTCCTCTACATCTTCCGCTCCAAAAGCTGCTGTCTTTGGGGCTACAGAACATCTGCCATGTGCAGGAAATACTTTACCAAAATTCAATTGAACTGTCAGACTTTTTTTCCCACCCTTTATTCCTTTTCCATTATCACTGATTACCCAGCTTATAAATTCCCAGTTCACACTTTCTCTTTGACCTGACTTCTCCCTGTAGAGCAATTCCGGAAACCGGGACTGTGGCCCTAATGCACACACTATTAAATATTGGCACTCAAAGTCACAAGAGTGTATTCCAGCTCTCTTGCTGAAGGCAGCTGGTGCAAGGCTCACTGCTTAGAGAAAAATGTGGTCAAAGCAAGTGAATGCTTTAAAAGATCTTTTAAGAAGTAATATTTGGGATACCTTGGTTCATATTCCATCCTGTCTGGTGTGGTCTTTTTATTTCTTACCTATGTGGACCATAGAGAGCACAACTTTTACCAACAGGCTTTTCCCAGTTCACAAGTCTAAGTCATTTCATTCCTTCACATTAGATTCTTTATGCTGAGAGTTTCAAATGGCAGCCTCAAGCTCCCAAGCAATCAGCAAATGTCAAATGTCCCCAAGCACTGCAACCATCTGAGATACTGAGCCACTGCCTGCCGAATGAAGATTGTATTATTAGTAGTGTAATGTTTCTGGTGGGGCGGGGAATAGAAAAGTCAAAGAAAAGAAAAAAAGATGCTGTTCACAGACACAAGCTCAATTGTCTTCAATTGCCCAGCATTGTCTAAGAACCAAAGTCATTCTAACATCAAATCTGGGGAGAGTTTGCTAACTTCATTACCACTTATGTCTTGAATAAATGATAAATGGCAGTGCGCGCTTCTAACTTTTCATGAATTTGTTTTAATACCTAGAATTTTTCTTCTAGGTAGGCTGAACTTCCCTCACTTTAAATTGTCTGTTTACTTTAATTAAGCTTTCCTCCGGCTCTCCAACTTGTTGAGCTTGACAAGCATTAATTTACAGTGAGCATTTTTTTTTTCCTTTTTCTTTCTTTGATTTTTTCAACTTTAGCCCTCTCATCCTTGCCTGGCAAAGAACCCAATGAGTAACTGACAAGCAACTTATTACTAATCCCATCTTTCTTCGTGGGAAGGTGTCTCAATCAATACAAGTCAGAATTTCCAAGCCACTCCTGCTGATAGTGTGCATTGCGTGTCTCTGTGTTGGCTTCTTAGCGTAGGCATCTCAGATAGGATCTGGCAGACAGGGAGATGCTGAAAAATTCTCAACTTAACATTCCAGCTGTGACAAAGAGAAAAAAAAATATATTGTTAGGGATAAATTTGGGAGACTGCTGAGTCTTCCCTCCACTGCTTATACCCCAATTTTAAGCTACATGCTGCTATCCATTCTTTATGTCCTAGTCCAATTTGACTTCTGAAAAATTTTCAGTGACCCTCCCTTTCCCCCTACCACCCACAGTTAAGTAAGGTTCCTCATCCCTGCTCTGAGAACACCATCTGTTTTTTCCATCATAGTGCTTCTTATATCCTATTTAAATTAACTTAGCAATTTAATTTAAATTGACTGGATTGTCAGCTCTCCAAGGAGCGAGAAAGCCTGTCTTATTGTCATATCTCACCTGGCAAATCATAGCTTCTCAAGAAGGAGACCTCTATTGAATATGATTTGTAAGCTCTGTGATCTGGAAGCTAGAGAGAGTTCCCACTCTTGCCTTTGTGTTTCAGACAGTGCATTGAGTTACATGTGGCAAATTTTTACCTGCCTCTTTAGATCTAAATAGAGCGCATTCTTAGGTGGAACAGGGGCACTTGGAGACGGTGGGCCGGTGAGGATTGACTCTTTACTGTCCCAGTCTATCACCCGTATGCAGAGAAGATCAGGGCCAAGTTGCATATTTATGATCTCTGAATGAATGTGCCTTCCCTACTTGCCCACGGGGAGCTCTCCCCTGAGTCTCCCCTCTGCCAGACACACTCCTGTGCTTTGATGGATGGAGCTGACTGGGCAAATTGCTATGCTGATGAACTGCTCAGCTACCTGAGCAAATGTTCCAGAGAGATCTCCAGGGATATACCACATTTTAGAGAAGGATTCATCCCAGCCTGGGGTGAGCCTTTTAGCCCTTAGCAAGCTGAGTATGGTGGAGTAAGGAAGATGAAAGGACTACAGTCTCAGTTCTCACTTTTCTGCAACCCGAGTGCCTGTCCTTGGGCTGGCGAGAGGCCTTATTGCATTTTTCACTCCTCCCAGAAAGTTATTCAAATTGAGACCTACAGGTCTGGGTGTCACTATGCTCACTGAAAGAGCAAAATCAAGAAGCTGAACAGAAAGCACTTAAAGGGAGGATGCATTACCTTAAAATATGCAGATGGAAAACTGACATTATTGTCAATGTCAGAAGTCACCTTTCTGAGTAAACATTTACCTCTGGGCAAATGCAGGGATGTGTTTCTTTCCGTTTACAAATGACTGGGTATGCAAATGCAGGGGGTTAGAGTTGTGCCCCAGAAGGTGCAGTTGTCTTCTTTCATCTATCCATAACGAGGAACATGCAGGAATCTGTCAAAAAAGGCATCATGGGCTTGATTTGTACCTTCTGAATAAAGGGGATGTCAGTGTTAAATCTGCCAGCTGGTTTTGTGCCTAAGTGTTACATCAGTCTCTTGTATGATCTTGCATCCTGTGTAAAATGCAATATTTTGGCCTAATGGGCAGGATTAGCACGAGCTGGGAAGCCATAAATGAAAGTTTCTTGTTTCTAGAGAGCAAGTTAGAGCTTTTATATTATCTGCCGCGGAGCTCGGTGAATTTAAATGTATCTCTTGGGCTTTGGTAATATTCGTGTTAATGTCAAAATTGATCCCATTGTTATTGAGATGTGTGGTTTTTTCAGGCCGAAGATGCACAGAGCCTGTTGCCAGGGCTGATGAATATATGCACCGGACACATTCTTTCTAACCGTTTCTCAGAACCGAGTGATGTTGTCATGTTATCATGGTGCCTGCTACCATATACTCTTCACAGGTCTACATTTTTCTGTAAATCGCTTGTAAACTTAATTGATATGTATTGAAGACCTACTGTGTGCCTGGCATTTTGTTTGACTTTGGGGATCAAGCAAACACTGTTGCAACAGTGGGCAAGATCTGGGCTCTTTTGCCATAGGATTTATCCCTAGAAACACAGAGAGAGAGACAATAAAATAAATGAACAAGCAGAAATATTATAACTGAATATTTATGTTAGTGTTATGTGGACAAATTGCAGGAAGAGAGAAGAAATCACGAGGAGGGGAGCCACTGGATCAGCTGATGACCAGGTGGTATTTAAGCTCAGAGAGGGTGAGGCAAAGATCACCTTGAAAATAGAGAGGGAAAGAGCTTTCATGGCAAAGGAATTAATATGTGCGAGTATTCTAAGCTGGGGAAAAATTTTACATATTTAGAGCATTAAATGGAGCTAAGCATATCTAGCACAAAACAAGGGGACACAGTGGGATGATACAGAATTAAAGAGATTCCCGCAGTTAACAGATCACACAGGGCATTGTAGCCATGGCAGAGTTTATTATTTTATCAAAAGTGCAATTAGAAGCCATCGAAGGATGTTTCTTAGTTCAATTTATGTCTTTACAAAGTATATTTTTACATCCATTCAAATGGCTATTACATCCATTCAAATGGCTATTATCAAAAGAATTTAAAAATAGGAAATAAGTGTTTACAAGGATATGGAGAAAGTAGAACGCTTGGCCAGGCATGATGGCTCATGCCTGTAATCCCAGCACTTTGGGAGGCTGAGGCGGGCAGATCACCTGAGGTCAGGAGTTCGAGACCAGCCTGGCCAACATGGTGAAACCCCATCTCTACTAAAAATACAAAAAAATTAACTGGGTGTTGTGATGCATTCCTGTAATTCCAGCTACTCGGGAGGCTGAGGCAGGAGAATCGGTTGAACCTGGGAGGCGAAGGTTGCAGTGAGCCAAGATCGTGCCACTACACTCCAGCCTGGGAGACAGAGTGAGACTCCATCTCAAAAAAACAAAAACAAAAACAAAAACAAAAAACAAAAAACAAAAAAACTAGAACCCTCAAGCATAGCTGGTGGGAATATAAAATGATATCATTGCTGTGGAAAAAAGTGTAGTGGTTCCTCAAAACATTAAACGTACAATTACCATATGATCCAAATCCACTTTTGTATGTATACTTGTCAAAATGAAAGAGCAAAGACTCAGACAGATATTTGTACACCCATGTTCATAGCAGCTTTATTCACAATAGCCAAAAGATGGAAGCAACCCAAGTGTTGGTCAACAGATGACAGAATACACAAATGTGGCATACACATACCACAAAATATTATTCAATCTTAAAAAGGAAGGGAATTCTGACACATACTACAACATGGATGAACCTTGACGATATTATGCCAATTGAAAAAACCAGACATGAAATGGCAAATATTGTATGATTCTACTTAAATGAGACATCTTAGAGTAGTCAGATTCATTGACATAGAAGATACAATGGTGGTTACCAAGTACTAGAGAAATGATGGACTGCAGGGTTATTGTTTAATGGGTATGGAGTTTTGGTTTGAAAAGACAAAAGACCTCCGGAGATGGATGGTGATGATGGCTGCCCAACAGTGTGAATGTACTTAATGCCATTGAATTGTACACCTAAATATGATTAGAAATATAAATCTTACATATACTTCAACACAATAAAAGAGAACCACTATATTTTATGCTAGATAGAAAGGAAGCAAAAGAATAATAGGGAAAAGAGAAGAGGCTACTGCTGTAGTTTATTATTAAGACTATGATCACTTAGTGGCAATAGAGAGGCAGAGAATCTCAGGATTTAAAACATTTTAAAGGAAGAGGCTGCAGGACTTACTTGTGGATAACATTCCAGTTCTTTGTATTTTGAACTCTGATATACTTGAAGTCTGTAGACCACACTTGTGGGGGTAAAAGACTGGCAAAATCCCTTTGACTGGCAGATGTGTTTAAGCTTGATGTCTTGGTGCATGACAAGGAGAGCTTTATTTTTAAACTCTTCAGTAGTCTTGGATGGAGTATGGGAGCTATTGCTGTTGACATGTGAATATTTGCCTGAACTGTCATACAGCAGTCATATGCTCAGTGTGAACGTGGCTTGTCTTGAGATTTGCAGTGATAACTAGCATGTGGCTAGAGTTGTTCATTCTCTCCCTTATTAGTAATGCGCGTCTTCCATTAGCATATGCAACTAACTACTCCCGTTCCCCTGTGCTGTGTTGACATTCATTGTAATGATTTATTATCCAAGCTAAATAACCCTCAATATGAAACAACAAACATGCCTATGTTTGTGTTTTCCATTGGTTTTGTTTTCCCTTTCTGGCTTCCACATAAGTAGATAGTTCTTTATGTGATGATTACATGCTATAGAAACAAGCAATGGGAAAGCCCACTAGAAAGGTTAAGAATGTTGGTAAGGTTTATTTTTAAACTATTGAAAATCCACCAAACTTAGTGACATCCCCCATTAGTGCCTTGGAATTTAAAAAAATAATGTAGATTATTAGGAAAACGTTTGTTATGTGCAAACACTCCATATAAGACTTAACGATCTACGAAAGGGCCACATTTGGGCTTCCTATGGAGCCTCCAAAGCCCTTAGAAGCTTTATTTTATTTATTTGGGATGTTTCCACGATTATCTCAACCATCAGGAGCTCATAATGGTTATGAAGTGGTAGAGAGTGGTGGTGGGGATCCCAAGCTCTAAAGTTAGACTGCCTGAATTTATATACCAACAAAGCCACTGACTGTGTGACCTGGGATTATTTACTTAAGTTCCCTGAGCCTCAGTGTCCCTCTTCTATAAAATGGGAACATTAGCCATGCCTTTCTCATGAGATTCTTGTGATGATTAAGTAAGATAATAAATGTAAAGCTCTTGCAACAATGCCTATCTTAGAGTAAGTTCTCAATAAATGTTAGCTGTTATTAGAAGTTCTCAGCCTCTGTTCCCTGTAACTTGGGAGACGGGATGTATAGGTAAGAAGGAGGAAGATTCTAGAGGGTGCGGCTCATGGTCACTTTCTTCCCCACATCTCCTAAACAGCAGCTCTGTTTTTGGTATCAAAAATCTGAAATAGTGTTACTTTACAGTTAAATCAACAGAAAGTTGTTCAGTTGATGTTGAAAACTATGGAATCTCCTTTTTAAAAAGGTAACTTTCATGATCCACCTCTTAATGCTCTCAGTTTTTATACTCTGTTTAGTTTTTATTGACATCTCTGTCATGGGGCAGCTCATCTAGACAAGTTTATTGAAGGCAAATGATAGTGATGACTATGGTGCTTTGCACACAGATTGTCAATAACAATCTGGTTGTTTGGGGAGCACTTAGAAATGTGGTTCATGCATGTGTGAACCTCGTCAGTGTAAGTTTTGTGCCATTTAACTGATAACATTTCATCCTCACTCACTCTGGTCATTTTATTTTTTATTGAATGTATGTAGTTACATTTTGGTCACCATGATAACATTTAACATCATTTTGGACACTGGGGCCTTTTCATTGGCTAATGATAATTTCTGTATGTTAACATCACAGAAAACCAATTGCATTAGATTTTATCCAGTTAAACTACCTTACCTGGCTTACTATGGCAGTTTTGTTTTCTTGTTTTTCTGTCCAGTTGCCACTTAAAAACTAAACTGGTTATTCTTGCCGCAGGCTTTTCCCCAGTAGAAAATTGTTATTGGTGTTTTGTAAGTATCGTATTCCATTCAAAGGTAAAAGGCTCCTTCAACTTCCCATTTTTCCTGTGATTTTTTTTCTATACTATGTCTGCAAATCAACACTCCTGGGCTCAATTAAAATATGTATTTAGTCACTGGACTTGCAGAGAAATGATCAAACTTGAATAGTAATACCCAGGCTATTGCCTATGAATACAAGGATTGTGTCCATTGAGGGATGGCTTTCAAGACAATGGCCAGTGAACCCAGGATGCCTGTGGGATTATTAGAGCTTGGTGTGGGTCTAAACCTGAAGTTTGCTAGTTTTTTTTTCCCCAGTAAAGACAGAGTTTGTTGTTCACTAAATTCACAATTGTATGGCTAGAATGTTCACATGGGAAATTCAAAGCTACTTTCTGTCTTCCCAGTGTCTAGTGATCCCATCTGCCAGAAGTTTATTTTCCCAACATGTGCTCCAAGGACCTAACACATTGCATCAGGATAGCACTAATATTTGTTGAGTTCTTACTATGTGTCAAGCTCTCCAGTCCTGGCTGTGGAAAGAATGATGAACAAAGGTAGGCACAGCCCCTACCTCATGGAGAATCCATTCAAAGGATTGGAAGAGGGAGTGATGTAGTCGTGGGAATCAATTGGGCAGAACAGCAAAGGCTTAGTGATTAAGAATGAGTATTCCAGACAAGGAAAGCAGGATATACATGACTCTATGGCAAGTTAGACAGGTGGCAAGTTAGACAAGTGGGGAACAAGGAGAAGTTACGGATGGCTGCAGCCAAGGAAAGCAAGGTCCAAAGTGATTCTGGAGAAGCGATAAGAACCAGTCCACCTAAGCAATGTTAGGAGCTTTGTCTTGACTTTTTATACCAACCTTAGTGCAATAATAGGTACTACTGATATTCGTTTTCCAATGTTTAAGCAAAAGTGGTAAACTAACTTCATTCCTTACTTAGGAAGTGGCAGATGTGGGATTTGAACCAGAACTTGCTCTTGTAACCACCACGTTGCACTTCGTCTGTAAGATGCATGCCTAAAATTTTTATGGAGTTTTGACTCACAGCATTATTATCCAGTGTCAATGTGGTCTTCCTGTAGGGTCTGTTACGTAAGTCTGCCATTGGTTTGCTTTTCATTAAAAAGAAATCTAACTTCTGGAAGAGTAAACGGGATACAACACAGTAAACTTCTGAACAGCTTTGGTTATCTGTACACTGAATCCTGGGTCTCTAAGACTCAGAGGGGGGCTTAAAATGAGGGTTTGAGGGCTGTTGGTCCCACTGGGGAGGACCATGGCTGAGAGAGGATAGTACAGCTTTCTTGGCAGGTTCCAAGTTGTAAAGCCCAAAATTAGAATTTAAAGGAGGCAAAAATTGTGTATCAGAAAATGTTTCAATGCACTCAAGGAATAAAAATAACCTGAGATTTAATATGAAGAGAAGAAAGAAGAGAATAAAAGAAGAAAGGAGAGGGGAGAGAGAAGAGAGAAAAAGAGAGCAACATCACTACATTATAAGGCTACTTCAATCGGTCACTCTCTCTCTCTCTCTCTCAACTTTTAGTCTGAAGCTAAACACTTGATAGATTAGCCCAGCACTAAAGAAAATGCCCTCTTTTATGTGTAAAAGCTTGGTAATTGCTGCAGAAAGATACTTAGTGGATCCTAATATTCATATAATCAGATTAGTTTTGAATCCTACCTCAGCAGAGGATGTTGGAATAATCCAGTTCATGCCTGTTTACCTTGTCTGTGTGTTCACTTTTTTTCTAGTCATTTTATCTTTTCCGTTGGACTCAGTAGGTGCTAGCAACAAAGCTACCCCAGTATCTTAGAGAACAAGTCAAGTACCAATTCAAAAAGGAAGGAAAAATAGTAGATTTAAATGTTTGAAGAAGAGTAGGGTTTTGTTTGTTATTTTGTTTTTGCTTGTTTGCTCCTTTGCATTCTTGGTAACAATTGAAACAATTCTATGGCTCTCATCCTACGCTACTAAAATTTTGTTGGGCAGTTAACATCTCAATTCATAGGCAACAGTCTCATGACCAATCCTCTCTGAGCTTTGAACATATGGCTGCATCTGATGGCTTCGCTAATTTCACCAGGGAGAGTTTTAGAAGATCTCTATTTGAGGGGGCAGCCATTACACAGATGAGTGATACACTGCTGGAATTAATTATTGCTTGCCAAGTTTAAGGATTGATTCATTCTAAACTCAGAGCCAAAAACTCATCTTAAAGCTGAAATGTTTTTGATTCGCTGGTTCCAGCTCCCCTTCACAGACCCTCTAACCTAGCGCCATGTGTGTTTTGCTGTTGAGGGTGAACTACGTATCTGAATGCCCTAGTTTGAAATGCGCTTTCTAATTATATAAATATGGTGGCCATACAGTACCTGGGACTTATAATTAAGGATGATCTTACCTTGCAACTCCAGGCTTCCTTTTCTTCTGTGAAAGCTTCCTTTCTTCCTGAAATGAAAGTGGCATTTCAGCCATCTGTTGTGGGCTGCTGTCAATAAAAGAATCCAATCACATTTTACCCACATGATTCTGCATGAATAGTAAACTTGGTCTTTATAAATTAATATGTGTTCCCTGGAATTTAGGAGTGGTCTTCAGTATTTCTGAACTTTCCTAAGATGAATACCACTTGAGAAAATAATATATCAAAAATATTATAATAATTGCTGGAATTTAATGGAGAAAAGTGGCAGAGATTATGGGTGAAAGCTACAGGTCAGTTTTGGAAATCTACCTAAAAGCATGTCAGTTGGGTGAGCTTTTTTCTCTGACCAATGTATCACTGTCAGGACATCACACTTATGGCTTGATTAGCTTTTTTAGGCAGCATGGCTCTCTATTCATTGTGGAAGTTATCCCAGTGGGCATTCTCCTAGGTTTCCCTGGGGAAAGGGTACAGGCCAACTTCTCTCATTTTATGTTAGGACTTTGAAGTCTGACGTTTTCAATTACATACCAGGCCCGACATTTTCTTTGAATAAAACACTTACCAAGTATCAGACCCACTTTTTTTTTTTTGCAGTTTATAATACAAAAAGCACCCTATTAATAGTTTGCTTCATATAGATTGTCACCATGCCAAGTTTAAGCACCTATAATAGCCAGGCTTGCATGTTAAATAGAATCAGTATTCTGTTAACCAGAAGAACAAATAAAACCATTCTCAGTTTTCCATATGTTTAACCTCCTTGAAACTACTGACAGGTCTTTTATTTTGGAAGTATATTTTACACGGAAGGAGACTTCCTAAATATGATTTAATTCTTTTCTTTCCTCCAGAGAAATAGGATTTAAAACTTTGTACTTGTACCCTCCAGAAATGGCTCAACCAAACAGAGTCAAAATATCAGAGCAGTGAAAAAAGATGCTATATTGTTTCAGACTCAAGATCTGTCTCTTGTGATAAAGAGATTTAAATTCTCACTGCTCACCAAGCAAGAGCCAATCTGAGCCATGGAATATATTGAAATGATAGAATGCTTTCAAGTTTAGCATTTGTGTGTGTGTGTGCTCCATGGTTGAAAATTCTGTTTGAGAAATATGGTTAGACTATTTTGACAATTTTTAACCTGCTTAAATTGGATTTTTTAAAGTGCACAAATTGATGTTCTGCCTACTTGGAGAATGTTTTAAAGATATCAAGACTTCAAAGAAAAACAGTGAGAGTAAATCAGATGCAAACATCCCTGTATCCATCCTAGCAAAATTAGTTTAGTATTTCCTAGGGCGATGCTAAATTAGAATGATGCTCAGGCATTAGGGCAAGTACCACTGGTAATCATCGTTTTTGTTATGGGGTGGGAGGTGGCTGAGAAAAGAAAATATATTTTCCTATCTTGTAGGAATCACCAAATGACATCAACTTCATAGATATTTTCTGAGGTTACAATTGAGAATTCTTAGTGTCCCTGCCACTGTCATGGATAATTGTGTCATTTTCAAGTCTCTTGGAATTTGGGGTGTTGGGTGGCCTTTCTTACCCTTGTTGTTCTTTCCTGTCCTGCTATTTGGTCATCAGATATCATTCTCTCTCTTATTGCAGGGTAAATTAGGTCCTGAAAATGGCAAGGAGTATTAGACAAGATTTCGGCTCCAGAAGCTGAAAGCATTTTTTTTTTAAATGAAGCCAGAGAGATGGAGTGATCTGCTTGATAATAAAGCTTAGCTTTAATGCCAGCTCCATGCTGTTACAGCATATTACTAAACAGCAAGAACTGTGGCACAGATGTTGTGGCGGCCATATTTTACACCATGCAAAAGGTCATGTCGCTTGTTATTACATTCAGAATCAATATTAAGTGAGCGTTCCAAATTTCAGCTGTCAGTTGAATTTATTGCTGCAAACCAAAGCTGAAGGGTTCTCGACTGTGATTCAAGCAAGCTAACAAATTAACTAATATAAGGGCATGCCTAGAAGATGCAGGTGACCCACATGCCAACAGCAAAAGCTTGGTTCTTACATTGCTGCAAGAAAGAGCTGCTCCAGCTGCCAACCAGAAACAATTGTCATCTCAATAATAAAAGGGAGGGAGGGAGGGAGGGAGGAAGGAAGGAAGGAAAGAAGGGAGGGAGGGAAGGAGGAAGGGAGGGAGGGAGGAAGGAAGGAAGGAAGGAAGGAAGGAAGGAAGGAAGGAAAATTAATTCTCAGGTGGAGTTAATTCAGGTGGATGAAATATCCTGAAGGCAGCTTCTTGAGATAAAATATGATGTATGCCTATCTATCTGACAATGCTCAAGATCACAGTTAACACCCCTTAGAGTTTACTTGCATTGCCAAATTAGTCCAAGGATCTGGCCACCTACCCTTACTCCATGGTCTTCTTTAGACCTAGACGTGGATGCATTGACCCAGGTGCTAATCGGACTATCCTTTTCATCTCACCATGTATCATCTCAACAGCTACATTAGGGAGAGTCTTTCTTATAGTCAGCTCTAGAAAAGGTACACAAATATCTAATAGATGAACATCCATTTAATTCATACATGGATACCCCTGGGTTGCCTAAGATGGTTTATTAAATGGAATTTGAGAATTCCAAGTTAATGAGAAGAAACTATAGGTAATATCCAATCACTAGGTCAAGAGGGGATGACAAAAGTCTCAGAAATGCCATACCAGTGGATTCTGTGCATAATGGTGGATGAGTAGGAATTTCGAGGACTGTCAGCAGCAAGCCTGAGTCCCCATGCCCATGGGTTTCTCTGAAATAATTCTCAAAACATATCCTTAAAACTGTCTATGTCCATGATAGTTTCCCCCCAGTGCATCTGTTAAGACAGTGAGTGTTGCCCAATTTGCAAGTTGTCCAAGGTATGCACTGGGGCTTATTTGGGTGTGAGATTTTTTTTTATTTTTATTGTTTTTGAGATGGAGTTTCACTCTTGTTGCCCAGGCTGGAGTGCAATGGCGCAATCTCGGCTCACCGCAACCTCCACCTCCCGAGTTCAAGCAGTTCTCCTGACTCAGCCTCTCAAGTTGCTGGATTACAGGCGTGCACCACCACACCCAGCTAATTTTGTATTTTTAGTAGAGACGGGGTTTCTCCATGTTGGCCAGGCTGGTCTGGAACTCCCAACCTCAGGTGATCTGCCCGCCTCGGCCTCCCAAAGTGCTGGGATTACAGGCATGAGCCACTGTGCCTGGCCAGGGTGTGAGGTCTTACAAGACCACCTTGAAACCAGTAAGCAGGAGGAAACCAGGTTGTGTGGCCCTTGTCGGATGGAATTTCTCTCTTAAGAATTTCCCATCACAGTTGGAAAAAAATATCATGAGATTTTGTACAGATAAATAAGTCTCCAAACTGCTGGTAATGCAGAACTAGGTTTAACTGGGGCCCTCAGCTTCCTGACAAAAGCAGGACTCACTTTTGGGTGTTGACTCTTATTCTGCCTTCTGTGACAAACACCAGTTATAATTTTTAATTGACTTTACTAGAAGTGTTTAGGAAAAAAATCTGTAATTCTAGTAAATAAGTACTTCAGTCAAGGACTGTTCATTATTCAAGATTCAATAAACATTTTCTGAGTACCTACTCTGGGCACATTCTGTGTTCAGTGTTCTCGGATTAAAAAAAAAATAAACAAGACATGGTCCCTATTCTCAGAGACTGGGAGAGAAACAGGCATATACAAGTGAATACAATGCAGTGTAGTCAGATGTAGTTTAAAATTCTGTTACCTTAGACCCAGCAGGTTTATTTCTAGGAATTTATCCAGAGAAACAGTGTGCAAAATTATGTTTAAATGAATGTTAATTGTATCATGGTGACTGGCAGCTACATAGGTGCTCAGTGACTGTTTATTGAGTAAATAAATATTATTTTGAACCATTTTCAAGAGCAGAGATGGGAAATTCTAAATGTAAAACAAAGAGGGTTGGTTAAATATGACATCTACAATTAAAATAATTTGGAGGAATAAATATTTGTGAAGAATATTTAATGGCATTAAAAAGAATTCCTAAATATATTGTTAAGTGAAAGAAGCTTACAAAATAATATATGAATTATGATTGTGGTCCTGTGAAAGGAAAAAAAAATCCACACACACACACACACACACACACACACAGAAGAGAAGCATTCTTATCCTATATGACTAAATCAAGTGATGGTTGGACTAAAAAAGTAAAGCAAGGAGTCATAAAATTCAGACTATATATATCAAATGTTTTAACTTAAATATAGAAAAATAGGCCAGGCATGGTGGCTCATGCCTGTAATCCCAGCGCTTTGGGAGGCCAAGGCAGGTGGATTGCTTGAGTCCAGGAGTTCGAGACCAGCCTGGGCAGCAAGGCGAGACCCCATCTCTACAAAAATACAAAAATTAGCTGAGCGTGGTGGCGTATGCCTGTAGTCCCAGCTACTTGGGGTCTGAAGTGGGAAGATTGCTTGGGCCTGGGAGGTCAAGGCTGCAGTTAGCCATGGTCGCACCACTGCACTCCAGCTTGGGCAGCAGATGAGACCCTGTCTGAAAAAAAAAAAAAAAAAAAAAAAAAAAAAAAAACCATATATATGTATCTATATATATATATATATATATATTTTTCATTAACCTTATGCTACACTGATCTTAAGGGGCAGGGCCAACCTTTCTCTTTGAGTGTGGGATTGTTTCTTTCTTGCATAAACCACTCCCATTAGGCAGCATCTATGATTTTCTATTTCGGTTCTTTAAAATAGAGCAAGAAATTAAAAGGCTTACAAAGAAGTCTGAATCCTGACTCCTTCTAGATGTTTACATGTTCCCCATCATTTTTTTCCAGTTGTATCCATACCTAATTTGACAGCATTGTTTGTAGCAATTTGCATGCATTGAATGTTTTTCAAAAGACTGAACTTAAGAAAACACTTTGTTTTTACACTATTTTATGAGTTCATGCTATATTTAACTGAATTGTGAAATTAGATTAAAACAAAACTGGCATAAATAAGTTTGAGAATAAACACAATTTACAGGAGTAGAAGGGGGAGGGTTATTAAAGACTGGCCTACAAGCTGCATGCTATGCATATGTTTATATGTTTTACAGAGGAGACAGAGAGTGTGAGCTAATCTAAGTCAACCAAATGAAAGTCCACTGAGGCAGCTTTGGGTGTGTATATTAGCAAAGGAGAGAGAAGACAGTGATGGAAAGAATGGAATCTCAATGTTGATAGTGCTTATCTCTGGAAGGGGAAATTATGATGGATTTGTATTCTTTTTCTCTTTTCCTATATTATTTAAATTCATACAATGAATAAGTATACTTTCAAAAGCAAATTATTCATTTAATTAATTTATTTTTTAATAAATAAGTATTAGAAATAAAAGATGTAATGTGCCTAGCACTGTGCTATTTGATCCAATCAGTGTTTGGGAGGTGGTACGACATATTTGTTAGCAATGCTCTCTTTGTATTTGGGTTCCCTGGCCTTGAATCTCAGCCCTGGCACGTTTTACATGTGTGATTTTGAGAAAGTTCCCTTGAAATTCTCTATAGTGTCCCCGTTTGTATAACTGCAAAATAGAGATAACAGTAACAGTGCCTAACAGCCAGGGTTGTTGTGAAGATCAAATAAAGCACATAAAAATCTTAGAAGAGCATGTGATATGTTAAGTGCTTATATGTTAGCTAGGTCTTGTTTAGTATTATTTTTCTTATGTCAGAAAAGGGGCTTAATTTCTAAACAGTGAGCCAAAGCTTAGCTCTTCATGTCATTCACAGAAAAAAAAATGCAAGTAAGTAAATTATTAAGTAACAGCATGTGTGTGCTTGTCCGAATTCTGTGGGATAGGGGTTGGAAAATTATAGTCCATGAGCCATCTAACCACCAGTTGCCTGTTTTTGTAAATAATGTTTTCTTGGAACATAGCCCTGCCATTCATTTCTTGGCTGGTCCTGGCTGCTTCCTTGCTGCCACAGTGGACAGAGTTGAGTAGTTGCACCACATGGACTGCAAAGGGTAAAATATTTGCTATCTAGCCTTTTATAGAAAAAATGTGCTGGCCCCTGCTGCAAGGGATCCATCAAGGTAGTCTCCTTGTAGGCTACAGTAAAAAGAGAAAGCTTGGTGAGCTAAAGAAGATTTGAAGAGGTGGGAGGAAAGAAAACCCTGAGATATGAATCCACATCATGGATGCATGGATTCTGCTGAAACCAACAAGAGCCATTTATGTGGAGGAGAAGTGTTCTGAAAGAAGAAAAAGTTTGGCCAAGTAGGGTAGGAACTAATATGAAGACCTTTCTTGACAGCAACAAAAGTATTTTAGGTCTAGTGTGTTGGGCACTGAGCCATTACAGAGTGTTGAACAGGACAAATACAGAGCATGGCTTAAAGGAGATTATCTGACAGTGGTATGCACAGGGATTGTAAACCTGTAACTGGAGAGTAACTCGGTACCTGCTAGAGTCATATGGTTGTGAGAAAATAGGGTTTCAGCAAGAGTGTTAGTGGGAGGGGATAGAAAATTGAATTTCATATAGTCCTTTAATCCTTATAAGAATGATTTCCCACAGTCTCACGAAGAAAACACTTGGGTTTTTTTCCCTAGGAATAAGCACAATAGTATATAGTCAACAGCAAAATTTATCATTGTTAGCAGTATAGCACAATTTTTCCTACAAAAGGAATTAAAATGATAACTACAAAATGGGATACTTAATCTGGGTGAAAATGTAGAATAGGCTTATGATGCCTTTCTTTGAAAGTCATGTGTGTGTGTGTGACTGCACAAGATTTAGTTTGGGGAAGCAATCTGAAAACTATCTTACTTCATCAGGATGCCTTCTATAATGGTAAGATCTTACCTTGCCAGTTGTCAACGTCTGATCTGACTTGCTCTCTACTTAGCCCTTGGCTAATGGTGTAAGCAGCATTAACGCATATCAGGCTGTCACCCAGAGTTCAGAGTTTCTTTAGAGTCCTTTATTGTGGTACAGAACATCATGATGGCAATGAGGTGGAAGGAAGAAACTTTTCATTCTAAACATAAAGTGAAAAGAAAAGTATTCTCAGCACACAACCTCTAAAACACCAAGCGGGCCAGCAGTGGTGAGCGGTAGCTCTGCCTCCTTCCTGGAGGGTGTTTTGTGCTGCATGTTGTAAGTAGGGACTAATGTGAAGACCTTTCCCAACAGCCACAAAGGTATTTTAGGCCTAGTGTGTTGGGCAACAGGGACCCATCACAGGCTGTTCATTACTCCAGCCTCCATTGACAAAAAGTCTTTAGCGACTGCAACCAAGAAGCAACCAAACAACAGAGATAGTATTAGAAGATATATTTATTGTCCTACCAACCAAGAACCTCTCTAGATTTCAATGGGGTTAGGTGAGAGGAGTGGTGGAGGATCCTCAGTCACCTTGACCATTCATTGTGAGATCCCAAAATGCACTTCTATGGTGTCTAAAATTTCACAAAATTACGTGGGGTGAGAAATGAGAACATGTTACTTCATATTGTCCTATACACATGACTTTATTAGGGTCTGTCCTTCGTTTGTAGTCTTGGCACTCACTAACTTAGAATCACATTATCTAAGGCAAAACTACTTAAATAACTGAGTTTTAGGATATGTATCAGTCAGTGGCTCCCCTCTTCGTGTTTGAATCAAGTAACATACCAGAACAAACAAGTCTCAGAGAGAAAGGCTTTCTGTAACATTTTAGATAAGCCCTGGCATTGCAATCATCTCCTATGGATACTGCTGACAAATTCTGTCCTGTTCCCAGCACAACTTTAGAGAAGGCTACAACCAGCTGGAGCTGGGTAGTGGGGAGGGAGGAAGGAAACACAGCCACTGTTACATTTGGCCACGAACAGTGTTGAGCCATTTTTCAATGTACCAAATGTTCTAATAAGGCCACGATCAAGTTCCAGTTGCCTCATGGCAAATCTTAAATATCCCAAATTTGTAGAGAGAAGGGAGAAGTTCCCAAAGCATGGAATAAACAACACTGGTGACACTCCGGGTGACTCTAGGTGGTTTACACACTTGGCATTAAGAAGCACTGAATCACACAGCACAAATGTTTTTCACTGATTACACTCTATCAGCTCTTCTTACTTTGTCAAGGAGAAAGCCTCTATTTGATCCTAGCATGTCTTACTTCATAACAGTCGATCCTTGTGATTCTTGGATCCCCTACTTGCTAATTTGCCAACTCACTTAAATTTATTTGTAACCTGAAATCAAAACCCGCAGTGCTCTCACAGTCATTTGCAGGCATGCACAGAGCGGTAAAAATCTTGAGTTGCCCAACGTGCACAGTCCCAGCTGGAGCCAAACAAGGCAACACTCTGCCTTATTGTGTCAGCTCTCATATCGTAAACAAGTGTCCTTTCACGGCCTATTTAGTGCCATTTTTCCCACATTTGTGTACTTTTTGTTGGTGATTTTGCTGTTTAAAATGGCCCCTGAGCATATTGCTTGAGTGCTGTCTGGTGATCCTAAGCACAAGAAAGCCATGATGTGCCTTACAGAGGAAATACATGTGTTGGATGAGTTTCGTTCAGGCCTGAGTTGCAGTGCTGCTGGCCATGAGTTCACTGTTAATGAATCAGCATTGCATATTAAATATGGTGTCTTTAAACAGAAGCTCACATACAACAAAGCTATGTAATAATTAATTGATAAAAATGTTGTGCCCAGAGACTCACAGGCACCTAACTCTGTGTTTCCTCTAGGAGCAATGATTCAGTATTCTCTAATTCAGTGTTCACCCTTGCTGACATTGTAAAACATAATTACTGCAAATACTGAGACCCAACTACACTTACATAACACACTGGCAATAGTATTTTTGTAAGAATTTGTCAACACTTTTGTTTCCACTTATTTATTTGTTTTTTTGACATTTTTATTATTTGTTCTTGCTGTTACCTTCTATTTATATCACAAATAGCACTTAAAATGTCCCTATGTTACAGGCCTGCTGCGGTGGCTCACGCTTGTAATCCAAGCACTTTGGGGGGCTGAGGTGGGAGGATCATTTAAGCTCAGGAGTTCAAGACCAGTCTGGGCAACATGGTGAACCACCATCTTTACAAAAAATGCACATGTTAGCTGGGTGTGGTGGCATGCACCTGTAGTTACAGCTACTTGGGAGGCTGAGGTAAAAGGATGGCTTAAGCCTGGGTGGTCAAATTTGCAGGAAGCTATGATTGCAACACTGCACTCCAGCCTAGGCCCTAAGACATAGAGACAAGGTCTTGTAAATTCCATGTTACAAAATAGTGATGCAAAATTTCCAAATACCTTTATTGGAGCAAAATGTGTTAATACAAAGAAAAAATATTAAGTAAATAATAATAAAGGTACTACAGTATTAAAGCCAAAATAATATGTGAAGGAAGTAGGCAAGAAATAAGCTTATGATCCCTGGGATTGGAGAGAGCATTCATTCTTCTCCTTTCTTACTTACTGCCTCCTTAGAGTCTAGCCCTATAGCTGAGAGCGAGTTTAACAGAGGTAATGTGACTTCGTTTGCTGAGAAAAGAAAGAATAAATGAAAGTGATCAGGTGAGTATGTGGCCATTCTAAACTCAGGCTATAGGCCTCGTAGAGTTTAGAATTTATGAAAATCACAGAAAAGATTAGGAGTTTCCTGCATTGGCCCTAAGTTTCCTTAGAATTAAAAGTTGGGCTGGTCGTGGTGGCTCACACCTATAATCCCAGCACTTTGGGAGGCCAGATGGCTTGAGTCCAGGAGTTCAAGACCAGTCTGGACAACATGACAAAACCCTGTCCCTACCAAACATACAAAACTTAGCTGGGTGTGAAGGGGCACACCTAGCTACTTGGGAGGCTGAGGCAGGTGAATCAATTGAGCATGGGAGGTCAAGGTGCATGAGCCATGATTGCATCGTTGCACTCCAGTCTGGGTGACAGAATGAGACCCTGTGTCCAAAATAAATAAAAAAATAAAAATAGGCTGGGCACAGTGGCTCACACCTGTAATCCCAGCACTTTGGGAGGATAAGGCGGGTGAATCACCTGAGGTTGGGAGTTCGAGACCAGCCTGACCAACATGGAGAAACCCAGTCTCTACTTAAAATATAAAATTAGCTGGGCATGGTAGCGCATGCCTGTAATCCCAGCTACTCGGGAGGCTGAGGCAGGAGAATCCCTTGAACCCAGGAGGTAGAGGTTGCGGTGAGCCAAGATCGTGCCACTGCACTCCAGCCTGGGCAACAAGAGCAAAACTCTGTCTCAAAAAAAAAAAAAAAAAAAAAAAAAATTAAAAAGAAAATAAAAGTTGGCTTCTGAGTTACTGTTAATAATAGAGCTCATTGTTCATCAAACTTGGCCTCTAAAGCAAATCCTGCTTTAGATGGCCCAAGCAAGCTGGCTCCCTCTTGTTTTATAAAGATGCCCCATGTGCAGCCCTGGGAAGGTGAGATGGGAAGATGCTCTCACCATCCCTCAGTCAAGTCATTGAGATCATTTCCAAGTTCAGCTCTTTGCGTCACACTGTCCTTCAACCGGCTTTATTGTAAATGCAAGAGAAGGGAGGTTTTTGGCACTTGGAGCAAAAGATGTAAAAACAAAAAAATTACAAGGGAGCAGTCAAACAGAAAAGAGAGCAATTAAAGAGACAAAAAGTCCCCTTAGCTGCCTTTTGGGTACTTTTTTGATCTTTTCACCAAGGAATTAGTAGCTTTTAATTTTCCCCACCTCAGCTTAAAAGAGTGCTGGCAGGAAAGAAATGAACATTATGGGAAGGCTGCTTTGGATTAAAAAGCAAATGTAGGTGAGACTATCAGGCAGCTGTCAGACTCCATGAACACAGGCCTGCTCGCCCAGCTCAGCAGCCAGGTTATTGCTGGACAACAAAAGTCCCCAATCTAGAAGCAGTGGCTTTCCTCAGCCTTATTTCTAATAATCAGGTGCATGCCTCCACTTGGCTTGATATTTTCTACAATCGTCTGGCAACTTGCTGCTTCTGCCACTTAAAAGTGGGGAAGGGGTTGCTTAATTTTTAAAGCACAGTGCATCTGAATTTGAGTGAAAGCTCAGGTCCTTGTTCTCACTGTGGAAGATGAAACATTGATTGGCTTCAACTAGAAACAGGTTTTTTTTTTTTTTCTGTCTTTTGTTTTTGTTTGTGTCTTTTTTCCTCCTTCCCCCAGGAGGGTTGTGTTCAGCAGCACACACCGGGTTCAGCCCACCTAGCAAGTCCAAGGAGAAGGGGTCATGTTCATCTGGGAGATGGTAAGGGCCAGGCCTGGGCAGTGAGGGGCAGGAGTGAGCCGTGTTTGTGGATGATCACTGGATGCTGCAGGGCAGACCCACATGGCACTGGCGGCAGAGCTCACCATTGGGAACCAGAGTACAATATTTCAGAAGGAAGGGTTTCTGAACCCCAGTTTAACAAGCCCTCTACAGCACCAGTTGCAATCCCCAGGAAACTCGTTAATGCAGTTAGATGCCACGGCAGTGTGCACTTAAGACAGGGAAGAAGTACAGCTGCTCTTCAGCTCCGCGGATGCCAAAGCAGCTCCTCTGTTCATTAGCCCAGCCTCTTCCTCTATACTGACCTTATGGAGATGCTGCTGGCCTTCTGAGAACTAGTAGAGGCAAGCTTCCAAATCATTGTGTTGTTTTTAGCATTACGAAACCATCAGCCAGTATCTGAAGGGTTCTTTGCCTACCAGCAAATCGCTTGGTCCTGCTGAGGAATCACACAGATGGTGTGGGAGCCCTGGGCTCCCTCCCAGGGTGCGTGTCTCTCCCCAGGGGAGCACCCCAAGGTGGCAAGAAGTCCCCCGGGGGGACTTGACCAGGGCCTTGGTCAAGCTTAGAGGTGCAGTGTACCCCAAATACTAATCTGGAATATATGGAGTATCAGTCAATGTTTGTGACTAAATAAGAGGGAGATTGAGGGATGCTTGGAAGTCACTGAGCCAAGCAGGAGGCAAAGCTAAATGGTCCATCTATTGATAACCTTGTGAAATTTTTTGCAATGAAATTAGGTTTAATTTAATTGAGAAAAATGGACAGGGACCCAGCAGTGTCATCGTTGCAGCAACAGTTGTAAGCATGGGTGCTAGAGTCACTGTCTAATTCAACTTCTGACTTTGTCATTAATGAGTTTTTAGACTTTGGAAAAATTGCTTAATCTCTGCAGCTTCAGTTTTCACTTTTGTAAAATGGGGAAACAAATAGTGATGCCCTGAAGGGGTTTTGTTGTTTTGGGGGGTAAAGAAATAAACAGAACAATGTGTGTGAATATGATTAACACAGAGCCTAGTCCATAGAATGTATGTAGTGAAAGCTCAATGCTTGCTGCTGCTTCTCCTCTTCCTCCTCTTCTGTGATTAAATTATTTAAAGCAGGAATAATGGTTTTTATAGAAATCATCCCCCTTTCATTTTAGGCTAAGTAGCATACTACAGTCATATGAACCTTAATTGTGATCACACATACAGGCGTAAGCGGAAAGATAATATAGTTCCTGCCTTCTGGGTGTTTACATTCCTAGTAGTCTCTGCTCACCTGCTTTTAACCTTCTCCAGGATAATGAGTTATGTGACTTTTGGGTGCCAGGTATATAAAACCATGTTTTCCTGTCAGCCAGCCAGTGACTATAAGAATTCACACATTTGCATTTGTCATTGTAATTCTTTTGTTCCAAAAAGAGGTGAAAAAAAGGTTAAAAGGAATGTCATCCATTGGAAAGATATATCAAAATGTGTACCCGTATCTCATCAGAACCTCACACAGAATTAAGAGTTTGTGTTATTTGGGTTTCAATTTAAGGTAGAGAATCAAAAATACCAGTGACAAATGATTTGTGACTCCTACTTAATTTATTCAACTCCAAATGATTTCAATAAATCTGGGAATTCATCTATATCCTGTTGAATTAAGGTTTTTTTTTTTGAATTATTCTCTCTAAATATGCTTAATCTTCATTAATGCAGCCCTGCATGGCATTCTGAGCCAAAGTGAACTAAGAGGAAAATTTTTTACATTTCTAATTCTTAAAATAGACAGAATTTCTTTTTTTCCTACTACACAGTCTGCCAAGGCATGTATGTATAGAGATTTGATGTACTTGTAGAGTTTTTCTCTCTCATTCGCCTATCCTGTTTTATCCTAGCACACTCTCATTTCTGGATATCACGTGATGTGATTTAATGTGGTCACTGTATTTTCTTTATTTCTTCCCTTTTTCCTCAGTGCCACAGGAAGATGAATCAATGATCTATTAATATGCATTTCATTTGGGGAAGCTGTTTTAAGGAAGTTTCTTTCTTCCCTTTTTTTTCCTCCTTGCTCATGTAGCTAATGAAACAATATGCATTTCAATTCCAAGGCTCCCTGGATTCAGACCTAGAGAGTAGCTAACACACAATTGATTTCTAGTCCTGCAGGAAAAGGGGAAGCAGTAGAGAAATCAGATGGATTGATCGCTGAGAAACAGGACCCATGGGATGCTTCACTATCATCCATGTCTTGAATGTATGCACAATCCCTTCATCAATAGAGTAATCCCCAGGATAGGAACTTCATAGGGTCCAGATGGTAGTTCAAGTAGGCAGGTGTGTTAGCCTGTAGTTTGTCCCTCTTCAGGTCTGCTCTGCCATAATAAACTGCCAAAATAAATTTACAAATTCAGACTTTAGAAACTGGCAAATCAGAGGTAGAATGTTGAGCAGTGGTGCTGACATTTCCTAAGAGAGCATTAGACAAGGGACAGCAAGCTCAAATGTCCACAAGTACCATGTAGGTTGGTGTGAGACAGTAAGTGTTAAATAATTTCTGTCCATCCCTCAGGATAGCACCTGCCTACTTACTTTGTGTTATAAAGCATGAGTGGGGTGGGGGAAAAATAGCCAAATGAAACATATTTATGGGTCATCTTTATCCTAAAACCTGCTATTTGTGGTCCCTGAATTAATACTACTCATCATTTTACAGAAGAAACTCAAAACATGAGAAATTAAACCTCCTTACCCAATGTGTCACACTCAGAATTTCCCAATCTTTTCACATTTTTTTTTCTGTCTCTGACGCCATGACCAAATGCCATGCTTAGAGTTCAACTTCTAGTTTTGGAAAACCAGCCTCTAATGCCTCAGGTACCAAGCCTCTGCAGAATGCTATTGTTTACACTATTAGACAGGATTCTCTCTCTCACAAATGGCAGAGGCTGAACTCCAGCTGGCTTTGGCAAAAATTAAAGGTGAATTCATTACCTCATGACTGAGAAGAATAAGACAATTCTAGCTAACAGAGTGACTGGACCTATGTTCATCTCTTAGCTCAGTTTTCTCTCTCGGCCTTGTTCTTAAGAAGACCCTCCATTGTAATGACAAGATAAGTTCCAGTATGCCTAGACTTACATATGTACCTGTTTAAAAACCCAACCAAATTGTCCTAGAGCTTCTCTTTCTTAATGGATACAAACAACACACTCCTAAGATTGAATCTCATTGAATAACTTAGGTCATGTGCCCTTTCCTAAACCACTGGCTGTGGCCAGGAGAAAGGAATAAACTGACCAGGCTGTGGAAACTCCCCACTGAACCTCCTGGCCTGGAAATAAGGAGAAAAGATTGAGACCTTGGTCCAAAAAAGGGGATGGGAATCAGGCAGCCAAAAGCAATAATTACCAGTCATGCTTCCACTTCACACTCTGTTTGTTCAGAGCCTGTCTTTACCACCCAGGAGCTTTAACTTAGCACATAGGGGTTTGGACTTTGTTGGGCCACATCTCAGAGCTCCCCAAACCTATCAGAAGACACACACTGGGAATTAATACAACTTTCTATGACTCAAATGCAAAAAGTTAACCCGTTATAGAATTCTAGGTTTCTCCACTTTTCTTCACTCTTCTTTAACATATGTTACTAAGCACTTAGTAAAATACTAGTCACTTTGCTAGGTATTAAGCACTTAAATACCAGACACTTGACAACATGCTTTATTTTATTCATACAACAATCTTGCAAAGCAGAGATGATTATCCCCAGGGGGCAAATAAGGAGCATCTGCTGCTGTTCAAGGTTCTAAACTGTGTTCCAAGGAGCCATGAGATTCCACACTCAGGAGATGGGGGGACTGGGAGAATCCAAAGTGTAGATCATGAGGCCAAGGCCTGATCTCCATCAGAGCACTTCTTTTGTTGGTCTTACATTTTTAAGTTTTCCATACTAATTTTTCTAAAGGCATTGATACTTACATTCTTTTTGTGAAAATCACTTAGCAAGTAATGAAGTTATTTTACTGCTCAGTACTTGTACAATTGCAAATGAAAGAATTCTGACTTAACCTCAAAAAAATGATAGAAAGGTCCAGGCCTGGCTGAATCCAGAGCTTCATGACCGGGGCTTCCTTCTACTCAAGGAAGTTTACATTCTTTGACTCCATGTAGAAACAGGATGGATATCTATCATGCTTTCCCTTCTCACTTTGTTCAGGGCCTGCATTTCCCACCTGGAAGCTCCTGGCATCCATCCTATGTTCTATCAATCTCAGCAGAGAAAAGGCTTTCCTTTTCCAGTGATTCCAACAAACACCCTGTCACTGAGTCTTATTAGATCTTTTTGACCTAGCCTACATATCATGGCTGTCCCTGTCCTCTGTGGCCAGAGAAGTACCATGCTTTGTTTGGCCATGGTGGAATCAGGTGTTCACCTGTGCAGGTGGGAATGGAGACAACCCTCGGGAACCACATGGGTTGGGAGTGTGAGTGAGTTGCCCCGCTAAAGGAAAACTAGAGGATTGTTGGTGAAGGTAGAAGGTGGTAGATGAGAGTTCACTTGCCCACCACCGCTGTGGTAGAGCTGAGATCATAGCATAGATCTTTAATTTCAAATGAATGCTGTTTCTAATGCTTCATGTTACTTCTCTTTTGTCCTTGATATGCCTTTAAAAATAACAGCTATTAAGTTTTTGCTTAATTCTTTTTATTTTACCATGGCAATTAGTGGTGGATGGGTGGCCCAAGGAATTTTCTGTTTTCCAAGTGGGTAGGACTGTTTTTATTTACTACACTATTTGAGAAGACACATGCATAGCTGTTAGAGGCCCTACTTTTGACATCAGAAAATGGGTTCAGATCCTGATTGTTATTGAATGACTTTGTATGACTTTGGGCCAATTGCCTTACTCCAGTCCCCTCCTTCATAGGATTTTTTTGAGGATTAATTGAAAGCATATGATACAGAAAATGGTCTCAGCACAGTTGCTAGCTCCTAGTATTGCTTTTCTCTTCCTTAACTTGATTTACTCGCAAGGATTATTTAAATTACAAAATTCCTTAAAACATGGGATGCATAGATTAATTGACAGTAAAGGAATCTGTGAAAACATTTCTTCAATTAAATCTATTGCATAAAGAAAAAACCACCTGATTTACAACTCATTATTGTGATGAAAGTGTCATTAGTAATTGTTGGCAGCATATACAAGCCACAGTGAAATGCCAAAGAAGATCTCAGAAATAAGGAAAATATTTCAGTCCTCTGAGAGTCAAAGAGGTAAAACTCATCACATAACGGGTCTTCAACAACACTTTTCTTATAGATCATGTATTAATTAAGGCAATGCAAGCTGTGGTAACAGAAAAACTTAGATTTCCAGTGACATAGTGTCTCTCACGCTCACTATGGTCCAATGGCCAAAGGTCCAGTCTTCTTTCTTATTATTTAGGGCTCTTCCTTAGATCATCAGCTTCCTCTCCATTCAGCCATGGCAAAGTCACCCTTGTTTCTCGATTACTGAGCCAAGAAGTGACTTACGTCACTCCTTTCCATTAATGGTCAAGTAGCCCTTCCTAGATGCAGGTACTAGGAAAGTGAGTCCTAATAGCAACTCTTCAAAATGACAGGTAGGAATTACAAAATCTTTGTGGGTCAAGCTGATCATACCTGCTGCAGCTCTACCCCACTAGATCTACTACACGTCCTGTGATCTACGAATCTACGGGCATCTTGAGAAGAACCACTGTGTCTTACTTAGCATTGCCTCCAATGCACAGCATAGTACCTGGTTCATAAATGTTTTCTAATTGAACAAAGGTATCAATAAAAAAACTAACAGATAATCAGGCTAGGCCTCGAAAATAATTTCTAGACAAAAATTTGCAACCACTTGAAATCCATATTTTTCTTTTCCTGGTCTCTGTCCAACTTGTCTGATATGGAAGTAAAAGTAGGGTAATGTAACCCTAATAGCCCCTGACCAGAGAACTCCCAAGTAAGAGCTACCCATTGTGGGAAGCCAGAACTAGTCGTAGGTCAGTGGCTGCTTCACCCTCATCCCAATTGCTGGCCTATTTACAAAGTTAAACTCACTTCATTCCTCGACTTGAATGGATGAGGAGCCAGAGGTAATCCTGGACAGGTGGAAGGAGTGGATTCCAACATTTCTTCTCTGGATCGCCCAGCCAAGTTTGGCTGCTCCTGGTCCATGGGTCTGTCCTCTTCCAGGTTGGTTGGACACTTTGAATGTCCTGTGCTTAATGATTATTATAGCATCCACATAAAGTCATTTGGGTTGGTTTTCTTTGCTGCTGCTTTGATCGTGTTGTTTAGATTCCAGCCCGCTTTCTCTCATAAACCATCTTAGTATGTGCTTTCATTTGTTTATTTTCAGAGCCAACAATATTCTTTGGTACTAAAGGTAGTTTAGAGAAGTAGTTAAGAATATGCTGTCTGCAGTCAGACTGCCTTAATTCAAATCCTGGCTCAGCTTACCAGCAGAATGAAATGGGACTTTAATAAGAGCTCCTTCTCTAGCAGGTTATTATTTAAAAATAGTACTCAGCACAGTGCTGGAGACATAATATGTACTTAATAAATGTTAACCAGCATCGTTTTTATTGTCATTATACAATTTTCATACTTTACCATTTTAAACAGGACTAGATCCCATTAGAGTTTACAGATAAAGAAATGACATCAAGACAGTTGAGTTTCCCATTGCCTGGTTTCTTGATTTAACCTCTATCTCAGTTCTTTGAGTGTACTTTTTGTTATTAACAGACAAAATAAAAAGCAGACTTTTTTTTTTAAAGATATGATGGAGCCATGCCCCGGCTTTGATTCCTGCACAGAGCTTCCGTTCGTGTCAGTGCGATTTCTCTGCATGGATTGATGGCAGAATACGGTCTGTTTCTAAGACTGTTTAAAGCAGGGCACAAAAGAAATCACACTGGCTGAGTCCACAGCTGGCAAAATGGGAGAGACTAAGCTGGTGAAAGAAGCTGTTAATACAGACCAGAAAATTTTTAAGCTAAAAAAAGGAACATGCCCACTGAAAGTCTGAAAGCAAAAGTTTTATTTGGGTAAAGCGATGTTCGACTCTGCATGATTCCTACTTAGAAAATGCACACGCTTGCCTTCTCCAACTGCCAGAACATCATTTTTTAACACAGAGGAACGAAAATAGAGAGAGGAATAATGGGCTTTCAGATAGTCCATGCCGAAAAGCAAACCTAGAAACATAAACGTTGCAGTGCCTGGACCCTTCAGATTATAAAACAGGGAACTGTTCTCGTCACCCCTCAGTCCCAGAGGTGCCTCCGCCATCTTGCACCATTTCTGTGGGAACCAATATTATTAGCAACATAGATTCCAACAGAGACATGACGTTGTGGAAAGAGGAGGCGCTCAGTTTCCAAGTCACTTTTTGGCACTCCTTTCTCTAACCTTCTCCGCATAGGATCCCTGCAAAGACCTTTGCCCTAAGCCCCCAGGTGGCAATATTCCTATGGGGCAAACATTCTCTGAAAACAAGGCTTCTCCATCAAATGCTTTCTACATTGAATACAAAATGTTTCTCTATCACTGGCAGAGTAGGCATTCAGTGACCACATTGATTTTTCCTTATTTGTAATCCAGTGAAAAATATTTTTGCCTTTCATTTTTCACCCCAACCCCCAGAATATGATTCAAAAATCTCATGGCCATGCATGTCTCTGCCAGAGGTTTCTATTTCTCTGTATCTCAATAGCTGCCCACAAGAATGTATTTGGCTTGGATTGTAAACCCCAAGTGTGTGAGCCTAGAGTCTTGGTAATATTCTTAGAATTTATCTAGCAAAGCACTATGCCTTCAATAAAAGATCTTGAGTGATATTTTAGCTATTATATTTCAGTTTTTTGTATACTTTTGATTTCTCTCATACATTGTAAACTCCTAGAAACAGAAACTATTTTTTATATGTATGCAGGTGTGTATTTTTATAATCTGTGTATCTTATGTATAATGTAATACGGGTACACATTACATATTGAAATATGTAAATATTCCACAGGATGGATAGCAAAGTGCTTTACATATAGTAAATTCTCATAGATATGAAATATATAATATATTATATATTTATATATAATATATTATAT
Organism: Homo sapiens; assembly: GCF_000001405.40. NCBI lineage: Eukaryota > Metazoa > Chordata > Mammalia > Primates > Hominidae > Homo > Homo sapiens. The sequence goes on from NC_000005.10 coordinate 167,791,457, forward strand.
AGATTATATATTTATAATTTATTATATATATAATGTATATTTTTATATATTATAATATATAAATATATATAATGTATATTTTTATATATTATAATATATAAATATATATATAGAAATGAATGAGGATAATGGTTGTGTAATACACAGGAAAAACAATTGGAACCCTAAGTATGATGATCCCAAATTCTTCAATTAAGAATCAGGAAGAGAGATCTAGTCTTGATTTCAGCCCTCTCTGATCATTTAATGAATCAAACCTGTCTTGTATGACCGACATAGTGCTTAAGAAAGTTTGGAATGAGTGAGCTAGAATTAAAAACAAAACACATCTAGATTTCCAATTGCTCTTGAAACATCAGACAGCCTGACCGCTGGGCCACATCCCCATGTGTCTCAGAGTCATGTGGAGTGCAAAGGCAGTTGACTCTTCAGATGGAACATACATTTTCCAGGGAGCCATCATCCCCACTCTCCATACTCCATCCACTCTCTCATCATCCCTACTCACCTCCAGCAGTGAGGAAGAGTGTCACTTACCATTTACAAGATCAAGGTTGAAGTATTGTTTTTCCTGTGGTAAAGAGGAGAGTAAACTATTTGTTATTCCTATGCTTCTATCAAAAGTGGACAAGTGAAAAGCAGGTCAAGACAGCTGCAATTTCACAAAGCTGGCCTTGCTCGTTTATGGGATCTTCCTAAGCCCTCTAGGCAAATAAATCTGCAAACCATGCCTTAAGTAAATCATAACAGCCCTGAGCCTTCATTACAGCCTCTTCCCAGCTCACAATTTTCCTTTGAGGAAAAATATGGTTATGGCCATGATGTTGTCATTACAACCTACACAGGATCAGCCATTGCCTTTGGCTTACAGGTCATTCTGTGCAGCCTGGGACAGCCTGAGGATGAAGGCAGAGACTGGTGGCACATTTTGGGAGGAGATTCTTTCTGCTCAGGGCCCATTTCCCCATTATTGTTTGTAGCACAGGTGCGGAAAGATATTTGGAACATATCCCAACCAGAAGCGTGCATCAGGAGATGTGATCGTCACGTGTGGCTCCAGAGGGTTGCTCGAGACTTGAAGACAACGTGTTCTGTCCACCTCACTGACTATAATAGCTCCTCGGGAGCCACAAAGAGCAGTTGTGTACATCCTTAAGTTTAAGGACTTCCTCCAGAGCTAGTGTTTCACACAGTAGAACATAATGGCTCCCTGGGAACGGTTACCAGAGGTCAGATAAATCTGCATGGGGGTCTTACTGCCTTTTTTGAAAAATGGAAAAAAAAAAAAAAAGGTGACTCATTTTTACCCCAGGAGGTACTGTTCTGTTAACAGGCATTTACATGATAATAGCGGTGTCAGCATGTGCAATGTTATGAAAAGAGTTTTGCTCTAGGTCCAGTAACATTTTCACGGTTTCTGCAGGAGCCTGCCCCTCTGAGGTTTCGGTCCCTGACTGAGCTTTCCAATTTGTCTCGTTCTTCCTTCTGCCCATCCTGCCACACACGAAGTATGCCAGGGAAGGAAATCTTTTCTTTTTGTACAAACACTTCCTGGATTCCCCAGGACCATTAGTAAATTATGAGTTCCAACTGGCTTTTAGAAATAGGCTGGGTGAAAGAGCCTGTCCTTGCTAGTAAAGCCTTGAGAGAGCTTTGCCCTTCATAGTTAAATTAAATTCTGATGAATATTCTCACCTTCACTTCTGAGGTAGTTAGTGCAAGCTGGGCTTTGAGATCAAGAGAAAACCAAGTTCAAATCTGAACTCCACTACTTCCTACTGTATGATCTTGAGCAAATGACTTAACATCTCTGAGCTTCTATTTTCTCATCTGTAAAAATGGGTTATAATAATAATAGCTTCATGGGATGGAAGAAGAGAGTTTTTGAGGTTTAAAGGAGAAAATAATGACAATTATTATATAGCCATACCTAGTAGATTATGCTAAATACTTAATAAATATATAGTAATATTATTATTTTTCAACTTACCTCTTTAGCCATTCTTTCATCTTTTTCTCCCTTTCTTTTTGCTAAAACCACATGTAAATAATGTATTATCTCTCGAACCATAGTTTATCCTTAAGAGACATCAAGAGGCCAGGTGCAGTGGCTCATGCCTGTAACCCTAGCATTTTGGGAGGCCAAGGTGGGAGGATCACTTGAGCCCAGGAGTTCGAGACCAGCCTGGGCAACATGGTGAAACCCCGTCTCCACCAAAAAATGCAAAAATTAGCCAATCATGGTGGCACAGGCCTGTAGTCCCAGCTACTCAGAAGGCTGAGGCAGGAGGATCACTTGATCCCAAGAGGTCAAGGCTGCAGTGAGCCATGGTTGTGCCACTGCACTCCAGCCTGGGTGCAAAACCCTGTCTAAAAAAAAAAAAGAAAAAAAAAGAAGCACTAAGAAGTAAGCAAGCATGACCAACTAGAGTACAAAGCATTGTATTGCAGCATAGCAAACTTTCTATTAGTCTTCACTTTCACTTCTGTATGCACCTTTCTGCTTGCTTGGAGAGAAATATCAGAAAAATGTTAATAAGCCCCAAATTTGAGAAGTAAGAATAGAAAAATGATAGACAGTGAGGAATATCGCTTAGGGCTCCTTTCCCCAACAATTATTATTCCTGAATATTTAAATTCTATTTCTATCCACCTATTCAATTGAAGAATATATTACAGTAGCTATGTCGCCCACCAGTCCACTCAGAACCCAGATAAAATCCAAAGCTGCCTCTACAAACACACATTACACAAATGCTACAGGTGGTACACGTTTGCCAAATAAAACACTTGTTTGAGAAAAAATAAACATTTACTTTGGGCATGACAAATTACACGTGTTTACTTCAAAGTTGTGGCTTCTGCTGGTGAACCTGAAAGGGAAATAAATTGTTTTGGTCCTGGCAGCTTAGGCAGAAAGGTGATAACAGGGTCACGTCATCAGTAGCAATTCCTCTACTAGGAAAATGTTAGGGAAAAATTACATTTGTGATGGCTCCTTTACAATATGCATTTGCTATCAACATGATTGGCAATGATTCAGTAGGTGTTTGCTGATTCCTTCTGTGTTCCGGTTGCTGAAGTTAATGTGGGTGTATATGACAAGGGTCAAATTCATGCAATAAAGAGTAAGATCTGGAAGAGTTTGAAGGAAGGAGAAAGAAGTAGGCAACTGTCTTGGGGACATGTTTCACATGAAAGGTGAGTAGGAGTCAGATTCTTGGCACAAAGTTAGAAACACTGTGGAAAAGAAAAAGCTGCAAGGTCCCCTTGAAAGATAATTGGTGCAGGGAAGGGACATTTAGGCAAAGCAATGCTAATGGGAACTTAAAGCACGTTACTAATGCAATATGGTTTCCTGGATTGCATCCTGGGACAGAAAAACCTGATGAAACCTACAGGTTAGTTACTAGTAATGTGCTGATATTAATTTCTTTCTTTTCACAGATGTACTGTGGTTAGGTAAGAGGTTAACATTGGGGAGACTGGGTGAAGGTTTCTAGTGAACTCACTGGATTATTTTTATAACTTTTCTATACTCTAACATTATTCCAAAATAAAATTTTATTTTACAAACAAAATCAGGAATGAGTGATACTAAGTAGAGCAATTCATTAAGCTTACCTGAAATTTGGGTAGATGAGTGAAAATTACAGCTGAGATTGAGGGAAGGATTGGTGTCAGATGAGAGAGTGACCTGAATGCCAGACTGGAGAATCCTCACCCTTAGGGAGGTGTTTTTGTTTTGTTTTTAAGCAAAGTAGTAATCTCACTGAAGTATGGTTGTAGAAAGATTAATGTGGTCAAAATGTGCAGGAAACACAGGTAAGAAATAGAGATTGGTACAGGTGGACAAATGAGGAAGCTCTTTTGCAGGAAAGTGTTTTGGGGAAAGATAATATTTATGCTTGCTTTTCCCCCTAACATCCTGAGAATTCAGTAATGGTGATATGTAAAATCAGATCTATTCTATCATCCCAGTGATTTGAGGCTTCTAAATGGGTTTTGGAAAAGATGTTAAGGGAGAAATCCACATTAAATTAAGTTAGATTTTGCAAGGGAATGACCAGAGAAGACCCATCTAAGGACCTCTCTATGGTAGAAATCTAGAGTGAGGATTGCAAAGGGGAGAAAAAAGTCTTGAAGGCAATGGAGAATGCAAGGTGGAGAAGCCACAAGAAGCACCAGGAAGGTACATTGCTCCCAAAAGTAAAAGAAAGAAAGAATTTCCAAAAAAAAATGATGTGAACAATATTGTTAAATGCAGGAAAATAGTATACATTAAGGCAAACAGTAGCCACACATATATAATCAGGGAGGTAACTAATGACTGTCAAGAGAACTGTGTCACTGAAGTGAGGAAGACAAGCCAGATTTTCAAAACGTTGAGAAGACTTCGAGGCAATGTGCATAAGAAATTACTTCTTTAGAAATAAGGAGAGAAATAAGATGTCAAATGGTGGAGATACCTCTATGAGTAAGAATGCATTTTGTTCTTCTTCTTGTTACTTTATTACTATTTTTAAAGACAGAGTAGGTGGTTTTGGTGAAAGCAAAGGGAAAAGAAGTAGGAGACTATGGATGCTAGAGAAAGTAATGGAAAGGAAACAGTGACCTCCAGAAACTAGAGAGATAGAAACAAGGGCACTTACAAAGGGGTTGGTTTTGTCTCCACTGACACCACCATCTTGTCTCCTCCTCTGGCACCATGGTGGCCTCCTATCTAATCTAGTCATATCTACTCTTGATCCTCTTGATATATTCTTCACAGTTCAATTAGAATCTTATCATGTGTTATCCTGCCTCTGACCCAAAACACCTTTTATGCAATTGTTCTTTGGATCAAGACCAAAATCCTACAAGGGGCTGCATGATCTACTCTGCAGCTTTAACTCAATCTTCTCTCCATGCTCTCTGGTTCCAGATGCACTGACTTGCTCTCTGTTTCTGCAAATCGCTGTGGGTCTTTGCACATATTGCTTACTCTTCCTTGCTCTTCCTTCTGTACCTTCATGTACTCAACTCGCAGCAATGAACTCAGTTAATATTAATACCTGAGTGATGCCTTTCATGATATCCTTAAGTCAATTCTCCCATTTATACACTCTTAGCATCTTTTTTACTTTCAAAGCATTTATCACAGTTCATTTGGGGTGCGTGTGTGTGTGTGTGTGTGTGCGTGTGCAGAATTGTTTGATTAATGTTTGTCTCTCCTGTAGAGTTGGGAGTGGCTCATGGCTGCAGGGATGCCATATCTTCTTCGTAGGAGATTGCCTTAACATTCTTCGTAGGCTGGTAATAGCAACTAGAATATGAAAGTCGCACATCCTTTGGGAGTTGCTGTTAACATGGGCTGTCCATGTTCAAGTGTTTTTGTAGCCTCTCTGGAATTCTCTCTAGCTGGCTTTCAAAGTCCTGATGCAGCGTGAGTCAGGCATGTCCTCCTTGAGGATAGATTTTTTTTTTTTCTTATTCTTTCCTCCCTCATACTGTCAATATGGCATTGTCAATATCGGAGTCATAGCTCTATGCTCTACAGGAGCCAAACATGGATCCACTCTCCAGTTTGTTACAATCCCCTCTTGAATACCATCCAGATAAGTTATTAATGGTAATACGGAAGTGGAATCTCTGCTTGTTAGTAATCTTAGCCTAACATTGACAGTCATTTGACCATTTTGCTGAGGTGAGGACTTAGCAATTGTTGACATGCAGAAATATGCACTCAATGTTGTCAGATCTGCTGATTTTTGAGCCAGATCCATCCCAAGGCCCTTCAGTCTGACACCTCAGTGTGTGGGAGGTTTCACATGGTCCTTGGAGTCCTGACCTCCTTTTTCTTTTGGCATCCCACTTAAAGCTTCCTTGCATTAACTAGGACCCATTCTAAATGGCATCCCCTTTAATGAGCGGAAATATTTGTCCCCTTTAACTGAACAGCTCTTAGAAGCAATTAGCATTTAGGGAACTTCTTGTTTAGAAATAATGTCTTCATCAAACTACCCATTATGGACTAATTTGAAACTGGAAGATAGATGCTCATTTTCCTATGGTAGCACCTGCAAGCGTTTGTGGCAGTGGGGCTAATAGCAGCACTATTGTAAGTCATTGTATTTCTTTCGCAATGTGTGTGGTGGGTAAATAGAAACCCCTTCAACATGTAAGCATTTCTGAGGACAAAAAAATATGTTCCTTTCAAATTGTACTATTTACCTGTCATTACAGATCTGAAGGTTGAGAATGATTCTCATGTTATAATTAATTCTCTCATTGCCTTTGAGATCACTGCCTTTTGGCCACTGTCTAGGAAATGAAGAGGGATGCTATGTGTGAGAAATGAGTACTCTGTCAGAAAAGGAAAGGAAAGAAAACTTGTTGCTGACTGACAGCTGCAGGAAAAAAAAATCTTTTGAAGTAGTTTAAGGGGAAAACATGGATCTAACACAATGTGTTTATGACTCCAACAGAGTTGCATGTGCTTGAATTAATTCATCCTGACCAATGGGTGGTTCTGGCACCATTTTGGTAATATGGATAATAACAAGAAATTTTAGTAAGTGATTATTAAATTCCAGAAACTATGCAAAGTGCATTTCATAATCTTTTTCAATGACTCATCCTGATAGTCCTCTTTACCGATGAAAGAATGATGCTTAAGTTTCCATTTATTCAAGTTTACTCAGCTAGAAAGTGGAAGAGCTGGGATTCACGTCCAGGCGCAAGCTAACTGCAGGCCAGAGTCTTGACACCCCTACCACACAGATGTCAGCTTTACCAGCACTGAAAGTGAAGGCCTCCTGCTCCCCTGCCCCATCACCATCAGCTTTCTATAATTTAAAGATTCTAAGTGGGTCACTGCTTTGGAAAAGCCCTTGTTAAACAACAAAGAAGCTACTGCCAGCCCCCTATTCACCACTCCAATCAGCCCACAGCAGAGAGCAAGTTCCTGGTGAATTAGGACAAGAGGAAGAAGACGAGAACCTCCAACTATGTAGAGGTAGGCACAGTATCAGGCATTTCACACTGCTCTTTAGGGAAGAAGGCTGGTGGGGCCAGGGTAGACTGAAGAGGGGCTGTGCAGTTCGAGGAAAGCCCCTTCTGTGGGTGGCATTGACTGACGTAGGGCTGAAGCACTCAAAGGAGTAAGACAGAGCGGGCGTAGTATTCCAACAGATCGCAGACTCCGCACTTTTGCCTAGGGCCGGCCCTGCTTCAAAGTGAAACTTCCACAGGAAAACTAAATAAAGGAAAGAAAAGCCAAACAGAACAAATTCCCATTTAGTCAGCTTTTACTGTCCTCAGAGGCTCTGTGTTTATGCTAGATCTTAATTATGCTGCTTGTCAAAGACACACTAAACTCCACTGTGGTTGAGGGAGCTATTTTATCTTTTTATCTTTACAGTCAGAAAAGGACTTAGTATGCTGAACCCTACCCTTGATGAGCTTCAAACCTGGAATAAAAGAACAGTTCTCTCTCTTCTGCCCAATTGTCCCCACCTCTGCACTGCCGTCCATGAACACCTAATCAGGAGGCTTTGATGGGGTTAGGAATAGTCAGCGCCCAGGTGGCCTGGGACAAAACTGTAACATCCAAGGGGACTGCATGGGCTTCCCATGTTCAAGCCCCTATAGTGGCCCTCCTGCTCCAGGACCCATGCATCTGGTCTCCAACCCTCCCTCTGCAGGGCTTATGACCCGATATTCTGGAGAGGCACTCAGCTGTATCTCCCAGCAGGGTAAATGGCAGAGCCTTCCTCTGGGTATGTAAATGCAGGGGAGGGGGTGTACTTGAGATTTTAAATGAACAATAATGTGCATTAAACAACTTCAAATCGCATGGTGAAGAAGTTATTCCATTTCCAACTCTCTTTAGTCCTTCAGATGAAATCAGGGAGAACATCTCTGGTTGAGTGTTTTTGTAATCTTGCTTTCTTTTCACTGTATTTATTTTGGCCTTTGCTTTCTATTTATGGCAGATACTTTTACTTTTCTGGTGATGACATAAATGTCTTTTAAAATAAGTGCATCTACTTAGGGGAAAATCAAATTTGCTTAAAGAAAAACTATTACATAAATAATAAAGGTACATGATAAAATGAAAACTGTAAGAAATACAAGGACTAACTTTTAGAAAAAGCTCTAATTAAGATGCTTTGTGTTAAGGTTCACTCTGACTAAACCTGTGAACTGATAGATGTTCATGCAGCTCTCCTTGCAGACATGCCTGTGTTTAGAGGGTCTTGAAACTGTGGCAGATCCTTAAGAGTGGTAAGTTAGGTCTAAAAACCATTTCAGGTCCCTAAAGGCAAGATCAAAAGAAGGATACTTGGTGTTGGGCATGTCTATCCCCAGTCTAAATACATTATCTATGATGATCACAGTTTGATCATCAGTTATCAGACTCATGGGAGATGTTGGCTTTGTACCAAAATTCAGATACCTGGGGCCCATCCCCAGAAGTTCTGTTTCAGTAGGCCTGGGGTAGGCCCTAGGCATGTGTGTTTTGCTAACTATCCCGTGTCATAGCTCAGCATCCCCAACTGACAATCACTGATGGGCTTTGGTCAGTGTTACCACCCAGTGTTGTATGTAGATCCACATGAGGAAAGGTATATGATTACACCTTGAAAATATGAGGATAACAAATCTGGCTGGACAATCCACTGGAGGTCCTTTTTATCTGCACAATGTGCATGCATTTGTTTCTATGCACAAAGTAATCCCTGAAAAACTGGCTCTTACAGAATGCCACAGATGTCATCTAGGAATTTTCCTGGTTCCTGTTAGAGGCAAGTCTTGAGTTGGGTTTTATTTAACAGATGAGAGGAACATCTTGGATCCCTCTAGTAGTAGCTCCATAGTCCTTCTCTTTGACAAGCTTCATGATGTCGTTTACTTCAGGTCTCTGAGAAAACGAATGGAAGTCTGTCGTGGAACACCCAAGACCAGATGTGATAGGATTCATTTCTAATCACGCATTATCCAGGTGACTTGCTCAAGCCTAGCTTACACAGAGTTCCCTTTCAGCATAGACGTTTCCTAACTAGCATTACCCTGCCATACCAAAAGCCTTGTGAAAATATTTTCAGCAGTTAACAAGCAGAGCCTGCAGTTATAATATGCTCATTAGGCCGCATGTTAGTTTTCAAGTCTTGCAGCATGCATAATCTGATGCTTGATTTCCACTGAATTTCAGTTCTGTTGGGCATCAGCAGACAAGTGCTGGCAGCCCCGTGGGCTTTGCCAAGGGCTGCTGTCTTTATGTGTGTTTTCCACAAGGCCATGCTGACTGTAAAATAACACACCTACCCTATTTGAATCTCCAGTTTCTCTTTGTCTGGATGTCCCTTCAATTATCCCAGAACCTTTCTTGATTCCCTGGCAGAGAAACCCCTTCAGGAACCACACTAATTTTAGAAGACAATGCAAAAGATATAGCCAGTAGTCCCAGTAGATGAATAGGCTGATTTCTGGAATTTATTAGATCTTCCTTTGTTCTAGACTTCACTTCTATGTTTCAAAACCACTGCCTTAAAAAAAAGAACAACGCTCTCATTCCAAATTATCAGTTTTCGAATAAAGGTCTTTGACCATAGGAGTACAGTACTTTTTCCCTATACTTTGAATGTATTTGAAAAGAAAAAAAAAAAAAAATATATATATATATATATATATATATATATATATATATATATATGTATATATTCCCCAGGGTCAAAGTGTTCCAATGCTGTGCGAGCTGAGAATATTTTGGCAATTTCATATTAGTAAACAAATGTTTCTGGCTGCTGAAGGTATAATTTATTTTTATTACATTTTGAAAATTTCTTGGTGGCTGGTTATGAGGGGCAGCGTTTATTTATTCCTTGGTCAATAAGTTGGTGCCAGCATATGCCTGGCAGAGTGTTAGGCCTTGAAAGTACAGAGATATATCATACCTGTTCCATATCCTAATGGAACTAACAGTCAGTGGAGAATGCCAACCCTCTAAACAGATAAATACAATGGACAAGATGAGTGGTATTATTGGAGCTATGAACAGAAGGCTACAGGATGGAGAGAATGGAGCTAGTACAAAGAATTCACAGATAAACAAAGTCCCATGTTGGAGAAGACGCAAGAAGAGTTGGAATTGAATTGAATTCAATTTGGGGACAGGAAACCAGAGATCCAAGGAAGCAAGAGTGAAGGAAGGCAGGTTAGAACCAAACATTGGCAGGGGCAGGGGATATGCCTCCTGAGAGATGGCCAGGAATGCAGAATGCAGGCTCATATTTGATTTGTATGTATGGACTGGTAGAGATATGACACTTGGGTACATCAGCCTGGCTTAGAGAACTGGGTGGGGCCAATAGGCAGAGAATGGGTAATTCAGTTGTAAGACCAGAGAGATCACAGGAAGCGTCTTAGTCCATTTGTGTTGCTGTAACAAAACATGCACACACACAGACACACACACACACACACACACACAGGGTAATTTATAAGAACAGAAATTTATTTTCTGAGACTTCTGGAGACTGAAAGTCCAAGATTAGCGTGCTGGCAGGTTTAGTATCTGATGAAGGCTCATTCCCCGTAGATGGCACCATATCAGGTGTCCTCACGTGGTGGAAGACCTGAAGTGCAAAAGGAACAAACAGCTCTCTTATATCTCTTTTATGAAGTCATTAATCCATTCATGAGGGCAGAGCCTTCATGGCCTAATCACCTCTTAAAGGCCCCACCTCTCAATACTGTAGCATTGGGAAATAAGTTTCAACATGAATTGGGGTGGAGACACAAACATTCAAAATATAGCAGTAAGTGAGGGACGCTTCATTGTTTAAAACCTTTGAACCCTCAATGTGGAGTGTGGATAAAAACTAATCATATTTTCTTCCCACTTAACACATTTCTTCTATGTGTTAAGTGGGACCCTCCCATGACTCAGCCGTAATAGTACATTTCCCTATTACCAGTTACTAGAAGTGTTAAATGAGCTGATGATGTACAATAACCCTGCTAAGAGCCTAGAATGTGAAAGAATTTATTTTGGTCACATTTCTAAATAATGTGGAATCATTCTAATTCCTTAAAATGTGTGATCCTCTTAGATGGGAATGAATCGAGCTTGAAACCTGAAAGGAACATCTTCCTCCTTTAGGCATGTCAGAATATTTTGTTGAGGGGTACCCAAGGTGTTCCTCACAGCTTGAGGAAATTAAACCAGTTACACACTGGGCAGTGTACATATTTCTTTGCAGCTTCTACTAGTAGGCTTCTTTATTGCATCTTCTGATGGTTTAAATGAATTCTTCCTGATTCTTGTCATGGTGATAAAGCACTCATGTTGGCTTGAGTAAGTGTAGGTGCATTGTAGTGCAACTAATGATGTCTGAACAAGGTTCACACCTGTCAACCTTCATTCTTTCACTATGAGACTAGCAGGTATTTCCTAAGATGCCAAATCTTAACTTGTGTGAGTCCTAGAAATGATGGCATGTTGACCCTGTATATTCAAAGAAAATCAAATGAGTATTTGCAAAGACGGTTGCTGACTTCAGGTAGATACCAGCAGAGACTTGAGTGCAGAAAAACCTAAATGCTTGATGTAGGAGGCATTAGGAAGAGCCTCAGGCACACAGAGAAATGTAGCAAATCAATAATTGGCCAATCACTTCTCTGAGTTTATCAAATTCTTTACCTCTTACACAGTGAACACCAAATCTGCCTGCCTGGGCCAGATTTCTCTTATATGGCCATTTACACGGGAGGAAACAGAGGGGTAAAGAATGCCCCCACTGCATTCCTAAAATTCCACCAGTCAAGGTTTCTCCAAGGGAGACTGACATTCTAAGCCTATCAGCTCTGTCTATCTCTGCTCCTTTGAACAGATAGAAATTTGAGAGTAGGTTTTGGTAAGTGGGAGATTTCAGAGAGGGTTAGGGCACCCTGGAGAACTGAGCCAGGGAGAAGAGAGGTCTTCAATGGAGACAAAAATGAACCAGTGACAGCTTTCCTAGTCTCCATTTTTCTTTATTTCCGGGAGTGGGTCTGCTTTCTGTGTTGATGTTGGACAGGGAGTCGGGAAGCACCAAACCTGTAGGGCTCCTGTGGAGCTCCGTATTTTCCATTACCAGGACACAGATCTGATACTTCAGGGTTTGTGGGAGTAATATTACTATGCAGAACAGAGGCATAAATACTTTGATTCAGAGGATAGACCTCATGCTCCTTTCCCTCCTTTCTTTCCTCCTTCCTTCCTCTCTTTCTTTGTTTATTAACTTTTTTATATATATAGTTGCCAGATCTCTTTATGGTGGTCTATTTGCATACCAAAATTTCACTTATGGTAAGTGTACAGTTTAGTGATTTTTAATGCATGTATATAGTTGTGCAATAATCCCCTAAATTATGTTTCAAAGTGCTTGCCCTAGCTCCTGCCCAATTTATTTCTAATTAACATACAAAACCCCATTTAAAATTGGCTGATATTGGTTGAGCATCCTGAATCTGAAATTTTCAATTTCAAAATACTTCAAAATCCTAAACTTTTTGAGCGCCAGCATGATGTTCAAAGAAAATGCTCCTTGAAGCATTTTGGATTTTGGGTTTTAGAATTGGGGATGTTTAATGGGTGTAATGCAAATACTCCAAATTTTAAAAATATGAAATTCGAAGCATTTCTAGTCCCAAGCATTTTGGATAAGAGATACCTAATCCATAGATAACATTCTTCTGCTTGAACACCAAGAAAGCATGTTTTACAGTCTCTTAGGCTAATAATGTATTTAAATTTATTTTTTCTAGTTTCTATGATAATAAAATTGCTATGGCATGAAAAGAAACAGAGAAATGGAAAAAAAGATAACCCTTTCTTGCCGTAAGCCCTGTTTGCAAGAGCTGATCCTCTTTCCCATACTTTGACATTCTATGCTGAGATCTGAGGGCGTAGAGCATGTTGTGGGTGGTAGAGAAGGAGGAATCTGCTTCTTGGGTTACATATGTCCTAAACTAGTTATTAAGCCTTTAGTTGCCAGCAAATTGGAACAATAATAGTAATAATCTCTGCTCTTTGTTGACTATATATTCTGTTTTATTTCCTTTACGTGCATTATCTCATTTAAGCCTCACCATGGGCTATCTCCCTTTATATAGATTAGAAAACTGAGGCTCAGATAGATCGAATAAAGTTTTCAAAGTCACTCCACAGTAGATGTCAAGGCCAGGGATCAAACCAAGACCTGTCTCACAGCTCAGCCTCTACTTTCAAGAGCACACTTTATAACATCTCTAAACAAATGAATCACGGCATGGCGATCAAGGGACAGCTTAATTGTCAGAGGTCTGCTCCTATTACTAGGAAGAAAAGTTGAAAATACATGGCCCTAGGAGAAAAAAAAGTAAGCTAACATCATATTTAACAGCTACCCCAAAATGGCAGGAATAAAAAGCAATTTAAGGCAAGAATGCTTATGGCTTTGGAAGTTTTGAGACATTTTTTAACCACACCAGTATTTGAGGCTGAATGAGAGGATGAGACAGTGCATGGACACGCTACAGCTTGTTTCACCTTTGGTGACTCTGCACCTGGGAATGAAGTTCACCAGGCATCTGTGGTAGAGGCTGGGGAGACATCCTGACTTGGCTGCTTGAATAAACTTGGAATAGGTCATGATTATGTAGCAATTGGGAGGGCGTAAGAGGGGCATTGTCTGAAGTGGTCTCTCCCTCAGCTAACTCCTTGGTGTAGCACTCGTGTCACTGAACAGATAAACACTGCCTTCCATTCAATTGTTTCATGTCTATCTGTTTTATTAGCTGTCCCTATGGTTCTCAAAGTTGGTGAAGTACAACAATCATGGGGGATACTTATTAAAAGAATAGGTATTGGCTCTCCTGAGAAATTTTTTATACAATCGTCCTGAGAAAAGGTTCAGACGCCTGTGTTTTTATGAAGCTTTCCTGTGATTCTTGGAATGAACCAAATGTGGGATTTGTTGCTCTTTAAAACTATAAGTCCATGAGGGCACTTTGTTTCCTAGCAGCTCACAGAGTGCTTCACAGGGAGAGAAATTCAGTAGATACTTGTTGACTGAAGGAGGGAATAAATGGCTATTGTAGCTTCCCTGAGGTCAACCATGATGAAACTTACCTCCCACAGTGGCAGTAAATAGTGATCAATAACTGTTTACTGATTTATTAGTTTTAAACCTATGTTTTATTTTTTCTTTTCGCTTAGCTCTGAGCAAATGGCTATGAATTCCCTTGAAGTTTTGTGTTCTAAAAGACCTGATGCCTATTTAATGAGGTGAGGTGGTGGGCATAGCATCCAGGAACTGGTTTTGAGTAGTTTCAGGAGTTTATTTATCCAAAGTCTGAGAAGAAAACCAGTTCCCATATTTTGCAAGTTCATTTTGCTCTAGTACAGTGAATAATTGTCCTGGGGGGACTAGATGGCATAGGAGAATATTAATCTTAGATTTTCATTTCCTATAAAATAATTTCCCACTTATTACATTCAGTGAGAATACTTTGGGTTTCAGGAAATACGCATATTTTATCACAGACAGTCCAAAGTGTGCTCCCAAATGTATCTGAAACTCAGGAGTTAAGAGGGACAGGTGCAGAAATTTAGGTAAGCCACCGGATGCCACGGTAGGCTGTGAGAGGACTGAAGGTAGAGGCAGGACAGAGTCACCTAGTGTCTCCACACCTTGCACAGTGTTGTCAAATTTTAGGCTTGAGCTTTAAAAGAAATTTGTAAAAGGAAAATATTAAAAATTAAATGACAACAATAATAATTAATGACAAGCATTTTTCAATCTCCTCACTATGTATAAGGCAATATACTAAGCCCTTTCACATATCATGTCATATAACTGATTTTTTGGAGAGCCCAATGAGGTAGTATAGTGTATTATAGATGAGAGCATCTCAACTAAGGTCACATTTAAGAAAAAAAAAGATTTTTACTCTTGGAACAGCAGAGAAGTCCAGAATAGCTTCAGACATGTTAGATTTCAGGGACTCAAGTAATATCACAGTACCCTTCTCTCCCGTGTTACCTTCTCTTCCCTATTGCCTTTCACTACGTGGTAATGAAGATGGCCCCCAGCAACTCCAATTTAATGTTCTCTGAAGATCAAGTCCAATGGAAAAGAAGATTCTTTTCCTACAGAGTCAGGGAAATCCACAATATCATGCTTACTTGTGACATCAACTGCGAAGTTTTGGGGTCCCTAAGATCACTCTCATTTTTTATAATTCACCAAAATGGCTCGCAGATCTCACTGAAAGCTTACACTTGCAGTTATGGTTTCTTAGGGTGAAAGAATACATATTAAAATGAGTCAATAGAAGATACTCATGGAACAGAGTTCAGGAAAGTTCCCAAAACAAAGTTCCCAGTTGTCCTCTCCCAGTGTAATCATGGACAGGGCTAACTTTTCTGAGTAACAGTGTGTGACAGTACACACAGAGCACTGCCAACCGTGGTATCTTTCCTGAGTCTTCAAGTCCAGAATTTTAACTGGGGGCTCAGTCACAAAGACATAATTGACTACCCTTGTGGCTGACCATTAGTCTCTAGTCCCTCTAGAGGTCAAGCTAATACTGCATGGTCCAAAGCCCCCATCATAAATCATATTATTCGACTGCACAGTTTGGCCCAAAGCCCCTAGGTTAAAAAAAAAAAAAAAAAAAAAAAAAAAAAAAAGAAGAAGAAGAAGTTTTTGTCAGTCGGGATATTCCAAGGGTTTTGCTGTCACCTCCCAGTAGCTGAGGGCAAAAGACTTTTTTGGGGGGTAAGGTTAATTCTTTACTACACACTTCCCCAGTGTTCTAATAAAAGCCTGGCCTCCATTGTGTTCATGGACCCATCCCTAAAGCAATTGCTCTGACACAGAGATGAACATGCTAATAGGCTAAGCCTAAGGATGGGGCCATTCACCTTGCCCACTACATAGCACGAGATCAAGTAGGGGTGATTCTCCAAGAAAACTGGACATTGACCAAGATATTTCAGGAGTAAATAAAATGAGAAGACACTAGTCTATGTTAACTCATGGGAAGGCTATGTAGCAAAACTAAAATACTAAATTCCCTTTATTTTGATTTGATGTGCTATCATTAGCAAGTCCACAGGAAAATGAACTAAAAGTGACTTAATAAATGCATTTTTTTTAAAAAAAAAAAAAAAGAGACAGAACCTCTTAAAATATGACATGTGTGACTTAGGGAAGAGGCAGAATAATAGCAAGTTGATGAAGAGGCTCTATATGTGATCACTTATGCAAATTTCCCACCAAGAATGAATTTGTCTTTTTCCGCAGGGCAACATGAAAACTCCCTAGAGCAGTGGTTTCTAAATTTGTAGTGCATTAGAAATACCTGGGGAACTTTTAAAATCCTGATGCCCAGGTCACACCCGTACCAGTGAAATCAGAATGTGTAGGAATGGGATCCAGGCAACTGTGTTTTTTAAAGATTCCCAGAAGATTTGGAAACTACTGTAGTAGATACTGAAACAACAGCAAACACTACTAATCTGAATGCTAATTTCCAATATGACCAACCTTACCTAATTAAATGGACACCATTCAATCACTGGCAGAAGAACTCCTCTTGAGTCTCAGCAGGATGTAGTATAGAATCTGAGTTGGAGAAATATGTGTTCAAACCACGGCTTTTACCATTTACTTTTTCATTACACTTACGTTACTAGTTGGGCCTCGAGGAAGCAACTTAATCACTTTAAGGTTCAGTTTCCTCATCTGTGAAACAACTGATAATTTATATGACATGGAACTTCTTTTTTGTTTGTCTGTTTGTTTGTTTGAGGTAGAGTCTCACTCTGTCACCCAGGCTGGAGTGCAGTGGCACAGTCTTGGCCCACTGAACTCTCTGCCTCCTGGATTCAAGCGATTTTCCTGCCTCAGCCTTTCAAGTAGCTGGGATTACAGGCATGCACCACCACCTCCGGCTAATTTTTATATTTTTAGTAGAGACGGGGTTTTGCCATGTTGGCCAGGCTGGTCTCAAACTCCTGACCTCAGGTGATCAGCCTACCTCAGTCTCCCAAAATGCTAGAATTACAGGCGTAAGCCACCTTGCCATGCCTGGAACTTCTGAAAGAAAATACACAGAAAGTACCTGGCATAGCAAATGTCAACTTCATTACTTATACTATTACCTTTATTGTAAGAGAGATAGAAACCCCTTGTCTTTTTTTCCTGTCTTTCAGCCTTTGTTATTTTGGGTTGTTTTGTTTTGTTTTTAATATATCCATGTAGGATTTTAAAAAGTGTATCTTTGTCAATAATGCAAAACTTATAACTTGTCTTTGTCATTAAATACATTTGTTCCCTTAAATATTGAGAACTTCAGGAGGAGGTGTCCTATTCATTCAGTCATTTATCCACACAATATTTGTAAAGTGTCTATGACAATATTTCGTCAATACTAAAATGCACTCATTTGCAAGATGTATCATTGTTTTATGTATGAATAAGAGAGGGAAAAACTCAGCCAATTAAACTGTGCCGCACCCTCAGTTACAAAAGGGATTCTTATTTCAGAAGTCTTAAGTTGAACAAAGAAATGTATAAGATAACATCAGTGAAATGCAGTCAGTGTGGAATTAATCCTCCAGGATGCTAGGCATAAGACACAAAGTTACACAAGACGCTGTCTCAGTGATGGGGGACAGAAAAGAACCAAGATCCACAGTTGGCTTCAACCCTCTTGCTCCCGAGAAGAGAGTCAACTCCAGTTTCATCCAGAGAAAATTCTTTTTCATGCCCCTTTTACATCATTAAATGTCATACACTGATCACTGTTTCACCTTTGAGAAATACAGTGACCTGTTTAAATGGTCCCATTTTTGAATCACTTTTCTTCAAACAGGGCCAGTTTTAAATGGCTGTATGTCATCCCACCCATGGATGAGAGTGAAAATGGCTCTCATTATTTCAGCAGATCACATAAGCCATGCTGCAGGAGAGCAGGAGGTGAGAAGGTAGAGGGAATTCAATTTGATGATCACATGATCTTTCTTCCCCTGAACCTCCCCATTCAACTGAAGATTTTGTGTTGTGATCCCAAATGGGTCAAAATACAAGCTTGGAAAAGTTTTCTGAATAGTCTTTCTCTATTCTATATATACTTAATACAGATATGCCCCATTTCTCTTTCCTTACATTGAAGCCTGCTTGGCCAGAAATGTGCTTGTGTTGGCTAATTTTTTTTAAGTAGTTGGCAAAATATGTCCTTGAGTGGAGGCAAAGTGTTAGGGGAAGATTTTGGGGACAGGTGTACCATCAATGATTCTGAATCAGCCCATTGAAATGCGATCTTTATATGTAGTTTGGGGAATTAAATTTTGGTGATAGAAAAACAGAATTCCAAAAAGAGAAAGAGAAACTAAAAATAATAGGCTCTTCAAATCCAAATGAGAATTCTACTAACAGCATCTTGGTGCGCCATGCCAGGTCCTTGCTCCAGTCAATAGAGATTTTCTTTTGAAGGTAAGCAATTTAGAGAATGAATTTGCTCTGCCGTCTGGTTGGAGGATGGGTGCCAAGGTTAGATCTTTAAGGAAATAATCTTATTAGTCCCTCTTATTAAGGAAGCCTCTGCAGTGAGTAGACTTTGAACCTGCCTGATAAAAAGTAGGTCTTGTCAAACAGCTCACAGCTCCTAGTGAAAAGGTTGAACTTTGTTGGTTTAGATCATCCAATCCAAATGCAAACATGTTTCTAAGCTTCTGTTTGCATACTCTGGGAGAAAAAGAAGACTTCCTTTTTTTCCTTGACTCTGACACTAATAGTATTCTGAGGCGATGGCAGCTCCCATGGAAATTACTAAATCACGGTGTTAGTGGCGCATACAGAAAGGCAGAAGTTTCCAGTGTAACTTGAAATGTAAAGCTTCCAATTGTCACTGTTTGGGTCCTTTTATTTCTTTAAATCTTCATTTTTTCCCCTTAACGGAACTTGGTCTCCCCATTTCGCCACCATTACATGTCCATACTAACCCCATCTGGAAGCTGTAAGGCTGAAATTTTGACAGCTTTGTCATTTTCATAGCTGTGAAGGTTGATGTTGAGCTTACAGGATTATTGCTCTCCAGGAATACTTCACTACATAATCAAGCGGAAGGTCAAGAGAGGTGGAGAGAGAGGAAAAAAAAAAAGAAAACTCTAATTAAATCAGGAAGGGCTGACTTGTGCCCTAAGAAATGTGTGCAACTTCAGGGAGAGCCATGCTTGTATCCAAGTGCAACAATTGGCCCCAGTCAGAGGCCACACTTGTCACAATGGACAACAAAGAAATTGCCATTAAAGCAAGCAGCTCCTTGAAGAACTGGCTTCACTCTTTGCTTTCACCCTGCTATTAAGGCCCTTCTCAAATCAGATTAAGGAAAGGCACTGTAACACATAGTTTCATTAGAGTAATGGAAAGAGGAGAGCAAGCTCTTTTCTTACGTCTTCTCCTTTGGTTCCTGAGATTTGTGGCTTCTGGATATCACCCTGGTACATAATGCAACCAGACAATAGTGGCCACACAGAATGAAAGACACGTCTGAGACTTATGCTACTGAGAACAGAATTGAGAAGAATCTTACTCCAAATTTTTGCATGATATATCGCTGCAAGGAGGAAGTAGACACTGTGTAGAATCCCCAGAGTGTAGAATTCTCAGGTAGGATTTGCACAAACTGTGCATTTTAGTTCAGCAAATCCTACCTGAAACCTACTGATACAGTTTGGATATGTGTCCCCTCTAAATCTCATGTTAAATTGCAATCTTCATTGTTGGAGGTGGGGTCAGATGGGAGGTGTTTGGTTTATGGGGATGGATCCCTCATGGCTTGGTGCTGTCCTTGCAATAGTGAGTTCTCATGAGATCTGGTTGTTTAAGTGTGTGGCATGCACACTCCCTCCACTCTCTCTCTTGCTCCTGACCCCACCATGTGAGGTGCAAGCTTCTGCTTCACCTTCTGCCATAAGTAAAAGCTCCCTGAGGCCTCCCCAGAAGCCAAGCAGAGGCAGGTGCCACGCTTCTTGTACAGCCTGCAGAACGATCTGCCACTTAAACCTCTTTTTTTAATAAATTACCCAGTCTCAGGAATTTCTTTATGGAAATGCAAGAATGACCTAATACACCTACTGTGTGCCAAATATTTGTCAAGATGTTAATGGTTCAAATAAGTCATGGATAGAGTTCTGTGTTTAACCCATTTATGCTGGAGGTTGCAGTTTTTTTGTGTGAAAAATCAGACCTCAGCGATGACCTTGAGCAGCAGGATATGAATAGCTCCCACCAGCTTGGCGTTCCAGTAATGGAATACTAGGCATATATGGGTTAATAGGGGTTTAAGAGAGATGAGCAAATACTACATATATAAGGTAGGATAATCACAACTGTAAAAATTATTGAGCAGCTACTATGTGCAGCTCACTGGTTTAAGTGCTTTGCAGAGAACAAATTATTTAATATAAAGGTCAGACTATTATGCCTAGAGCACATACACAAGGACGTCATTTCAGCTGGGGAAGGTAGAGGACATGGAAAGTTCCCTGCAAAAGGGATTTAAATGCATCTTGAAGGATGGATAAGAATTATACCCAATGTTTAAAAAATAAGGGAGTGGAAGATAAAACCTTTCTAAATTTAGTAAACTTCATAAATAAAGACTTAAAGTGCTACATAAGATGAGATCATCCAATAAAATGTAGTATTCCTGCAGCACAAAGTAAAAGGCAGGTGATAGAGAAGGGGCTGAAGATGATGGAATGTAATGAAGGCTTTGTCTGGAGCCGAGGGAGAATTTTTAAGTAGGGCTGAGGTTCAGATTTCCATTTTGGAAAGATCATCCTAGGGCATTGCTTCTGTCCCTGCTGAAGTGATAATTGTGCAAGTTTGCCTCGTAGACCTGGCTTGAAGACAATCCACTCTCTGAGTGCAGGCACTGCCCTTGGAGGGGGCATCTGTGTAGAACCCTCAGGATCAGGCATCCCAGCATTTTATTTGTTGACTTAAATGGGAAGAATGAAGCTTTTTATTTCTTTAATTTATTGGTGAATGCTGCTCGTGGACATTTAATGCTTCTGTATCAAATCAAATGTACCAGGATTTCTTAGAGTTGCATTCTTTAAGCGCCAGCCTGAGTGTGTATCCTGCTGATATCCTTTTATGTCTATGGAAAAGACCCTCCCTGGACAGTTGGCTGCAGCAGACAGTAACTCCTTCTTCTCCAGGCTTGCGCCTGAGGATATTTGTGTCTTATACTCACAAGCCAAGGAGAACCATCTTTCTGAGCAATGCCTATCTTTGATGGCCAGGTGATATGACCAAGGGACAAAGCAAATGAGAAAGGCAGTGAGAGTGGAGAGGGACAGAAGAGAAGCAATAATATGTTGTGAACCACAGTCAGGGACCCGATGCCACACAGACTGGTGACCGCATCCCTGGTATTCATTCCACTGAGACTTAGCACTGCAAAAAAGGCAGGCTACAGGGCATAAGAAATATGAAATAATTTATCAGGCCAGAAAGTTATACTCATTTCCTTTCTAACTATTTTGCTGCAGGTTAAACATTCCTTCGTGCTTCTGTAGGGCAGCTGCTGGAAATACAAAGGTTTGTATCCAGCACTGGAAAGTACCCGACTTTCCTGGCCACCTTTGCTGGGGGTGGAAGCTCTGTTTCTTCATGAGCAGTGGCTGGGCCTCTGCATTCTGAGGGAGATGTGTGCATCCCAGTTAGTAGAGATGGGATGAGGTTGTAAGATTGTATGAGTCTCCAAAATGTTTCCAGCAGTGAAATAAAGAAGTGAAGCCAATCCAGATGAATGATTTGGGAGGCTTTCAGAGGAAGGGGAAATATTACGTGTCTGCCCAGGGTTCTGGAAAAGGGTCCTTTTGCTGAAGAGCTTACAAGTTCTGCACACACACACACACACACACACACACACACAGTGGAACTAAGGTCAGCACTGGAAACCACTGAGCTATGGCAGAAAGAGTGTTGCAGTGTTGGAGGAGCAGGGAGATGCATGTCTGTTGAAAACTTGGGGTTTGCTTCTGGGCTTGCAACTGTGGCAGCATTTTTTTTCCTCTCTCTATTCCGCATACCATGCCATGATACAAAGCAAACATTGCATTGACAGTATGTTGACAAATTGAAGCCTTCAACCACTGGCCCAGTCAGCAGCCTGAGCAATCACAGTTCCAACCTCCCCCTCCCTCTCACTGCATCCCCTACTCCCCAGATTTCTTGGGAACAGGCTATGCCCCCAGTTGATCATTTCAGTTGTGTAGCCTTCGTAAGTCCTAACCACAAATCAGCTTTCTAAATTGAGAAGGTGATGAATTTTTAAATCCTTGAACCTGTGCTATAATCATCTTTCCACCATCCTACATATTACAATGCAGGAAGGCAACAGATGTGTTTTCTTATGGCTCTGGTAACATGAAATATTGATAGGGACGGGAGCATGGGCATCGTGTTGAGGTTCATCTACAATGAAGGTAGCAGTTCTCATCCCAGCTTCTCATCGTCCACCTTTCTTTTCTGACACTTAGGACGTGAAGAAAGCCCCATACCTGTGATGCTCAAGGCTAGTTCAATGAAAGCTCTTAAAAAGCCGTGCAATGAAATCTGTCTAAAAAGGTCTTTGTCAGTCTCCAGGGGCCAATTGCTAATGCAGCTAATACACGTTTGATCTATACAGATGATTTTTCCTTTGTCCTCAAGGGAATCTCTACAAACACTTTGGGTTTACATGGTGCCAAGCCCAAGTCGTCTGTCGGAAAATAAATAGCATTTTAACACATTCAAGCATCAGTCCCCAGGATGAAAAGTAGCACGTAGGCTCTTCTCTGAGTTTTCTAGCTGGGCTATAGGACATAATGAAAACCTCATTTTTAGAACATTTCTTTTCCTGGTGACGTTTCACTCAGAGGCACTGCATTCTGAAGGGGGAAAGGCACAAAGTAGACACTCCGATTCAAAAAAAAAAAAAAAAGAAAAAGAAAAGAAAAAGAAAGAAAAGCAATAAGCAAAAAAGGATAAAATTTTATCTAGGACAGTATTTCCAAATGCATATATGGGTGCCATGTACCAATCTGTGTGGTGTAAGTATGCAAGATATCCTTAAGAGGCACATGGTTGAAGTATTTTATTTAAAAAAAAAAGTTTTAATATTTATTTATTGTAATATATTTTAGGAAATATATATTACATACATATATATAGATATCTATATAAATGTAGTTATGTACAGCTAGCACATCCAAGCTGTGATTTTATGGATATTATTAACTAAGATGAAACGAAAGTCAGAAACAATAAGTCAAGTTGCAGAAAAAAAGTAAAGGAAAGAATTGAAGACTAGATGAAACTGCAGCTCCAGCAGCTCCAATCAGGAAGGGTTGGCTAGAACAAATACCCAGAATGTGTGAGGAAACGGCTAATGTGGGAAATGCCGATGGAGAGAAATTCCTCATGTGTTAATAGAGGAGGCAGAGCCAGCTCTGCCTTGGTCAGTGGGGATGAGTGTGAATCTACTTTTCCTGGAATGTCTGTCTCCCTACAGAGACGTCAACCACAGCAGAATTCCTGTGGCTCTGACACACAGTTCTCTGTTGTGTGAAGTTTTGTTTTCTTTGTGGTTTTAAGCAGAAAATCACACATGTTCATGCTGCCTCAATCTGACATGTCGTATTAACCCTTTTCATGTGACTTTCATAAGGCAGGATATTGCAGGCCATTCAGGAGATGTGCCTTTCAGAGAAGGATTCACCTCAAAAGAGTGGACGCTGCACTGGACTTAAGTGAAAGGGGAGAGTTTGTAACGATCCCATAATATATCTGAGCCCATGGGAGAAAGATGATAGCAGCTCCTAGCTACCAAGTCTTCAGTATCTTCCAGGCATGACATATTAAATCTAACCCCCAGATGAGCTAAGTGAACCAAGCACCATTATTCTCATCATTGTATCGTTGTATTTATGGGGAGGCTAAAATGGGAGACTTACACAGCTAGGAAGAGATTCAAATACAATTGTGTCTGACCAAGAGGTTGGATTTCTTCACAAGTTACAATAAGAGGCCATGCTTTGGCTGTGAACACTTCTGGGGAATGGCTTCTCCTATAGTTTTGGTTCTATCCACAACAGAACCTATGTAAATCCTACAAAGCCTTCCTTAGAATAATGCCCACAGTGACTGTCCTCCCTAGCAATAGGACATCACAGAACAAGAAAACATTGACTGTGATCTTTTTTCTTGGAAAAGGGTGGGAGAGTCAGGGGGATGGTTCATGTGGGAGAATGAGAGGGAAAATAAAATAATGGATCCATATAGATGAGAGGGATGCTAATGTATACACTGGGATTCTCTTCCCAGGTCCATAGTGAGCCCCTACATGACACTGAGAAGATCTCTTCTTTCCCCTGACCTTTTTTTGTTCCCTCCATAGTATGAGGGGTTTGACCTAAAGGATCACTTAAGTCCCATTATGATCCTTTGTGTGTGTGTGTGTGTGTGTGTGTGTGTGTGTGTGTGTTTCTCCTCTGATGTAGAATAACTCAGAAAGAGAGAGTTGCCCTGGAGAGTGGTTGCTAAAACAACAGGGAAACAATAGAGAAACCTTACCTTCACTGGTGACTCAGTCAAGAAAAAACAATAGAGCCACATTATCAATCATGAAGGATCCCAAGAAGTATGCAGAAGACACCTGTTTCCGGAACAGAAGGGAGGGGAAGGTGTGGGGAACATGGAGCCACATTCTACTCCCTTCCTGTATTCCCTTTGATCTCTCTACCTGCTTCTTTCTTGGCCAACCACAACTTAGAATCAACCAAGTTTTTGAATTAGCTTGTATAGACAAGAAACATGCTATGAGCCCTCCTTCTAAAGACCTTACCTTTAACTTCAGGAAACAAGATGACTGCTTTCTCTTGCTTCATTTACAAAAGTTATTCAGATGAGGATTATACAGTTTCTGAATCTTCTCTGCCACTTTAATTTTCTAAGCCACCAATTTAAAGATAGCCTTAAACAACTGTTCTGCCCCTGTGGAAACAGGAAGTGGATGCCTCAGGCAGTTCCTCGGGTTGCTGTGTTGGAAGGAGTGATAGTTTCTCAATTCTGCCGCCAGTGAGACACAACTTCACCTCAGCAGTGTGTATTTAGAGACATTCATCATTAGAAATTGAGTGAGAACTTCCATATGGAAAAAAAAATCCTAGAATTTAAAGACCACCACAAGTGCCTACGTATTATTTAGAGACAAAGAAAGACCTGTGTTTTATAACAAGCATTCTTAACCCCACACATTGTAAAAGTACAAATGGCCCAGCAAAGTCAGAATGACCCGGGTGAAGTACACCTTGTAAGGCAAGAAATGTTCAACTTATTGCTGGCTCTACCATTAGTATGTACCATGGAAGTACATACTAAATAAGGGAAAAATAAGAGAAATGCTAACTTAATGAAGCACAATCATGACTCGTATTAGAAAGTGATTAGCTGAGATCTGTGCAGTGAATAAAACAGGGCCTTGTTACAACTTGATTTGGTTGATGTGTTTCAGAAGGACTCGTAATTCATGTTCCAACTGGAGAAATAGCTTCAGCGAATGATGCAACATATCATATTTTTGTTCAGGTGTTTTGACAGGAAGCAAACGATAGAGTTGTTTGGAACTCTAATTGAGAAAAGGATCTTAATGATGTTCACTCAGTCCAGCATCAGGATATAGTGTGCTGATATTTCTTAGAGGAGAAAATGTTGTAGAATCTGCTTCTTCTGAAGACTTATAATTTTGATAAGCCTTTGTTTATGTAAGCAAGAAGTGTGATTAGTACTTCAAATAACTGCATGTTCAAGATATCTTTTATTTGTTTATACAGAAAAGGGTGCAATTATCTATTTAACTATATCATTAGAGAAAAATATATGGAAAAAACTTCTGTATTCTTCAAAGATATTAATAACTTATATGTGTGATGCCATCTTATGAAAAGACAGCCTTTATAAAATATGAAGAGTTTGAAGTATTGCTTTTCTTACTCAAAAGATTTAGAAGTGGCCATCAAAACCATTAGATAGTTAGATGGCTTAACAAACTGTGAAAAGTAGAACCTTTTCTCTACAAAGTAGGACCTTAAAATCAAAATTTAAAGCAATCACTATCTGAAAAAAAAATATGTTCAGTAAAAAGTTAAATATGGGTCATGTAAGCTCAGTATTAACGTAGAGAGGCTGGATTGAACTGAAACCAATTTGTCGGATAGTGAGATGAAACGCTGGCTATGAGTTCCACTGGTTTTACCTTCAGCCTTGTGGGGGAATGGTGGGGACATTTGATAGGAAGTCAGTCTTGTGTGTTCCAGCCCAGCTCTGCTGGGGGCATGAATTTGAGCAAAGTCCCTTCATTTGTCCTGTCACCTTTGCCCTCCTTCAGGAAATGCCAGTTTTGCATTAGATTGGAAGTTCTCAGCCTCTCTTCCCTGTAACTTGGGAGACGGGATGTATAGATAAGAAGGATGAAGATTCTAGAGGGTGCGGCTCATGGTCACTTTCTTCCCCCCATCTCCTAAACAGCAGCCCTGTTTTGGGTATCAAAAATCTGAAATAGTGTTACTTTACAGTTAAATCAACAGAAAGGTGTTCAGTTGATGTTGAAAACTATGGAATCTCCTTTTTAAAAAGGTAACTTTCATGATCCTCCTCTTAATGTTCTCAGTTTTTATACTCTTGTTTAGTTTTTATTGACATCTCTGTCATGGGGCAGCTCATCTAGACAAGTTTATTGAAGGCAAATGACAGTGATGACTACGGTGCTTTGCACACAGATTGTCAATAACAATCTGGTTGTTTGGGGAGCACTTAGAGATGTGGTTCATGCATGTGTGAACCTCGTCAGTGTAAGTTTTGTGCCATTTAACTGATAACATTTTGAAAATTTATAATAGCTGAGGGTTGTTATAAGCTCATAAGATGCTAAGCACAGAGCTAACTAAGTACTTTACATTTCTTACTGAATCCTCGAAAATAATATGATCTCATTACCCATAGTTTCCAGATGAGGAAACTGAGTCTCAAGGAGGATGAACAACTTTCCCAAGGCCACGGGGTCAGCATATGACTGGCAGACCCTTAGGCCTTCCCACATCACAGCACTCAGGGCAGTGAGGGTGTCCCAAGGGATCTTTGCTGAGACTTTTAGCCTGAGGTCAGCTTCTGAGTTGATTATGACTTAGTTATTGGAAAAAGATATAATTTTCTTCAATAATCTGCATCCCAAGGAACAGTCTCTGTTCTCATCGCTCCAGTTAGTTGCTTTTAAACCCTATTCAAAAAATTACAACGCGGGTTGAATTCCTTAGTGGGGAGGATGAGAGGAACCGCTTCAAGCTGAGAGCACAGTTGTTTCCAGATGTGGCCAGGGCCTCCTTAAAGGTTAGTGGGCTGGATAACCCAGCATTCTGGGCCTAGGGAACCAACACACTCACGTGACATCATCCCACAGGGCAATCTGTATCCTTTACTTTTTGCCATTCATCCAGTTTTTGGGTAGCTGGGTTGTATCATTGTGTGGTGTGTGACTGTGTGTGTGTGTGTGTGTGTGTGTGCGTGCGCGTTCTCTAATGCTACTCTTCATTCATTTATTGCTGAGGGAAGTCCTGCTTCTTCCTGCACTGAAGCCCAATTCCCATTGCTTTTCTAATGTGTGCACTGGAGAGTGGGACTTCCCCTGTCCGGGCTCTTTTCTACTGACCTGCACTGTGTTCTCTATCCATTGCTTCCATCTCAGACAGCGCTTTTCCTCCCAAGATATCTAAGTTGGGTTGGACAAAGTCATTGGAAGTGACAGTCACTTAAAAAAGAAAAAGAAAGGAAACTGGCAAAACACAGGGATGCATGTTCAGGAGAAGCTGTTGAGAGAAGCAGGTGGCTCTTGCCTCCTTGTGTTCTTGGATGAGACAATTGACTTTCCCCAAGCTGACTTCTTGCTTAGATGAACTGACTTAACTGTGAGGTCCTGCCAAAGGTTGTTTCACTAAGCGGTGCCTGGGGCTTTCACAAAGTGAAGTCACCTCTGCCTGCCAAGCAGGGACTCTCTAGCTAGACACTGGGGGAATTTCATAGCCTTCTGATTACTCCTCCAAAAGAGGAAGTTCCTGTCATCATCTTACCTTTACCGTGCCAGGGTGCAGTTCATTCTGCCTGTGGCTAACATGCCCAGCTCATAATGTGCTGTTGAGCTATAGAGAAGGGAAATGGCGGACTGCAACTTGGAGAACTGTTCATTTTGCTGAAGAGGAGACTTGAGGACAGAATCATTGCTCTACTTGGCTAAATCTGTGGTCTTCCTGTCTAGGGCTGTGGCTTCAATGGGGCACCAAGGAGCATTTGTGGAGTGAGCGTGATTGCTCTCCATCCAGCTAGGAAGGTTAGTCATGTCACCAAATATTCCTTACTTCCCTTAACAGCCCATTCTAAATCAATCTTCCATGAATTCATCAAAATGTTTTTTGTATTGCCTCAACTTTGCTGCTTCCATGTCAATTTCCTAAACCCAGGGAGGTCACGTGAAGGGCATTTCCCAAACTGTTATCTGAACCTTCCTCCCTGGAGTGTCTTCTGCTCACTCCAGGGAAAGAGTCCTTTTCCCTGGGCTCATTTGCTGTGGTGGCCATATTTTAATTCCCTCTTGGCTTCTAATAGATGAGTTGGGACACGCCTCAAAGTGTTTTTGTTCCCTCTGAAAGAGGTTGAATCAGGGAAGAGAGGGGGAGAAATATATGTGGGAACAGTTTAATTGTATCCATGAGGATTCTTAGTAATCAGGATGCCAGTGTGTGTTTTCCAGAGCCTAGAGCTGACATAAATAATGTAGCGTACCTCGCTTTGTGCAGGCTTGCTGAGGAATGCTGATGGAGAAAAAGCCAAACTGGGATCTGAAGCTCCCGGCTCCCGGCACAGCCTTTGAAATCCTTTTATTGAGTGGTACTTTTGAAACTGCAGCCAGGACCTTGGCAGGTTGGATGTGCCAGGGAGAAGCCAACAGAGGAGGAACTCCAGAGGAAGGTGCCTCACTTGGCTTTTGGAGAATGAGAATCTGGTGTGGCCTGGATGGCTCCGGCTAAGATTGGTTAATTTCATTTTGCGTTCCTAATCCCACAAGGAATAGGATATCTCCGTCAAGGCCCTGAGAGCCGGGTAAGTGTATGCAGCTGTTGCTAACAAGATATGACTGGCCCCTCAAACATAGTGAAAAGCATCTTGCTAGCCTTTTAGAGCCTCTTGCCTTAATGGGAAGAGCCAAATGAGCTTTGCGGGACAACTAACCCCAAATGAAGTCCTGCAGCTTAAGCTCATTTAAAGGCAAAGTGTGCATTGGGAGAGGGAGAGGGACCACAAACGCCACAGTTCTTTTGCAGGAAGGAAACAATGTGTCTTCACGTGGGATTTTCACAGGAGGTCTGCCAAGCCAAATATCCAACTGAAACATCTTCCAGATTTTGATTTACAGTGCAACTTAAGCCTAGTCTTGGCCATAAATGATAGAAGTGAAGGAAAAGGTGGGGAGTGGGGTAAGGAATAATTCTCTATTGTAGAGGATCTTCAGGGACAGGCTCTGGGCATTTAGTGAAAGGGACAGCGATTCCTTTGCCTATACTCTGGTGGTTTAGAAAAGGACCTCAGGGAACATTTGTTTTGTTTTGTTTTGTTTTCCTTTTGATTAAGGCATTTGGGGTCTAGAAAAGAAGATTCAAGCAGGATCCATTTAATTTATTTAGTTTGCCTCACAGACATGAAGCTTCAGAATGGTAAGTGTCAATTACATTCCTACCGATTTGGGTAAACTAGCTGGGAGAGGGTTCTCGCAGAGCAAGGATCTGTTCAAATCTGGGCTGTTTTACAGTTTTTGGCCAGTGATAGGAGCTGCTGTGTAAACACAGAAAAAGCATAGATGACAAGTTTGATTGGGAAGGAAGGCTTTGTGTGACTTGTCCTTTTGGGGGATGGTTCTCTGTTGTTGTTGGTTTGACAATTATGGGATGTCCTTTAGAAACCATCTATATAGCACACTAAAATTTACTTGACAAATGTAAACATGATCCGATAGTTCCATCGTGGGAAAAGAGTATATATTTTCCTCTTATTTGGCTACAGATTTGTTGTTTTCTTCTTTCTCCATTTAAAATATGGAGTGTTTTATAACATAGTTTTTGGAAATTTTTTTTGTTATGTGATGTATTGCTATAAATGTATTATTACTAAGAACTCTACAAGTCCCTTTTGATGATTTCATTGAACTGGTAAGGAAAGGAGTACGTTCTTGTCTGAGTTTCATTCCATCCTCTCTCATTAGGGTCTGTGCTTTGCTTATCTACTGCTTTAAGTGGTTTCACCAGAACTTTCATTCAGTAGTCTCAAAAGCCCCGCGTACTTCTCTCTGCTTGGACAAATGCCTTCCCAAATTAGTGCTGTGGTTTTGTCTTGTGAAGGAAAAGTTTTATCTTCATGGATAAAGGCGAAACAGGGTTTTTGTTTGTTTGTTTTTTCATTTTGTTTTGTTTTGTTTTGTTTTGTTTTATTGGGGCAGGCAAGATTTAGTCTTTAGTCTGAGGAATCTGTTTGGACACTTTTCCAGCAAACCTTCCACTCTTTGGGAAAGAGCATGCCCATCTGTGAAATGGGCTTGGGATTTGATTAAAAATGTAACACCCACGCCCTCTCGGTCACATTGTGAATGTTTGAAAGGAAAAAAAAATGATTATAGAGGGTTAGCTGAGGGGTTGTCAATAAGCTGGTCTCCGTAGGACTGAGTTTAAACCTGTTTTAAACATGCAAAAACTGGGTCGCTTGTTAGTTTCTATTTATAAGTGCGTTAGAAGAAAGTACATCTTAAGTGCAGGGAAATGCAATACTTCTATTAAACAAAACTTAGTTTTTATAACCTAAGAAGTGACCTGAAGGAATGTGAGGAATTGTTAGAAGCCTGTGGTTCTTGGGCGCAGAGTCACAGCTTCATGTTTAATTTAACAAAACATTAAACATTTCATGTTTAATTTAATGAAACATTAGAGCACTAGGATTTGTCACCTTCATGACAGAATGTCAGAACTGTGGGATAGTTTCAGAATATATGTTCTTTCTACAGAATTCACATGTCACACTGGAGATGTTTCACATGCAAAGGCCTTTACTTTTTTCCAGGGGTCTTTTTTTTCCTCTCTAATAAAAGAAGGAGAAGCAAAGAAGCAAGTAGAACAACAAAAACAACAACACATTAGGCATGCACTACTAGTCTAGCTAATTGTAGGGGGGCTATTAGCAGGCATTTAGGCAAATCGATTAACATTTAGCATCAGTACCAATGCAATTGCATTTCTACTTTTTGTGCTTCTGACAAAATAAGCACACAGATCTTCAGGACAAGAAAAGAACGGACGTTGGAACCATTTGTTAGGTGATAAACGTTTTATTAAACCCATTTGGATTTTTTAATGAACTATTTGAGAAAGTGGGGTGAGATCTTTGGAAAAAAATAGGTAAATGTATCCGTTTGATAAAGGTTGTTACCAGTGTGAGAGAGGCAACCCTTTGTACTGCATCGCTTGCCAGATTTTTTTCTTAGTCTGGAAAATGTGGTCGGAGATTGATAGTGCTAGTTTGCCTTTGGCCTGTGATGGGAAATTTCCCTTTTTTTTGTATTTCAAAGTGCTGAAATAGAGATATGCCCTACCTCTCTGTCCATATTTTGCAGATTGGTGGAGCTCTATTTTCATCAGATGCTTAGAATGCTTAGCTCTTTTCCATGAAAAACAAAAATTGATGTTTGGGCAGTGAAGGTAATTACCGATCCATAAAGCATGCATGTGTGTGTGCATATATGTAATTATACATGTGTACCCACCCACACACTCACACACACGCACACACAGACACACACAATGTACAAGTCTACAAACCCTTCCCCTCACCCCCCTGCCACCAAATTCTCCTTCTATTCATTTGAATTGCCTCCTGCACCATTTCTGGAATGCTGTATAAAACACAATGGAGATTTATGCAAGGGCAGTATTTTCTTTTGTGATGACAGGAGTGCGAATGGCTCTCCTGTTATTATATACTCAGCCTGAATGTGCTGCTTCCTTGGGTACCTTGAAGTGGCTGAGACCAGATGCTTCAGAGAGAAATGTCATATTCATGCAATTCAGAGGAGCATATGGCAAGAGAAAAATCGTTGTGACAGTTGCTGACCTGTGGAGCAAGTCACTTTTTTAACCCTTAAAAAATAGTTTTAACCCTATCCTAAATAGCCACAGATACATTATTTAGTTGAAGAATTTTCTAATTCTCCTGTATGTTGCATTCTGGAAAAAGCCTGCAATGGGGGCTGGGGAAGTAGAGAAGCTGCCCTGGCCATGGTAGGTTGGACGGCCTCTCCTACTCACACCCTACTCTCAGGGCTACATCCACACTTCTCTCAGCCTCTGGGTCCAAAGGCTGAAATTCAGAACGGTGTGACCCACCTTACCTAATTCAGGTTTGTGATGGCTCCCCTGCCTTCTCCCCGGGGAACTGAGGAGGACCCAGCAAAGCTCAGCCCTGCGTACTGTCCTGGAGGCCAGAGGCATCGCCTGCTGCCTTTGTCGTCCTTCATGACCACCATCCTAACCCACAGATAGCACAGAGGTAGCAGAAGTTGCCAAGGAGGTCCCTTCACTTCATAAGGCCTCTTTTAATCCCTGCCTATGTGCCTGACACTCTGACAGACCCCGGGAAGGAAAGCAAGTGTGATATGCCTCACCCTGCCACCACCACCAAGGATCTCCTAGTGTCATGTAGAAGATCTGTGAACAAAAATGGAACAAAGCATTGTCTTCAGTGCCATGAGGGCTGAGAGAGGAAAGCCTTGTATGGCCACAGGTATTATGTGGGTGCAGGGGAGAGAGCTGGCAACCCTCAGAGCTCAGAGAGGTCAGAACAAGCTTCATAGATGCAGTTTTTTTAAGAGAACTGGCCTGGCAGATTCTCCTGGAAGCCAAGGGGCAGGGGTCTCCACACCCAGAACATGGCAGATGCTTAGCAAATCAAGGAACTTCAAGTACTGAGTTCAGTAAAGCTGGCACCCAAGGCATGAGGAAGGCAAAAGATTGTACTAGAAAGATAAGCAGAGCCCTGTGGTGAATGGCTTTCCATATCATCAAGTCTAAGTCTTCTCTAATCTGCCACATCCTCATAAATCTGAGACAGACAGCCAGCTCATAGCCGTAAGGAAAGTGAGGGTTGAGCATATCAAAACAACAGTATGGTTTATGTGAACACACCTAAGTTTTACAATGTCCACAACTAATTCAACGTTTCAAAAAATGCTGGCTACCCCTGTGTGAGCCAAACTAACGCCATGTGCATGTTTCAGATGGAGTCTGGGGGCTACCAGTTTGCAACCTCTGCAAATAGTCAACAGGCGCCTGCAAAGGGAACTCACCCTACCACTAACTTGCTTCTTATCTGAAAAGATTTTGGAGAAGAGCTTTGACAAATACAGAAAGAGTGTGTTTGGAGACAAATTTTCAAGCGTCCCCACTTGGAAATCTGGTTGGGAGGGAGGCAAATATATATGTTCATATTCCTATCTGGATTTATATTTTTACATATTTGTGTAATGGTGGGTGTGTTCTGCTTCCTTCGTATAGTCAAAGCTTCTGGAGGTGGAATCCAAAAGGAAGGTCAAAATTCTGACTCTGTAGATAGACACATAATCCAGCAGATCACAGCTAATGAGTACCTCTTTGCATAGTGCGTGTAGTACATGGGTTTCTGCAGGGGGGTGGGGTTCTTGGTGGGGTTTTTTTATGTTTTAATTTCCTCATCAGCCATTTAACTTTATGCCATATGGTGATGGCAGAGCTGTCCCCACTTCTGTGAGAAGACCCTAGTGGTTCCATGAACATCTTTTGAGAAAGCAGACCCACTGAGCGTTTGCTTAGAAGAGCAGAAGGGAGGCTGGGGAGGATGCAGTAGCCATCTCCTTTTCATCTTCATCTCCTAGACCTTAACTCATCTGCTACCATTTGACTGGCATTGTCATCTAGCTCCTCTGGCGTGCACACACACATGCATAGGCAGTGTCAGTCTGTTGGCAGCACCTCCCAGGACAGACTTGCGATCCCACGGGCTCTGCAGTCCCAAATTGCTAGGGCTCTCTTTTGAGTTAAGTGTCAGGCTGGCCATGGAAACCTGGGATTGGGCCCTGGCTGCCTTAGTGGCTTTGAGTAAGAGGGCCGGGCATTTAATATTTGTTGAAGTGACTGAGCTCTCAGTGCGCTCATTTATCTGTCTGAATAGTGGATAGTAATACTTCTCAGCTCCATGGAGATAATGGTAATGATAATTAAAAAAAAAAAAAAACAACTGTGACCCAGGTATCAGCTCAAACCCATCTCCACAGACCATTCCCACATTCTGGGTGTTCCCTGAGCTCCTGTGCTCAAGCTCATGTTTGTTCATTTTTCAGCACTTACTCCTTCCCGCAGCCCAACACGTCGTGTACCTGTACCTTTCTCTCCACCCCAAGCTGCTCCAGTTGTAGAATTTGGCCTCTTACCCCTAGCATGTGCAAAAAAACAAACAAACTAGCAAACAAAATCTCAGGCAGACAAAATCATCCACCCAAAACCTTGTGTGGAACAGACTTTACTGAAAGTTTGGAGAAAATGAAGAATTGAGAGTTTCATATGCCAGCAATAAAAAGAAGTTTAAATAGAATATTCAACACCTCTCTTCTTCAAGAGTGCTTGGGTCAGTTCTGACTAACTGGGGCTCCAGCTCCCTGCCAGGTTCCCTGCTGCATTTCTATTTCTTCCGATTGGCCAGAAATTCAAATGGATTTCACTATATTTTTGCAGAGCAGCTCAGCACTCTCCACCTGCACCCAAAAAGCCAGCACTTTCTTCCTTCTTCATAGACCCCTTGATAGACTCTGCAAAAGGAAAACTATAGCATAGAGATTTATTTCCCCAAAGATGTTAATAGCACCATTTCCTGTCACTAACCTTCAAGCCAAGAAAGGAAAAGTTGTTACATTTTTGTTTTCAAAAACACTTTTTCTGACACATAATACTTTACTATGTATTTCCTTACATTTTTAATATCCTTCCCACCTGATTGATTAATTAATTGATTGATTAAGGGATCAATTAAAAAGGCAGTGTGGCCAAAGGTTAAGAGCACAGACTCAGGAGCTCTGCTGCTTACTAGTGACTCTGAGCAAGTTACTTAAGTTCTCTGAGCTTTGGTAAAGGCGGATAGTCAAGGTACCTCCCTGATATCCCAGCCATGTGGTTAAATGAGATCATGCACATTGAGGTGCTGATTTCAGAACCTGGCACGTGCAATGGTTATTTCCTTTGTCTACAGTCAATGGCAGCATTTCATTTTCATCCAAATTTTATAATAGAATGTTTTCTCTATTTCCAAAATGATTTCAGGTTAAATGGGTAGTGTGCTGGGATTCTGGCACAAGCCAGATTGCACCTTGCCCCACCAAGTAGAAACTGACTGTATCCATCCTCCATCCTCAAGACAGAAGCCAGATGGCCTCCTGTCCTCCCCTAAGTAGTCTTCAGTTTCATGTATGTTTCTCTGTAGTGGCCTTCCCACTGCTGCTGTTTTAACCAGATAACGAAAAAATCCAAGGTGGTTCGGAATAACCGGCATTGGCTGAACTTTTTTCCAACCAATGTTACTAGAAACATAATTGCTCAGAATTAACACTCTCATCTTCAGTGGAACAGAATGCAATTGTTTGCTCTTGGTTTGAGTCCTCAGAGTGGGGCTGGTAGGGGGCAAGGAACAATTATTGCAACTAAATTTTAATCAACAGTTTCAGTAACAATATTGAATTAAAAAGGTACTAGCTACTAGTTAGAGCATGGCTTAACTTGTACACAGGCAAATCAGTCATTCTGTGGTGATTAACATCTATTCAGAACAGAGAATGTATTCTGGGTACTAAATTACCATAGGAATTAATGCAGTATTTTTAAAGGGCTTAAAATATGTTAATAAATACAGTATTGTAGCACCTGCAGCTGAAGGAACCAAAGTCATTAAAGATGGATATAATTATATTTATTATGGCAAGGAGCTAGGTGGGCGGGGGGGGGGGAACAGTTTAATGAGCGTGAATGAAATAGAGGTTCTTTATTTAAAACTTCTTACCTGAGGAAACTGTTCCCTTTGAGGAGTTGAGTTATTGCCTGAAATCACTGAATGAAAGAACTATACAAAAAGTTAATCAGGGATAATTTTCCAACCTCTGGACAATGAACTTCAGAGGTCTACTGGGGTCATAGCAAAACTCTCCACCTTTTTCCCTTTGAACTTACCATGGAATCCCTCTTCCCCTGCTGTGCCCTGTAGGATCCCTGTGATGTCTGCCACTTTACCAACTTCAGTTTCCACTGCCTTCCCACACCTGCCCCACCCAAATGCCACACCCACCTTGCAGTTGCTCAAACAATCCCTTATCCAACCTCAGGGCCTCAGCACATACTTTTGCCTCTACATGACATTTATTTTGCAACCACTTCAATAGCACTTGGCCAGGCTTTGTCCTAGACAAATGTTAAATACTATCTAATTTAATCCTCAGGAAAGCCTTACAGATTAGATCCCATTATCATCACCGTTTTACAGATGAGGAAAAGAAGTCAGTGAAGGGCTAAGGGGCTTGCCATAGGTCCTGCTGACTTGAAGTTCTCTTCACCACCAAAGTTCTGCTGCATCTTTGTAGGACCGGCTACTCTCATCCCTCAGATCTCAGCTCCGATGCTGTCCCTGACCCCTTTATCTAAACTCTCCTTTCCCCCAACCCCATCCCCAGTTGCTCTGTTTCAGGATCCAGTTTGTTCTTTGCAGCACCTGTCACACCATTTTAAGCGATAGTCTGCATGTGTATTTTTAGTTATAATTTTCCTTCTCTTGCACTAGGATCATGCCCATAAAGGCAGCAACTGTTTTTGTTTGATGCTGCGTCCTCAGCCCTGTTGAAGTAACTGACACTTAATATATCCTGAATAAATATTTGTTTAATGAGTCCTTGAACTCATGTGTTCACTATTTGCTGTCTGTAGCCAATAATAAATGATATTCTTAATCTATTTACCTACATAGACAGATAGACGAAAAAATATATTTATTTTTCAAATTATCTGATGACTAAAATATAATTTTATTAGGAAGGGTAATCCTCTTTAGGAATTAAAAATTTTCTTAGCTGATTGATATAAAAATGGCAGTCTAAAATAACCATTTCTATAAGAAATCTGGGCCCTTTTACATAGAAGGTTGGGAATTGATGATTAAAGATAACTTCTATTTGACAAATAAGAAATAGGAGAACATGAGAGGAAGAACCACAGGCTCAAGGTGTGGAGCTGGTTAAGACAGGGTTCTCTGGCTCTTGGTTTCACATTGTTTCTGCCCATCTGCCTTGCCTCTTGTCGCCTATGTTGATAGCATCTGGAGAAGCCCATCAGAAACAGAGGAGCTTTTTCCGGACTGGCTCTTGCTGCTACTGAGAGTGTTGTGCTTGGCAGGTCAGGAGCAGTGGATTGAAGCTCTCTTATTTTCTTAAATCTTGGGGGTGTTCAAGGTGAAAATTAACTGTCTGCCTATCCTCGTGGTGAAATGCATTTGAAATGCTATTTCCTCTTATGAAGAAGAAGAAAAGTAAACAAACACACATCGTGTGGAATTAAAAATGGAGGTCCCAGAGCTGCATATCACACCTACAGTGAGACACCAGCCTTAAAGAAACTGCCTCATGTTCCTGGCTTGCCAGCTTGTTGAGGATACAGTCTGGCTACTAAAACCCCTAGCACCACAATCCTTTACAATATAGGAGACATGAACCACACACTGAGCATCTGATTAAAGTTGGGGGTTCTATGCCCAGAGAAAAACAACATGTGTAAACATGAAGCAATTTGCACATTGTTTCAGGGAACCCACAGACATTCTTTTGTCAATTTCGTGGATCTCTAGAGGCCCATGAATTCCAGTTTAAGAAGCCCTGGTAGCATAGAACACCTAGTAATGTTAATTATAATAGGTAATATTTATTAGGCAATTATAATGTGGCAGATATCTGACATATATATAATAATTATACATTTTTTTCATTTAGCTTTCAGATGTAACATTTGTTTCCATTATGCAGATGAGAAAACTGAGGCACAGAAAAGCTAAATAAGCCAGAAAGTGTTGGAGCCTGGATTAGAATCCAGTTGGTCTGATACTAGAACCTCTGACAAAGGCAGGCACAGAAAGTTTACCTAAAGCAGACTTTCATTAGCTGGCATGTGACACCATGAGGAATCCCATGGTGGGAAAGAGAGGCTATGCAGAACACCTTCAGAGCGTCAGTGAAGGCCACAAAGGGCTGATGAATCCATATTGCAGGTCCTTCAGCTCCTCATGGAGAGGCAATCAAGATGGTCCCAGGATACCTCCTCTTGCCAAGAATTGCCTTCTATCCTCCTACATATTGGGGGACTGGAAAAATGCATTTCCATGTGACTTCACATCCTTAATCCACTAGGCTGGAGCTAAGAGTTCTTGGCATTTTATTGAGCCAAGTATTCAGAATACTTTCAATTTAAGAATGTCTATCATCAGATGGGCAGATGGGTGCTATCTGACTGTGAAACTCTCTCAGGAATATTTAGAATGGACTGGATTGTCAGCCTATTTTATGAGAGGCTATTAGAGTGAGATGTGTTTAATTATTTCTTTCATTTCTTAAGAGTATACATAGTATCCTTTAGAAGTTGCTTGATAATGTTTTTTTATCATTTTTTCTGCTTTCTTTTTTAAAGAGAGCAGGCTC
This sequence comes from Homo sapiens, assembly GCF_000001405.40. Classification (NCBI taxonomy): domain Eukaryota; kingdom Metazoa; phylum Chordata; class Mammalia; order Primates; family Hominidae; genus Homo; species Homo sapiens. Next base: position 167,830,364 of record NC_000005.10, read on the forward strand.
ATTTTTACTTAGGAATGGGTATAATCTAACAAGTTAGAACTAATAACTAATGAAGTTAAATACCTCTCTGGATGTTTCTTTTCTATTGATTGAGCTATATTTAGTATCTTGTAATTAATATCCTAAGCACCTGCTTGGTTCTAGGCCCCTGGCATAATGAAGTGAATCAGAGACAGCCTGTGGCCTCAAGGAGTTTACAGTCTAGTAGGAGAGCAGGACGTGGAAACAAATCAATGTTGTGTACTATAGTGTGTGGCAGAGGAGGCAAACGAAAGAGAGAGTGGTCAGCTCAGGCTCAAAAGTTTATGACTGGCTGCAAAGACAGTCCTAGAGAAGCAGTTAAGAAAACTATGATCTCTAGAACAGGAGTTCTCAAACTTGAGAGCACGTCTGAGTGCCTCAGAGGGCTTATTAAAACACACATTGATGGGCCCCAACCTCAGTTTCTCACTCACTGTATCCAGAGTGGGTCTCTGAATTTGCATTTCTAACAAGCTCTCAGAGGATGATGCTGCTGCTTGTCCAAGGAAAACACTTTGAGAACCACTGTTCTAGCTTCTCAGAGGAAAGAATATAGAAAATGCTTGTGTTGTTTCCAGCTTTTTATCTCCTAAATTTTGAAATATCTCATTTCACCTCTGTCTGTCTTGCTCTGTGTTGTGAGTTTCCTTGTCAATATGTGTACTTCTGTTCTCTCTATGGGAAGTACAGCTCCGTGTTCTTCTGCAGGCTGTCTTCCTCTTTTTCTTCTTCTTCTCCTTCTCTCTTCCTTCTCCTCCTTCTTCTTCTTGTACCTAACTATGACCTCTGATTAGTAGGAATGGCTTATATAAATTTTGAATTGTATACATTCTTGTGGATGCAGGTCTGTGAGTATGAGTTTATTCTGAAACCAGCACTGTGGTCAGCATTATTCCTCACAATTGATCATGTCTCACAAAACACTTTGGACTCTGGGTAGACAATTAAATAAAGTAGCCAAATGGAAGACCCACTCATGCATATCTTCAGGTCCTCTGAGGTCTTATAGGGCCCATGTTATATTCCTAGTGGTTGCAGAGCATGCCAGGAAAGAAGACGACCACCAAGCAAGCCTAAATCAGCTGCAAAAGAGTTCAGCACTTTTTTTTTTTTTTTTTTTTTAAGAATACTGCAGCCTTTCATAAACAGAGTCACGTTTTGGCCCCAATGCAATAAAAAGTATAAACTCATGTCAGAAAACAATACCAAGTTCCCACATTAATGAATCTTTCTCCTTTCTTTTATTCTTTTGGTCCATTTTGCACAGGAAATAAGAACCTTGCGGACAGAAAGATCATCATTTGTCAATCCTTTTGCAGCAATTTTCCCAACAGTTCTTTCAGGTCTAAATGCTTTTAAGCATCTGTCAGTGTCATATAATAGCCTTAATGGGAGGAAACAACAACAACAACAACAATTTGCTGCATAAGGATGAAATGAGTGAGTGGCTCTCTTCTTCCTGGACTGCAGTGAAAATGATGGTCCTGTCCATATGTAGATTTCCACATGCAGCCGTGCAGTTATTGTTTGCACTCAGACCTTAAGTTGTCTGTAATTTTTATGTGTGTAGGAATGATGCCAATTGAGAGAGAATGGACGAAAAAAAAAAAAAATATTTAGCATCCCTGAGATGATATAAGTCAATAAACAGCTTGATTACTAATTCATTCAGGAACAAAAATAATGGCTTTCTAAACTGAAACGACCAAATCCAATAACTAACTGTTTGTCAGGGCAGTAATAATGGTATTTGTATCTCTTTTAATTGGCTTTAACCTTTCCCTTCATGTGTGCAGTATTAAAAAATTAAAGAGGAAAGTATTTAGAGGCAAAGATTTACGGCACTGCGTGGATTACATGCTTTTAATGAGGTCAGGACAATAAACCATCTGAGCAGAAGCTGCTGCCCAATGATGAATTATTCCCTTTTACAATAGATAGACTACAGCAAGCGTGTGTGCACACACGCATGCTCACAGGCCCACACGCTTGTCTGTGTAGACCATGTGAAAGACCCCCAGCTTTGCTGTTGAGCTACCACAAGGTGTTTCCAGTTACAAGGAGTGTTCAGAAAGTATCAAAATACAGAGCTGCAATACATTATGTAAAAAACAGAAAGTTGCAGAGCAAACTGCACGATGTTTATGTAAGATGTTAATTCATTATGTCTGTGCATGTTAGCATATATGTGCAAGTGTGGATGGATGGATGGAGGCAGGGATGGATGGATAGAGGGATGGAAGAATGTCAGTAAGGATGGGGAGAGGAAAACAGGAAAGAAGAAGAAAAGTAAAAGAGGAAATAAAAGGAGAGAGAGGGAAAGGAGGGATGGAGGAAGGAAGAAGAAAGAAATATATGTAGAGAGAAATATTGATAATTTGGAAGCATACACACAGGAGTGCACTGGAGCCAGCTTGTACTAGCTTGTAAAGGCCCATTGTGCAATACGTCTTCTCAATTCTGTCATATTCTTAACTTACAATTGTAGATAGTGACAGTATTTGCTGCACAGAAATCAGCAAATGCTACAGATCAGGGCTTTTTTTTCCTGCAGAGCCAATTTCTAAGCCTTTATCAGCACATCACTGGACACCCACAAAATCATTCAGAGTGGTTCTATCTAGAAAGAGGGTTTAGTACAGAACTAAAAAGGGTACATGGTACCGTTTTTAGAACTAGAAGGATACCCTTTTAGTAGAAAGGTATGTGAAGCCATTATGTTGGGAATGGGAAACAAGACATTTTTCCTCTTTATTTTATACATTTATTTATTATTTGTAATTTTTATTAAGCATTTATTATTATTAAGCATCCATCAATTTTATAATGAAATATTTTATTTTATTAAAATGTATCCACAAACGTTATTAAAACTTGTTTAGTAATAATAGAATTAATCACTTTACTTTAGGAGTCAGTTACAAATCCTTCATACAAGGAAACAAATTTCAGACAAACAATAGGATCAAATGACCAAAGGACTTCAGACTCAACCAGAAGTGTGTCCTTTGATGGTGAAAATATCCTCAATCTTCCAGAGCAAAAGGAACATTCAAAAAGTGTTAACATAGATTGGTCCAGAAGAGTAGAGTGTTCAAAGTCAGATCCCATCTGATGACAAATTCTAGTGAAGAAAGTCACATGGCTCCTCCAAAGCTTATCTCCTCATGCTCATTGGTTGACCCGAACCTTATCGCAGTCTTTGCGTAATCAGCGGCCTAGATTTAGCAGTGTGAAACATCTCTAACAAAGAGAAAGGCACCACATTCCAGACACTAGAGCTGCAGTCCCATTGGAAACGCACCATCCTTGTGGGCCAGCCAGTCTGTCACTAACTGAAAAAAATGTTGACGCTTCCTTTTTGCCACTTTGACATGGTGTGATCTCTAATCAGCCTCAGTAAGCAACAGAGTAAAGAAGGTTCTCTGTTTCCCCTTCCTTCCCAAATCTTTCCCAATTCCAGATGATATTCTACTTATGACCTCATTGCTCTCATTTCCTACAGACTCCTGTAAATGAAAGTCCCTGACTAGAAGCCCATACCTGAACTGTTAAGGAAAATAGATGCCTCATTTTACAAACACAAACTCATTCATTCAACAAATGGTTCTAGATGCCTGGCTGTGGGTTAGATATGGGGATACAGTGGCAAACTTGTCAGGCAAGGACCTTGCTTTTATGGAGCTGACATTCTAGAAGGTGAGACAAACATAAACAGGTAAACCAATGAAAAATATCAGAGAATGAGTAATATTTGAAAAACGAGAAATAGGGGGATGTGATAGAGAGTAACAGGTACTTTACCTCCTCTGCTTTAGAGTGGCTAGAAGGAGTCACATTTCTGAGGAGGTAAATTTTGAACTGAGATGTCAGTGGCAGGAAGAAGCCAGCCATGTATAGATCTTACTACAAAAAGTAGGTCCTGGCTCCTTTTATGGGGATTTTTCCTACACTCACTGAGGCCTTTTAAGACACAAGTCCAATGAATGGTAGACTGTAGATGCCTTCTTTATTTCCTGGTGACTATTTCAAAGCAAGCTTAGGAAGTCTTCACTGCTGTAAGTACCTTTGAAAAATGTGCAAAATTGGGATCCATTGTGTATTTGAAGCTGATTTCATGTGCTTAAATATCTTGAAGGTTGTTTACTGGTTAGTGCTGTGAGTAGCATTGTTTCCATGAAAGAAAGAAAGACAAGGCAATCATAAGTTCAACTGCCATAAACTGGGCCATCTCACAGTTGTGTCTGTACAATTTCTTTTTTTTTTTTTTTTTTTTTCTTTTTGAGACGGAGTCTCGCTCTGTAGCCCAGGCTGGAATGCAGTGGCGCGATCTCGGCTCACTGCAAGCTCCGCCTCCCAGGTTCATGCCATTCTCCTGCCTCAGCCTCCCGAGTAGCTTGGGCTACAGGCGCCCGCCACCACGCCCAGCTAATTTTTTTGTATTTTTAGTAGAGACTGGGTTTCACCGTGTTAGCCAGGATGGTCTCGATCTCCTGACCTCGTGATCCGCCCGCCTCGGCCTCCCAAAGTGCTGGGATTACAGGCATGAGCCACTGCGCCCGGCCTTTGTGTCTGTACAATTTCAACTAAGGGACAAAGTGTTGGAGAGAAAGATGTTATAGGCTTTGAATCAAGAAATATCTGGGTTCAAATCCTCGCACTGCCCCTGAGCATGGTATTGACCCTCTCTGAGCATGTAGTACTCTCAACTTTAAGGTGAGGTTATAAAAATGCCCACATCATAGGGTCATGGTGAAAATGAAATAAGGTTATGTTTATATAAAGTGCCTGGCTCTGAGTAGCCTGAAGCATCTACTTAGAGAAGGTTCTAGAAATGTTGCTGAACGGTGTGATTCACCAGAGTGAGACTATCATCCCATGGGGACAGGGAGAATTCATTTATCTTTGCTTCAGTCTTTCTGTTGAATGCAGAGCTGCAATTTGGGACTTGATGTTGCAGCAAAGATTTCCTGATTGGGCAAGAAAATTGAGAAGGCAGCTGTCATTCTTTTAGTATGATCCATAACAAAAGAAAAAAGAGATTGGGTACTCAGCCAGAGATAAACCCATTCCTTTAATCCTTTACTTATTCAAGAGTTGCCCTCTGCCCCTCCTCTGCCTGAATCTTTTCCCCTCTTCTTTTAGTCCTTTTTAGTTCTTCCTGGAGAACCAGAAATAAAGCTTAGAACCAACTGGACAGAGTCCTTGAATTACATCACATGAGCAGTGCAATTTATGCAGCAAACTTCATTGCCTGAGAGTAGAATTGTAAGGACATGCATGAATGCTGACTATATTCCTAGGGGTAATGGAAGCTGCATATGAATATAGTAACTAAAAAAAAAAATCAAAAACCTTGGAAGACAAATAAACATGGCAGAAGCAGCAAGACAATGTTTTTATGTTTTCACTTTTAATTGACTAAAAATATCAATACAACATATTCCTTGGACAGTCACCCCAACACCCCTCCCCTTTTTAATGGAAACTAGGAGGTGGTTGGGAGGAAGAACACTCAATTGATAAAACAACAGTTACCCCTGGGAAGTGCAAGTAGAGGACTGGAAAGGACTGTATTTTTTTAAAATACACATCCACATTGTTTGATTTTTGTTTTGAACCAGCCTGCACTACATTTTAAAATTAAGAATATACCTTTTTTAAAACTGGTGGGGGAGAAGGAAGAAAGAGTTACTTTCTACACAAGATAGCAACGTTGTTTTTAAGTAAGTTTTATTAACAAGTGACAATTACTTTTTTATGATACATTTAAGATAGTGAATTATGAATGACTGAAAATCCCCTCCAGCCTAACTGAGAACCATTATGTCTGGTAATTGCCACTGATTTCTGCAAACAGTCATTTTTCTCTGGCCTGTTAACATAATTTAAATTTTTAATTGCCCTTCATAATTGTCTATTGGAGTTAACAAACAGTCCCATTCACCTAAGGGTTTCCGACCAGGCCCTACCTCCAGGAACTCACACTGGAAACATCTAAGACCACTTGAGAATGCCATTAGGAGTTTGTGGATGGTCCAATTGAGGTGGCAGCCTCTGTGACAAATTGTGACATCTTTTTAAGGACCCATCCAACTATGGAATAATATATTTTTGGATTTCTGTATCAAGTTTGCTCACTTTTGCTTTGTAGCTACCTGACAAAAAAATAATAAATAGAGAAAAAATGTCACACTTGTAACCATGTTCACCAGGACTTTCATCACATTGCCTTATCTGTTGCACTGGGATAAGTGTGAACATTCTGGGAGAAGGACAGGTGCCAAGTGTTCATGTACTATAGGACTCACAGGTTAATTAAATCAGTGACATCAGAGAGGGGGGCAGAATTAACAGTAAAGATACATATTTATCTCAATATATGTGTGTATATACCCAACTCAGAAAAAAATGATCATAAAGTGCTTTAGTAGTTTTGTAGTTACATAAACTACAAACCGGCTATCTCAGCCGGTTCTTTGACTACTTTGCATACTTTGATCATGCTCGGTTTTCTGAGAGGAGGCACTGGAAAATCTGCTTTTTTCATATAGTTATATAAACTACTAGTAGTATATAAACTACTGTCATTTTCCTGAGTTGGGTAAATTCAAAAAAGTAGAAAGAAAAATGCAAAGAAAATTTCCTATAATTCCATTTATAGTATATATGTATGCCTAAGTACACACACACACACACACACACACACACACAGAGATATATCTGGATAGTGTTTTATAATATATTTCTCACATGATTTACTATTCTTGTAAAATTTTATTTGTAAGGACTACATGTGATTCAATATGTAGTTTCGCCATTGGTTATTTAAGCATTCCACCCCTGTTGGATATTAAATTTCTTGGTTTCTACCATTACAAAAAGCTGAAAGAGTGAGCCACCCTGCATATTTTGTATACATCACTGATAATTACCTCAAGAAAACATCCTACAAGGTGAGTGATTCAGGAGTATGAACCTACTGCTGAATCACCCTCCAAAAAGGTTGTAGATCAAAATACGCTCTCTCATCAGTATATGAGAGGGATGACTTCCCATATTTTTCCCAGCACTAGATGTTAACATTTATTAAAATGTTGGTTTCATTACTAGTCTAAAACATAGCATTCATTCATTTCTAAAGGTTACATTAATTTGACCAAAAGATGCTGACAAACATTTTTATGTATTAAGGAGAGCATAGGTATACATTGTGAATGGCATGTTCACCCCACCTCATCCACTTTCTATTAAGATATCCATATTCTTATTTGCACAGTTAAAACTTTAAATTCTCTGTGCTTTTTAAAAATCTCTTAAGATTGCTCTGACTCAAGACTACCAAGTAGGTGTTCAGTGCCAAAGAACAATAGACTCCAACCACACAACTAGTTCCCATGCTACCTGAAAAAGGGCTTGGTTTTTTTTTTTTCTGCCACCTTCACGCTCTTACGCATTTGCAGTAGGTGCATCTTAGTGCATCTACTTAGCGCAGCATATGAAACCACAAACAAAACTGTCCCAGGGACCTTGAAGTCTGTCTTCCACTTCCCAGGGCCCCTTCATCCTCCTTTTGGTTCCCCTCAGAATGTCCAAGTGAATCCCTTTGTGCATCCCCACCTGGTTTAGTATTGAGGCAAATGGGAAATGCCCAGAAGAAATACCGACTTGAACCACTAGTGTGAAATACTAACTCACAGCAATTCACTCCACACAAGTTGGCAACTTCTGACATAAAGCAATGGCTGATAAGTATAATGACGAGGAATCTGATGCTTGGTGATACAACAGTAGCCACAGAAATGGTCGGCAGTGAATATCTGATTACCTGGCTCAAATCTATTTCCAATGTTGGGATCTCCAGGGTCCATTTAAGTATCTTCAAACAAATGTTCCAGCCGAGATATTTATGGGATTCTCTACAGGCAGCTGACTGGCTGCTGTGGGAGGAAGTCCAAAGCTGAGATATTTGTCCTAGCTTGAAAACTGTCAGTACTATTTGTATGAATGCGTTCAAAGTGGCCATGTTTCTTCATAACTTTTTGGACTAGTTCAACAGGGACATGAAAGAAGGACACTAAACTGATTCCTACATGGAAGCTTCCATTGCTTACTGTCTGCTTGGAACTCTGAGGGTGACATTTATTATAAAAATAGCAACAGTTAGTTATAATTGCTGACACATTCCATGCTTTCAAATTGAAACTAATAATCTCATTACTCTTATTTCCCTCACCTCCTCCTAAAAACTCATATGATAGCACATTTTTCTGTGATTCCTATCTCAGCCGATTCTTTGCCTACTTTGCATACTTTGATCAAGCTCGGTTTTCTGAGAGGAGGCACTGGAAAATCTGCTTTTTTCATCACCTATACAGGAAAAAAGAGGATTCTATAAGTCTAAAGCAAAATTATAGATCGGGGTTTCAACCGTGAACTTGGGTTTGTTCTTTTTAAAGCTTAAATAATGAATGAGGACTTCTTTGAGGAAGTGTGGCTTTCTTTGGGGAAATTTATAAGCACCTGATGGCTGAGACCGCAGGGCGTGGAGTCAGAAATTGGTTCAAATTCTGGGCTTGCTGCTTTCTAGTTTAGGGTGTTATTTTGAGTGAAATAGGAATAGGGAAATGGGTTGTTGTGAGAATCAAATGAAATGACACAGGTACACAAAGCACACTCAATGAGTGTTGATAAGTATTGTCATTGTTATGATTAAAACTTGACAAAAATCCTTTCGTTTAACACTCAGGACATCTGTGAGTCGGGTGTTTACTGGTTCCTCTGCTTCTCAATGACACCCACATTCCCAGTTGATTCTTACAGGCCCAGTCCTGCTTTTCATGAGAATAGAAAGGAAAAAATATGGGATGACTTAAGAGATGCCAGATGAATCTTTGCCCCGAAGGCAACTGTTTATTCAGCTCATTCAACGAACAAATAATTTCACTGATGATTTATTGTTTTCCTCAGTGAAATTTTCCTTCATACATCCATAATTAAAAAGGGTGCAGAACAGTAAATCGGTGAACCTGTCATATGACATTTGTTAGCATCGAAAACCAAGGCATCATAGCTTTTAGAAAAGAAAAAACGAAGAGGTTAGATAGGCCCTGATGTATGGATTTTTTTAACTGGCTGTCATTTCAGAAATGAAAAAGTGTGAGGTGTCTGTGTGTGTGTGTGTGTGTGTATGTATGTATGTGTTTAAAGAATGGAGACCAAAATGTAAAGTGAATGTAATGCCCTGTCTTCCAATATAATGACCTAATTTCTATTGATATTGAAAATATACCCCTTATTAGCAATGAGCACATGCAGTGTTTGCAGTTTCTCTAAGGAAGGAATACCAGTTTTTGCTTATTTGTTTTATTTTTTAGTGACAGAAAATTTTCCAATGTTAGGAAAAAAATTAAATTACCTATCTAATTCACAAGCTTTCCTCTCTTTTTTGAGATGGAATTTTGCTTTTTTTGTACAGGCTGGAGTGCAGTGGCACGGTCTTGGCTCACTGCAACCTCCGCCTCCCGGGTTCAAGCAATTCTCCTGCTTCAGCCTCCCAAGTAGCTGGGATTACAGGCATGCGCCACCACGCCCTGCTAAATTTTTTTGTATTTTTAGTAGAGACGGAGTTTCACCGTGTTAGCCAGGCTGGTCTCAAACTTCTGACTTCAGGTGATCCACCCGCCTCGGCCTCCCAAAGTGCTGGGATTACAGGCGTGAGCCACCACACCCAACCCAAACTTTCCTTATTCAAGGCCAACCCAGCAAATGCTTTGCCCATAAGGAAGGGCTAAAAGTGGCAGCAAGTAATCATTTGATCTGAGGGTCTGATTATAGAGAAATAAAATTTTAACTTTGACAGAGACTTCAGAGCCAAAAAAGCAGAGCTTGGCCCCTGACTTTAATGCTAAGCAAACAAATGGCTTTGGGATCCAACTCTACAGTGTGACACATGGATCTAATAATGATACTTGTAAAAAATATCATGAGAGAGAAATGATGGGAGAAATTCAAGGAACACATGTATTTCTCCCATACAGATCCTGTTATAACTGAATGTCACTCTTTGGCAAATTCTGCAGACATAAAAATGAACCCGATGCAAACTGAATTCGCTAAGTTCATCCTGGAGCACCTAACCGCGTCTCCCCTCCTTCCTCCCCCAGCCCCCCACAATGTTAACTGAGAACCTGATAAATCAGCAAACCGTCTAGAAGCCTCATTAAACCTCCAAGCAGTGCCTAGTCTCACAAGAGAGTAGCATTTTGAAGGAGACAGGGAGCAACAACAGACATAATCATGAGGAAGAAAAACACCAGAATAAAAGAAACATCAATAAAATATACCATGCACCATTAAGGACCACCTCGAGATAAGATACTCAGCGTGGCAGTAAAGATCACAAATGAATTAATGTCAAAAAAACAATGTGTGGTCTATAATAATATGTCAGACTGGGTTGAAAATCACAGCTGCCTAGGGAACTGTGCAGCACTCCCAGCCCTCCGTTTGTGGGGTAATTGTGCCAGTGACTCTTAATGCTGCTGACAGAGACCTTGCAACATCACTTTTTTTCACACAACACACCCAATTTGTCGGAGCAACCACATGCCATCTAGGCAGGCTGTCCATTCATTGGAAGAATAGGTCATTTTTATGTAAAAATTGTCATCCTCATTTTTTTTTTTTGAGATGGGAGTCTCGCTCTGTCAACCCGGATGGAGTACAGTGGCATGATCTCAGCTCACTGCAACCTCCATCTCCCAGGTTCAAGTGATTCTCCTGCCTCAATCTCCCAAGTAGCTGGGATTACAGGCGCCCACCACCATGCCCAGCTAATTTTTTGTATTTTTAGTAGTGATGGGGTTTCACCATGTTGGAGCAGGCTGATCTCGAACCTGACCTCAGGTGATCTGCCCGCCTTGGCTTCCCAAAGTATTGGGATTACAGGCATGAGCTACCACACCCTGCCGTCATTCTCATTTTTGTAACTTTAACATTTTGATATAATTTCAAAATTACATAAATGGTGGAAAAAACACCCTTATGCCTTTTACCCAGATTTACCCCTTGTGTATATATATGTGCCACTTTGCCATTTGCAGTATCATTCTCTCCCAGCTTCCCCACACAAGCGTGTATATTATTTTTTAACTAATTAAGGGTGAGATCCCCATGCACATCGTGCCTCTTTACCTCCAGACAACTCAGTGTGTCTTTCCTAAGAAGAAGGACATTCTGTTACATAACCCAGTAAAATTACCAAAACCAAGAAATTTAGCGCTGATATCCTATATTGTCTAGTCCTTGGTCTATATTCAACTTTTATCAGTTGCCCCAATAGTAGCCTTCATAGACCTTTTTTTCTAGTCCAGGGTTCATTTCAGGATCACATATTGCATTTAGTTATCTTTTCCCTTTCGTCCCCTTTATCTGAAACAGTTCCTTTACCTGCACTTCTGTTTTTGCCTTTGTCTTTTTTGATTGTTACATTTTTAAAACTTTTTATTAATATGTTTTATATATGTATATTCATATATGTATATATGTATGTATATTTATATGTTTTTGTCTCTCTCTATATATACACACACATACATGCAGTTAACTTGTATTTTACACATTGTATAGCCAAAAGAACCGTGAATTCTTTTTGACCAAATTCAACCCTGTGATCCTAGCACATCTCATAACCATAGCCCTAAGGCTCACTGCTCTTACTGCCCAGACATCTTGCTGCCATCTCAGACCAAGAAGCTGGCGTCATTGCCATCTGTAGTACTCTAAAAGAAGCATTCGGCCTCATGGACACTAGATAGTGGGATGATATTGTTTGTCTCCTCAGAGCAGAGCTTTACAAGCTGCCTGTGATTAAAAACAAAAACAAAAACAAAAAAACAAAACAAAACAAAAAAAACTTTAGGCCAGGTGCAGTGGCTCATGCCTGTAATCCCAGCACTTTGGGAGGCTGAGGCGGTTGGATCACCTGAGGTCAGGAGTTCAAGACCAGCCTGGCCAACTTGGTGAAAGACTATCTCTACTAAAAATACAAAAATTAGCTAGGCATGGTGGCACATGCTTGTGATCCCAGCTACTTGGGAAGCTGAGGCAGGAGAATTGCTTGAGCCTGGAAGGTGGAGGATGCAGTCAGCCGAGATCATGCCATTGAACTGGGAAATGGACCAGACTCCATGTCAAAAAAAAAAAAAAAAAAAAAAAAAAAAAGAACCCTTTTATCCCCCAGTTCCTCAGAGACCATTTATATATGGCTCTTCTGCACAAACCCAGGTAGAGTTTGCACCCCATGTGACTCCCCATTCAAGGTTGCCATTATACCACTCAAGGAGCTGAGTCTACTGAGCAAGTGCTTTGCTTCCTTGTGGCAGTGTCAAGCTACTATAGAAGTGTCTAACCCTTAGCTCTAATCTCCTTTATTTATCTCATCAAACGCTGATTGGATGAGGCCAGTGGCGCACACTTAGCCGTGCTGGGCTAACACAGTTGGCTCCTATCAGTTAGAATTCAACTGAAGGCTTGCATCCCCATGGAGCATTTCTCATTCACCAGCCTGTTTTAGGACACGATGAAATGCCTCCTACATAGCACTTACCTCAATTCGCAACAACACTTTGATTTTTGAGATGATTGTATTGGTATCTAGTACCATGACCCAACTCTAGGGTCCGTGAAACTCCCACAATTTTGCCTGCCATTGTGTCCTCAATGCCCAGTGCACAGTAGACACTCAATACATAACTGTTTAATGGAAGAGTGACTGCATCAGTAGTGACTTCTGACAAATGATGAAACACAATAAGACCATGGGCTAACTCGAAATACGTTTAAGCCCAATAAAATTACATTTGGCATAAGAAGATAGGGATCATGCTTGCTCTGAGAATTTGAGGACGTTTTTGTTTGCTTGTGTGTTTGTTTTAGATTTAAATGAGGGAAATCGCACTTTTGAAAGCACCAAACTGTGTCTTACATATACATAGTAGACACTTGAAAAGCATCCATTTCGAATTAATCATTTTGAGAGCTTAGCACAACCTTAGCAGTTAAACTGTCTGTTACTATTTTCAAGAAAGTCTATACTTGTCCAACTGTATTTGTTTATTTGAGAGTCACATTTAACCAGGACTTATTTCACTCTGTATTCTTAATATTTGTAGGGTTGGTGGGGGAGGGGGTACAAAATAATATTTTCCTAAACAAATAGAGCCTGATTTATTCAGGAAAATAGAGATTATAGATGGTTTGCAGGAAAAAGAAGGTTTGAAAACAAAACCTGTGAGCAGATTGTTTTCAAGTACTTTAATAGGCTCAGCTGCTTCCTCTCCTCCACTTTTCTTTTCCATGAATATAATAATAATGATGATAAAGGTTTATGCTGGACCCATTATAACAATAGGGACTATCACCAAAGTATTCTAAAACTCTCTTTCAACTATAGGAGATGATCTTCAGAGAAAACACTTGAAATTGCTACTTTGTGTTATCAAGCTCTGATGATTTGGGGTATATTGTTTCTTCTGTGTGGCCCTACTTCAAATTAAGGCTGGATAATGGTAGGCAAAACAGTCAGAAGCATGCTTTCACTGGTGAGGCATCTCTTTTGGCTGAGTTAATCTTTATAGTGAAGATATACATTGAAAGTATATGTTTCCTTACTGCCTGTACAGCTTAGTTTGCTCAGTGTCCAGGTGGCTTTAGTTATGACTTATGACTCAAGGATAGCATTTTAGGAGAACCAGTGGGAAAAAAAAGTAGTATAAATGTAAATGTAAAAGATACAGCTCATTCTGTCTTTGAAATCGTTGATGTGAAAAGAGCTCAACAGTGTTTTATTTAAACAAGGTCGGCTTCGACCTTGATTGACTTGCAGTAAATTGCCTGGTACAAGAGGCAAAAGGAAATGGAGAGAAAAATGGCAATCAGCACCAAATGTTTCACATATTGATTGACAAGCACCAGAGATGTGCTAGAGTAAGACAAATTGGCCAACAGGGCCCATCTTGACAGCTCTTGAGATGGGAAAATTGTTCTTGTTAATTTGCTGCAGGAACCTTGTCATTTATGGAATGTGCACGTGAGTGTCTCCTAATTGTGCAAACAAAGTTCAGTTTCCTACACAGCCTTGTTGTGTTATTGGGTTTGGTAATTCTTTGGTCTGAATCACCAGGATGCATTTGTAAATGGCTTTTAAATTGGGGGACAAAAGGGGAAGTGGTGCACCTGCTATAAGATGGCATTTTCAACTGAAATATAGCAAATTACTTGGTGGACATTTTCCGTTTAACAATAGATTTCAGACAAACTCATGTGCATAAGCTCTCCTTCCATCTGTCTGCCATGATTCTCTTCTGCCGTACTGGATCTAATTGCCTTTATCTCAATGCAGGTTTGAGTTTGGGGGTTTTCAGGTATGTAAATTTTATTTTAGGAGTTTGGTAGTGGCCAAAAAAAAAAAAAAAATCCTTCGTAGACTTTTCTATCTTCGCCCCTTCAGTATTTCTATCTTTCTCTTTTAGTCTTCTCCTAACACTTCTCTAATATCCTCCTCCCTCTCTCCCTCTATGCTGAATTAGTGAATGTCTGTTATCACCCAGGTACCTCTTTACACCTCTCTCTGTAAGATGCACTGTATTATGGACCAGACTGCCAAGGAGACCCATCCAGAAGCCAACGTTCAGTCTTGTTTGTCATTTTTTCCAAATTAGGTAAAAATGCATTTTCATTTAGGGTATAATTTAAATTAAAGCATTGTCACAGACGTTTTTGTTTTAATGTTTTACAAGTAGAAGCCCTCACCATCATTATTACCCCTTCCCCCGAGTCCCCCCCTCCCGCGCCACACACACACACACACACACACACACACACACACACACACAACACGGCCCCACTCTCTCTCTCTGAATTTTTCAGGCCATTACTGCAGTCTTGCTTGGGCAGGAATGGAAAGGTCTTTATTTTCATTTAAATGGGCTGTATGAAAAATAAATCTTAACTTCCAAGACCTGTTCTTAATCACCTTCATTAATGTCGCAGCTCAGAACAATGCATCACTTTCCTACTGTCTAAGAGGAAGATCCAGACTCAAAAATATTCATGATTTCCATATTACTTTGTACAGACCCCTTTAACATTAACTTGTTCCAGTGTTGGGCAGGTCACATAGATGCTTAAAACAGCTGGCATATGGAATAAAATATGGGAATAGTGGGGGGAATATGTACCCCACTGAAGGCATTCAGTGTCATAACTACAGACAGACAAATAGACAGAATATTGTGGAAGCTTTAGAGCTGTAGGGTTTGTGATCCCTAGCCTAGACTTACCATTCTTAACCTGTTTTCAAAAACACTCTTCGCTGATTATCTCATTTTGTCTTCAAAATAGCCCTGGAAAGTAGGTGCATGAGACTCCATTTTCCCCATTTCACATTGAAAACAGAAGCATCAGAAAGTCAACTAAACTTGTTAGATGGAGGCAGGGAAAGGAACCTGGACAGCTGGCCCGACTGCTCCTACAGTGACCTTTCCACTTAGCATTCTCTCATCCATTTGATGTCACTCAACAGCTGCTTCCAGCCTCATCCTTCACCCCATCTTCTTCGCAATGCCCAACTCTAAAATCACCTTCTCTCTCCAGTTGTCATTGACCTCACCTTCCCCAGGCAGAGTTCACTGCACCCTCTTCTGGGTTGCAATGTCCCTGAAAGCAGGTCCCTTTCATAGTAGCTACCAGGTTGACAATGCAGCCACCTATTTACATGTCTATCTCCCTCACTGAAGTGTGGATTCCTCAAGGACACAGACTGTGTCTGGTTCCATGTCACTTTCCTTGTGTCTG
Organism: Homo sapiens; assembly: GCF_000001405.40. NCBI lineage: Eukaryota > Metazoa > Chordata > Mammalia > Primates > Hominidae > Homo > Homo sapiens. Next base: position 167,846,243 of record NC_000005.10, read on the forward strand.
GCACTGCTTCTGCCACGTAGTCAGCCCCCAGTGAATATTGGTTGAATGAATTTGAAGTGTTAGTAAACACACACTACAACACAACTTAGAAAAGTGCTCAGTCCAGAGTTCCCATCCTAAATTTCTTCTCCATCTGCATGAATTCACTGTGCCTGAATGGCAAGTCATTTCATTTCGGAATTATCCTGAATCAGAAAAGAGAAGGCAAGAGAAGCTCTGGCCATCAGCAGCATGCGGATTGCTAGAAAATGTTTATCCCCAGGAAGCCTAGAAGTGCTGGGGAGTCTTTTTTAGAATGCTCAGGTGTTGTTTCTGTGATGCCAAGAATCTTCCAAAAGATTGAGATGAAGCCACAGAGAAAAATGCTTCAATGTTTCAATAACATTAAAAATTTAAATGCTAGAATATTTTAGGTTTCTTTGATTTACAAATTAATACCCCCAAATATGTATATAAACATTCCCAAGGCTGAGGTTCACCAAGGACCAATTTATTGAACAAGAAAGCCTCTTTGGATTCTCCTTAAGTGGCACCTTTTGGTTCACATAAATAAACTTGTCTTCCCCTCTTCTACCTCCTCTGAAAGAAGGTTGTGTGAATTGAAACTGCAGAATCATATTCCAAAGATCGTTGTGCGTTATCCTGAGGACAGGAAGGGCACAGCATCAGAGAATCTTCCTTTTGGATTGGACCACAGAAGTCATTTCAATTGATTGATTGATTGATTGATTGGAAATGGGATCTCATTCTGTCACACAGGCTGGAGTGTAGTGGTGTGATCAAGGCTCACTGCAGTCTCAACCTCCTGGGCTCAAGCCATCCTCCCACCTCAGCTTCCCAAGTGGCTACGAGTATGCACCACCATGCCTGGCTACTTTTTAAAGATGTTTTGTAGAGATAGAGTCTCACTATGTTGCCCAAGTTGATCTTGAACTCCTGGGCTTAAGCGATCCTCTTGCCTTAGACTCCCAAAGTGCTGGGATTACAGGCATGAGCCGCCATGCCCAGCCTCACCCTATCTTTATCCCACATAAATGTCTTTTCTAACATCCTCTCTAAGGGCCATCTAACATCTGCTTAAATGCCTCCACCCACAGTGAACTCACTTCCACACAAGAAAGCCCATTTCATTTGTGTACTGATCAAATCACTAGAAAATCTACTATTCTATTAACCCAAACTCATTTTTTCTATCACTTCTATTCCTTGGTCTCTGTTATGCCCTCTGCAAATAAACAAATCAAATGCCAACCTCCTTGCACAGGACTGGACTGCATAGCCTGAGTTGAACCTTCCCCTGTACACACAAGACCCTGTCTGTCCAAGTCTCCAGTTCTCCTGAGAATCCTAGATTCCTTCATACCTTCACCTCACTGAAAGTTAGCGCATCTCCACCATTTGCCCATTTACTTCTGAACACCTTCAATACAGATGTTCATTTTGAAATGTTTCTGTATCTATGAGTATGTTCTGACTAAATCTCAGAGCAAAACTGGAAGAAGTACAGCTTCTTTTCATTAGAACTTTGACTTCTATTCGTGGTTTATTTGGGCCAAACATATTAATCTGTGTCTCATGCAGAGATTATACTGATATAAAACTCCAAAGCCTTTTTTTATATTTGCTTCCGTTCAGTCATATTTTCCCATCTACTACTAACAGTTTTATTTTTCTTTTAACCTAAGTGCAACACTTTACACTTACCCTTTAGATTTCAGTTTGGGTAATTTGGACATATTTGGATCTTTATTATTTTCCAGAATATATGTTCATTCTTCTAGCTTTATGTTCCCTACAGATAAGATGACCGTTTCTCTCCTTATGTGTTTCTCAACATACCTGCTGAGCATGCCCAATAACAGAGCCCTGTGGTACATCATTAGGAACATGTAGAGAAATAGACTTCAGTGGACTACAATGAATGGCTGAGTAGGTCATGAGAGCTGAGTGGATCGTGAGAACTGAATAGGTCATGAGAGTTCTTCAAAGTGTTAAATAGTGAATGCATAATAGAGTTGCCATAGATCTTACCCTTCAATTGAAAACCCAAGTGTCCATAATGATCAGCTAGGCAATATGAATGAATGAAATAAGAGGGCATGGTGGGGTTTGTGGTAAAGTGGAGAGTGCATATGTAAATCAAAGCCACTAAAATTCAATTAAAAGAAAAAAACACTGTTTTACTGCTTTGGCAAATATATATATATAAAACATATTATATATTTTGTATGTATATATCTTCATATATACACACACATATATCTATATGCCAAATGAGGCCAGTGGGCTGCCACAGGGCCAACTCTGCTCCAGAGAGCAGCATTAGAACCAAGGAATAGACTTGTATGTTTCTACTATGTAGAGCCATCCTCTTAATGATTTCTCGGACAGTCATTGCTAAAAAGCTACTGCTCTAAGCACTTTTTCTCCTTGGGTAGTTGTTGAGACATTGGTTCACTCTCTGGTGACTTTTTTCCAGAGCTGACAGTATCAATGTTATTTCCATTTATGGTTGATTTAAAAACTGTCAGAGAGGTTGGTTTCCTTGATGAAAAATTTGGGAGGCTAAACGTCTTCCCCACTTCTACCCCTTTCCCAACCCCCTGCTACGGGTGATCCTGACACTAGATTAGATGGACCACTTAAAGCAGGCTAGTTTTTTGTTTGCTTTTTGTTTTTTGGGTTTTTTTGGCCACATTGTATATTGTGTTAGTTTCCTATTGCTGGTGTAACAGATTACCACAGACTTGGTGGTTTAAGACAATGAAAATGGATGATCTATCTTACAGTTCTCTAAGTGAGAAGTCTAAAAGCAGTCTCAATGGAATAAAATCAAGGTGTCAACATGACAGCATTTCTTCTGGGGACACCATGGGAGAATCTACTTCCTTGCCTTTTCCAGCTTTTATAAGCTGCCTGCATTCTTTGGTTCATAGCCCCTTCCTCACATCAGTCCAACATCTGCTTCTGTGGTCATATCTCCTAGACCGCTAACCCTCCTGCCCCCTCTTATCTCCTTATCTCAAGATCTTTAACTTATTACAGCTGCAAATTCCTTTTTACCATGTGCACCAACTACCAGAGACAGGAAAAAAAATTGTTTTTCCCCACTCTCACACTTCTGACACTTTATTCTGATGAAAAAATAAAATCCAATCATTTTTTCTCTCTCCACTCACACTCAACACACAGAACACTTCACTTCTGGTTACCATCATGTTCAAGGGTTTCTGCCCACCAGCAACCAATCAGTTCTCCAGTGGACACCAGCTGGGTGTCCACTACTTCAATTCAATTCTGACACTATCTACCTGGAGGTAGCATCAGATCCCACAGGTTAAGGGCCCAGTCCCTCAAGACTGCTCCCACTTCAGATGTTAATCACAAGTCCCATGTTGTGACTTGTGCTTCTAAATGACCTGGTATAAATCAGAGGACCCATGACCCCTTCCTTGGGTTCTATTAATTTGCTAGAGGGATTCACAGAACTCAAGGAAATATTTTACCTACATTTTTACCTACATTTATCCATTTATTATAAAGAATTTTACAAAGGACACAGATGAACAGCCAGATAGAAGAGATGCATACGGCAAGTAAGATTGAAGGGGTGTGGAGCTTCCATGCCTCTCCAAGTATGCCACCCTCCAGGAACTTCCACAGATTGAGCTATCCAGAAGCTCCCCAAATCCTATTCGTTTTGTTTTTTATGGAGGCCTCAGTGCAAAGGCAGGATTGATTGCATCATTGTCCGTGGGTGATCAACTCAACCTTCAACTCCTCTCTCCTCGCTGGAGGATGGGCTGAAAGTCCCAACACTCTAATCATGCCTTGGTCTTCTGGTGACCAGCCCCCACATCCCAAAGCTATCAAGATGACCCCAGCCACCAGTCGTCTCATGAGAAGACAAAAGACTTTAGAAGACAAAAGACATTCATATCTCCAGAGATACCAAGGATTTTAGGAATTGTATGCCAGGAACCAGGATATTTCACAATATCACAGTAACATGTTCACAGGGTCCAGGAATTAGAACCTGGATGATTTGGGGACCATTACTGTGCACACCACATACTTTCTGAGCTACCACAAGGCCAGGTTGAGAGAGGAAGCTCTCCACTCTGTAACCTTCATTCTAACAGGCCCTGTGAGGCTGTGGCAGAGTGGAGTTAGGGGATTCATTAAGGAAGGGGATTCCACTAGGACTTAGGTGTACTAGAACAGACTCGGGACTGTACTAGAATATAAGGCAGAGAGAGAAGACATTGTTCAAAATTTAAATCCTCCCGAGTTCAAAATTTAAAATGAGAAATTTTTAAATGAGAAAATTCCTTTCTTTCTCCCACATTTACCCCAGAGATGATGTAGCCCAGCTTCTGAGAGTAAGCAAAGCAATAAATATGAAACAGGAAACGCTGGTAAATAACTTCCTGGGGACTACTCTGGAGGATGGGGGCTGCAAAGCTAATACTTTCTTGATATTTTAAGGGAAGCTCCTCTCCAAACCACCTGGGCTGTGACAAGAAGGAAAGAAACCTGGACCCTCAACCAGTATCCAAGGGCTGGCTTCATTTTTTCCCCAATTAGCTTGCAACGAGTTAATAGTAGCTCTGTAGTGCTGGATTCAGGGATTTGTGTGACATAGATAAGGTTTGGCATTAAAAATGCTAAATCATTACAACTCTGAATTTTCTCATGTTCATTCACGAAGCTGTAATCTTTCCCACCTAGTACTATCACTCTTAGGGTGCATGAATCACTAATTATTGCCCTAATCCCAGGAGATAAATTTCTCCAAGGAACCCAGCAGCAAAGAGCAAAGCCTTGAAACCTACTTATGAAGAAATGTGTCAGCCGTCTTGGAGATTTTTACTTCCCAACTTGGAAATTATGTTGATTGGAGTAAGTGGAAGCTTAACTGGGGGGTTGTTGATGTGTGTTATCATCTGGGGGTGGTGGCAGAGGGGATAAACTGTGAGAGAGAGCCAATTTTATCTCAGTTTGTCCTCTGACTCATGAATTCTGAGTCCTGCAATGGAGTTTTTTGCCTTGCAAGAAAAGCTAGATTAATGCTTGTGTGCATAGTCATTGACTTTATAAAAAATCAGATTACAAGGAATAATTTTAGTGTATATTTATATATCCAAATTTATCATAATCACCAAGGATTTTAAGCAAGATTTTTCACGGTTTCATGCACTATTGAAATATTTGGTAAGGGGAGAAAGAGCTGTTATCCATATCCTTTCTAGATGTTATTCATCTTCTTGTTTTAAGGTATAAAAATTTTCCCTGAAAGCCTCTGGTTTGGGCCTTGGATGTAGCAATACCAGAGCCCGAGGGTAGACTTTTGACTATAAAGAATAAAAAAGTTCCAGGGCTTAAGCTTTGATTGAGGACATTCCTGTCTTTGTGGGAAACAGCAACAGAAAAAAGAAGTCCTGTAGCCAAGACTTGCTTGGGTTTTTCTGCTGAGGACCGCCAGAGATTCCCGCAGCTCTCTTGTTTGGGAGGAAGATGGGGAGGAAGAAAAGGAAATAGGAATGCTGTGTTCCTTCGTCTTCCCTTCATTTCTCCCATGTAAAAAATAAAGTAGCCAAGGAATTATTGTCTCTTTTAGGAATGCCTCAGACTGTTAGAGTTATATCAATTGATACTGTCTTAATTTATCCTATAATTTTTTTAAAGGAAGAAAGATAATATCAGCTCTTTATTGCCTATGTCTGTACTATAGATGAAATGTGTCACACTCCTTAATTCTCTCCCACATTATCATATCTTTGATAAACTCAATAGAGAACCAGTAGCAGAGGATGCTTGAAATGGTTTTTAAATTATTTCAGAAAGGCTTCCAATTAAGCTATTGGGAAATATGTGTGTATATATATTTGTTAAAATTGTAGGCAGTTGACTTGCTTTTCAACGTTTGTAAGGTTTTCCAAGCTTGAACCACTTAAGTCAAAAGTAGAACTAATAAAAGCACAATTGAACTTAATATATTATGTCAAGATTTACAGTAATCGATTATTGTTTTTCAGCTATGAAGATATCATTAAGCATATGCCAAGCAATCAGCGCATGACTGTAATAGGTTCATGAAGGAAAGGCTTTTTCTAATCGTTTTCAGTGGTGTTTTTCCCAAGACAGCAACAGCTTTTATAAAATGATGGTTATATCTCCTCATTATGGAATCTAATCTCCCCAAAAGACATTCAGCAGCTGCAAAACGGTAGCATCTTTTAGCTGTAAATTGTTTTTTATTATTTATCCCTATTTAACTAAAGAAGAAACGGCCATCAGATGATTTAACAAGACAAGAATTTAGTAGTTTTAACATTTGACAGCACCCAATTGTTAGCCCATGCATTGATCTCTTTAGATCTTGGCTTAATGGTAATTGGTGTATTTTTGCTTTCGTGTCTCTATGTACTGTATAAGCTGAGTATGAGTCTTCTAGGAACCAAATCTGCATGATCGGCTCTTTTATATTTCTCTTTAACATGGGATTTGAAGTTGTGTGTACTCGTAGAATTCAAGAAATTGCAGAATTAGACAAAAAGGAATACAGCCATCCTAATGTGAGTCCAATTTTAATAGTGGGTGTCATTATGAGCTGAATTTGTTACCCACAAAGTGATAGAAGAAAGTCGGAAGATGGAAACCTCTGTTTATTGGTATTATGATTTACTGGTGTGCATCCCATCACAAAGGAGGCTCTTCAGTGGGACACAATTTTTTGTTCTTAAGAAAGTGATCGGGCTCTGCCAGGCGCGGTGGCTCACTCCTGTAATCCCAGCACTTTGGGAGGCCGAGGCGGGCGCATCAGGAGGACAGGAGATCGAGACCATCCTGGCTAACACGGTGAAACCCCGTCTCTACTAAAAAAATACAAAAAAAATTAGCCGGGCGTGGTGGCGGGCGCCTGTAGTTCCAGCTACTCAGGAGGCTGAGGCAGGAGAATGGCGTGAACCCGGGAGGTGGAGCTTGCAGTGAGCCGAGATCGCCCCACTGCACTCCAGCCTGGGAGACAGAGCGAGACTCCGTCTCAAAAAAAAAAAAAAAAAAAAAAAGAAAGTGATCGGGCTCTATTTGAGAATGTTCTGTGGAATTTAAAAATAACATGGCACTAATGAGTTTTCAAATCGCTCCATGGGTAGAACTCTCGTGAGACAACCAGCTAATTTAAATAAATAAGGTTCTGTGACCCCGTGGGAGCTTACAGGGGTGAGACATCCATTTTAATCGAGGCTCAGTTTGAGAAGAGGAAATTTCACTCATAACATACTTTCAAGTGGATTGGCTGCAATGTGATTTTCTGGCGATGTTTCCTTTGTTGCTATTTTAAGGCAAATGTTTATGTTTCTTTACAAGACTTGGCATATTTTACTGGAAAGGTTGAAGTAATTTCTCCACCCTTAATATGGCATGCCTTTCTAGAATGGTCACTCGGAACCAATTAAGCAACAATTTCATTCCATAGACTATTGCAATTTGCTTTTCACTTATTCTGTGCAGACTGAAGTTGTATATTCATGGACATTTCCCATGTAAGTTTTAGATTTTCCACTTTGTAGATGCAAATACTTCTTCCAGTTTTGTGATAAAATAACTCAACAACAGCAAAATTCAAATAAGACCACAAAAAAAGTCTTATTAAGCTTTACATAAATAGCTGCTTCCCTATCATGAAAACAACTGGGAACATTGTACTGTTGTGAATCTACATTTCTACTTATTCAGTAATTGTACCCCTAGTGCTGTTTACCATTTCATTTGTATTATTTATATATCAACCAAAGGGTATGAACACCAAAAAATAATTTCACATCACCTATCTTCCATTTCTTTTTATTTTAAAAGCCCTGAAGATATAGTTCTCCTATAAATAATGATAAAAAGATGCTGTATTAATATTTCAGCAAAGATCTCCATCTACTCACATACTCACAAATAACATATTCTGTAATATATACACTTACCCCTCCCTAAATTAACTGTGCCTGGGGCTTGCAAGAAAATCAGGTCAAGCTAAAGGAGAAATCAGAGAACAAGACCAAAATTAATTTACTACTCTGTACCACATGTGAATATGAGTTTGTAGGGGGAAAAAAAGGCTTATTTTTTGGACCATCTCTATCCCTGTATATGTTGAGCACTTTTAACTCTGAAATATGTGCTGCGTCTTCTTGCCTGGATGAAGGTGAAAGTTCAACCCTCTCTGCTTAGATTTTTATTAAATCTCATTAAGTCAGCTAAAAGGAGCTGCCTACCTTGTCAGTTCTGTTCCAAAACATCTAAAAGCCCTTTTTGTACCTCTTTATTGCTGGAGGTAAAATTGTGAACACAACCATAATTTGCCTATCTGTCTGAGAAGAGTTTTCTAAGCAACAATTGGCATCATTTTCAAATATTTGGAATGGTTTTCAACCCAGTTATGTCGTATATCTTATGCTATGTGTTAAAGCAAGCACATTGCATATATATGTAAATGCGGTAGGAAGGATGCCCCTTTAAATATGTATATTCATGAACCATTTTGGGTTCCTTTCTCTCAAACCCACATTAACCCATCAGTCAAACATATTGCCATTACCTTCAAAATGCATCCAGATTCTGATCTTTGTCACTTTTGTCACTATCACCCTCATCCAAGACTCACCCCCACTCATCCCTGACCTGGATGGATTATTCTTATGGGTCTCCCTGCTTCTGCATCCCTTGGGTTTGTTCTTAACACAATAACAAAAGTGGCTTTGCTAAACCATATGTAGTATCTTGTCACTCCTCCCTCAGAACCTTCTATCAGCTTTCCGTCTCACCCAGAGTAAAAGTCAAAGACCTTGCAGTGGCTTCTGAGGCCTCCCTCTTCTCCATCTCTCATTCCACTCCAGGTGCACTCACCTGCTTGCTGTTCCTAGAATATACCAAATGTGCAGCCAGCTCAGAGCCTGTGTTGGTGCTATTTCTTGTGCTTCCCCTAGACATCAGCATGGCTCCCTCTCTCACTTCCACCAGGTCCCGTTCAAATGTTATCTTAACTGGGAGGTCTTCCCTGATGACCTTATATTAAATGGCACCCACCTCTTGACCTCTACTCTGCCATTCCCTACTCTCCTTACCTTTCTCTACTTTTCCCTTGAAAACACACACACATATGTTGTGTTTACATATGCTTATATGCATACATATATATATGTTCGTATACATGTGTCTGTAAATATATTTATTTATGTTTAATTTGCTGTTGTTTTTGCCGTTATTTATGTGTTGATTGCCCCTTCTCTACCCTCCAGAATATAAGCTCCCAGAAGGAAAGGACTGTTTGCTTTTTACTTCATAACCCCAGTTTATATAATAGAGCCTGATATGTACTAGACACTCGAAGAATATGTGTCAAAAATATGGAAGGAGGAAGGAAGAAAGAGAGGAAGGAAGGAAGGAAGGAGGGAGGGTGGGAGGGAAGGGAAGGAGAAAGGAAAGAAGGGAGGGAGGGAGGGAAGAAGGAAAGAAGGAAGGAAGGGAGGGAGGGAATGAGGGAAGGAGGAAGGAAGGGAGGAAAGGAGGGAGGGAAGAAGGAAGGAAGGGAGGGAGAGAGGGAGGGAGGGAAGGAATGAGGGAGGGAGGAAGGAAGGGAGGAAGGAAGGGAAGGAGGGAGGGAGGGAGGGAATGAGGGAGGGAGGAAGGAAGGGAGGAAAGAAAGAAGGGATGGAGGAAGGAGGGAAGGGAGGGAAGAAGGGAGGGATTGTTCAAGAATCTCTTTTCATGGCTGGTCTAGGAACTCTGATGGAAATTCCCTGTTAGTCCTTTTATCTTCCACACAGTCACTTATTTCGACTTCACTTAGGCTGGGTACAAACTATTTTAGTTTGGTACACATATGCCACCTCTTTGCTTAAACAAACAATGTGACCCGTTTTCTGGGATCATAGGAGAAATAAGTGGGAACACAGAGGCCACCATTCCCGTCTCTGCTTGGACATTGACCAGTCACCCCTCCTGCCCCCACTTTGCCAAATGAGCTGAGGAAATGCATCCTTACCTCCCAAGCAAACATTAATTACTGTTTGCACCACGCTTTGAGATCCACAGATGAAAGCAGTTGTAAAAGCAAAATGGGTTATTATGTTGGGAATGGTTATAGACTCATTTAGCTCTGGAAACCCATCAAGCAGGAATGTTGAATCATGAAACTAGGGTTGGCCAAATATTACACTTGTTATAATTAATTTGAGCTTAAGCTTCAACACAGTGACATGTTTCCTTTAAATAAAGTTAAGTCCTCTAAGGATGCATGAATCTATATGGATCTCGATTTTCAGCTGGGAACTGAAATTTTTCAGATATGCAGAATGCAGAAAAGCAAATGTGTCTCTGACTTCTGGTGGGGCAGGGTGAATATCTGGGCAGACTGCTTATTTTTGAGACATAAATAATCTTCTGTCTCCTTTTCCCCACGGGGCTGTGAGAGCAGTGTTCACAAAATTATGGGGATTTAGGACTGGAACTGAATTTAAAGGGCCTACAATCCTACTTCCCACTGAATGCCAAAACATTGTCTACAGCCTTGCTGACAAGAGCCGCTCAGGACTGCTGAAATAATTTCTGGGATGAGGAGCTTGTTACTTTGCAAGGGTGCTGATTCTGATGTTGTTCAACAACTGTTGTTAGAAAGCTCTTTACATGTTTATCCATTTTTGTCAACAAATATTTATTAATCACTTTCTGTGCACATGTACTTTGTTAGGAGCTTTGGGATATGGAAAGATTAAAACAGTGCAGATTCCGCAACCACCTAGAGCAATGCCCTGGCCTAGGAGAGAACCTGAAAGGTGGTAGTTATTCAATACATATGTGTTCATTGAATGAACTACAGAGTGGATTACATTCTAGCAAGAATGATACAGCACATGCCAAAGAAGCCATGATACCAAGTGGAACATGTATAAAGGAGAGGTATAGATACATGCAAGATTTATCAAGCTGAATGTGGCTCTTTTTCGTAGCCAAATTCAGCTTGAATTTCGCTCTTTTTCCAAACCAGCTTATAAATGTCCATTCTGTTTTTCATAGGACATGGCTAAATTATTTGAGAATTGCTACAACGTCCTTTACCTCTCTTCCAGGGTTAAGAACTGCAGGGCCTCGAGTGTATTAAATTATTTCTAGTACACACATCAATCTGAATTTCTTCCCCTAGGCAGCTCAGTGCCTCAACTAGGCTCTTAAGAGGTCAGCCTAGAATGGAATACACCAACCAATTCAGACGTGTTCATACAGGCCTACAGTACATTGGGTCTCTCTTTCCTATGATCTGGACATGCTTCCCATACCATCTCATACTGCATATACTATTTGTTCATGGAACCCTTGTTTCCTGGGACATGTTTTATCTTGAGAAAACCCAATATTTCAAAGACCATAGTTTGGAAGATAAGAGTCTAATGTCATATGTGGGTTGGTTTTATTAGGGGGGAGGGGAGCAGAGTAATTATTTTACACATACTGCATTAAAATTATAGATTTATAGTCCATTTATATCATTTTCTATGAAGGCAGATTTTCTTCATCCTTATTTGAATTTTGGGTTTTCTGCTCATCCCCAAACTTAAGTACTGGAGAGGAGTGTTATCTAATAAATAGAGCCTTAGACTCAGGTCACTAACTTACTGTGTGGTCCAGAAAAAGCTGCATTCTCTTTCTGAATTACATTTTTTTCATCAGCAAAGTGAAGTGGTTGATCAGGGATATTATCTAAGGTTCCCTCTAAAGCTAACATTCAATGGACTTTCTCCGTAGCTTTCTTTGACTTCATCTAGATCATTCTATGACTTTTGCTAATCTCAGGGACAGAGCTATCAACTAGAAAGCAGTTCTAAACAGAAGCATAGCAAAAGCAAGACACAGCAGGTCAACCTGAGCCCCATCTTCTAAGGCTTATTTAGCATGTCAGAACTGCAGAGACTGGGAAGAAAATGTGAGCTAAGAGCCACAACAGCCTTTGTTCTGCATCTGTACCATGTCTTCATAAGACGAGGAAGTCTGCAAGTCTTCATAAGAAGAGGAAGAAGCTGGGCATTTTTGCATGTGCAAACCAATGCTGACATTTCTGTCACATCACTTCTACCATGATGGGTTTTACAAGTTGCCCACATGAACATGTTTGTTCATGTCTGAAATGGCACATCATTGTATCACCTCACATGCAAACTCCTCACTCACTTTAAGTCTTTCAGCATTTCTACCCTGGTTGGTAGTGGCTTCTTTCCTGGCAACTATGATTATTTGAAAACAACGTCAAGAGAAGGCTCGAAGGCGCCGCGGGCTGGGGTCGGTGGCTTAGGGAGCCCGTCCGGCCATGGTGGCCGCGGGTGGTGGTTGGCGCGGCTGCGCTGCGGCCCGGGGCAGTGCGGAGCCGGGACAGTCGCGGCGCTGACGCCCGCGGGCACCAGCTGCAGATATGAAGCAGAGCCGCTGCCGCGACCGACCGCAGCCGCCGCCGCCCGACCGCCGGGAGGATGGAGTTCAGCGGGCAGCGGAGCTGTCTCAGTCTTTGCCGCCGCGCCGGCGAGCGCCGCCCGGGAGGCAGCGGCTGGAGGAGCGGACGGGCCCCGCGGGGCCCGAGGGCAAGGAGCAGCTGCCTGCCTTGGCCTCCCAAAGTGCCGAGATTGCAGCCTCTGCCCGGCTGCCACCCCGTCTGGGAAGTGAGGAGTGTCTCTGCCTGGCCGCCCATCGTCTGGGATGTGAGGAGCCCCTCTGCCTGGCTGCCCAGTCTGGAAAGTGAGGAGCGTCTCCGCCCGGCCGCCATCACATCTAGGAAGTGAGGAGCGTCTCTGCCCGGCCGCCCATCGTCTGAGATGTGGGGAGCGCCTCTGCCCCGCCGCCCCATCTGGGATGTGAGGAGCGCCTCTGCCCGGCCGAGACCCCGTCTGGGAGGTGAGGAGCGTCTCTGCCCGGCCGCCCCGTCTGAGAAGTGAGGAGACCCTCTGCCTGGCAACCACCCCGTCTGAGAAGTGAGGAGCCCCTCCGCCCGGCAGCTGCCCCGTCTGAGAAGTGAGGAGCCTCTCCGCCCGGCAGCCACCCCATCTGGGAAGTGAGGAGCGTCTCCGCCCGGCAGCCACCCCGTCCGGGAGGGAGGTGGGGGGGGTCAGCCCCCCGCCCGGCCAGCCGCCCCGTCCGGGAGGTGAGGGGCGCCTCTGCCCGGCCGCCCCTACTGGGAAGTGAGGAGCCCCTCAGCCTGGCCAGCCACCCCGTCCGGGAGGGAGATGGGGGGGTCAGCCCCCCCACCCGGCCAGCCGCCCCGTCCGGGAGGGAGGTGGGGGGGTCAGCCCCCCGCCTGGCCAGCCGCCCCGTCCGGGAGGGAGGTGGGGGGGTCAGCCCTCCGCCCGGCCAGCCGCCCCGTCTGGGAGGTGAGGGGTGCCTCTGCCCAGCCGCCCCTACTGGGAAGTGAGGAGCCCCTCTGCCCGGCCAGCCGCCCCGTCCGGGAGGGAGGTGGGGGGATCAGCCCCCCGCCCGGCCAGCCGCCCTGTCCGGGAGGGAGGTGGGGGGGTCAGCCCTCCGCCCGGCCAGCCGCCCCGTCTGGGAGGTGAGGGGCGCCTCTGCCCGGCCGCCCCTACTGGGAAGTGAGGAGCCCCTCTGCCCGGCCAGCCGCCCCGTCCGGGAGGGAGGTGGGGGGGTCGGCCCCCCGCCCGGCCAGTCGCCCCGTCCGGGAGGGAGGTGGGGGGGTCGGCCCCCCGCCCGGCCAGCCGCCCCGTCCGGGAGGGAGGTGGGGGGGGTCGGCCCCCCTGCCCGGCCAGCCGCCCCGTCCGGGAGGGAGGTGGGGGGGGGTCAGCCCCCCTGCCCGGCCAGCCGCCCCGTCCGGGAGGTGAGGGGCGCCTCTGCCTGGCCGCCCCTACTGGGAAGTGAGGAGCCCCTCTGCCCGGCCAGCCGCCCCGTCCGGGAGGGAGGTGGGGGGGTCAGCCCCCCGCCCGGCCAGCCGCCCCGTCCGGGAGGGAGGTGGGGGGGGGTCAGCCCCCCCGCCCGGCCAGCCGCCCCGTCCGGGAGGTGAGGGGCGCCTCTGCCCGGCCGCCCCTACTGGGAAGTGAGGAGCCCCTCTGCCCGGCCAGCCGCCCCGTCCGGGAGGGAGGTTGGGGGGTCAGCCCCCCGCCCGGCCAGCCGCCCCGTCCGGGAGGGAGGTGGGGGGGGGTCAGCCCCCCTGCCCGGCCAGCCGCCCCGTCCGGGAGGTGAGGGGCGCCTCTGCCCGGCCGCCCCTACTGGGAAGTGAGGAGCCCCTCTGCCCGGCCACCACCCCTTCTGGGAGGTGTGCCCAACAGCTCATTGAGAACGGGCCAGGATGACAATGGCGGCTTTGTGGAATAGAAAGGCGGGAAAGGTGGGGAAAAGATTGAGAAATCGGATGGTTGCCGTGTCTGTGTAGAAAGAAGTAGACATGGGAGACTTTTCATTTTGTTCTGCACTAAGAAAAATTCCTCTGCCTTGGGATCCTGTTGATCTGTGACCTTACCCCCAACCCTGTGCTCTCTGAAACATGTGCTGTGTCCACTCAGGGTTAAATGGATTAAGGGCGGTGCAAGATGTGCTTTGTTAAACAGATGCTTGAAGGCAGCATGCTCGTTAAGAGTCATCACCAATCCCTAATCTCAAGTAATCAGGGACACAAACACTGCGGAAGGCCGCAGGGTCCTCTGCCTAGGAAAACCAGAGACCTTTGTTCACTTGTTTATCTGCTGACCTTCCCTCCACTATTGTCCCATGACCCTGCCAAATCCCCCTCTGTGAGAAACACCCAAGAATTATCAATAAAAAAAAAAATTAAAAAAAAAAAAAAAAGAAAACAACGTCAAAATAAATCCTTTCTCATTTTCACCCCTAGCAATCGCTCACTTGGCTATGTCTATTTCAGGGTGTCTGCCCACATCTCTCTTTATTTACTCCTTCTCTCCTTTCTCTCTCTTCTCCATAGATTTTCTCATCTAATGCAAAATGTCCTCAAGAAGGTGGGCAAAGGCCTCTCAGGGTTGTAGGGGGTGGAAGGAGAAAGAACCAACCATTTCCTAGTGCACGATAATGTTTCAGTACCACGGAGAGCGGTGCCGGGCGTGGAGACCAGGGAAAAATCTGTCAGCCTTGCGGGTGGTTTTCAGGCACCATTTGGAGCCCCACAGGTAGTGGAAATGACAAACGTCTACAAAGAAGCTTTGCAGTAAGAACCACTCTCCCCAGAGCCTAAGAGCCAAGCCTTACATCGTCACATGCGAAGAACAGATTGCATCTGGGCCCGGGTGCCCGTCCTAATGTCAGCCTGCTTGGCATTTACCTTCCTTTCCCAGGCTGACCTATGAAGATGGGGCAGGCTCTGGGGGCATTGTTCTAGCCATGCAAACGCTGTGGCCATTGTGTCAGCATGGAAGAGCTGCCGGTTCCTTTCCAGCTCAACACTGTAATTTTATCAACTCTGGCTCAGAGAAACCTATATTTATAATGCTAATTAGAAGGGCACACATTTAATTTGAGTGGAAGACTATTTGTATCTCGCTGAGCCTGATAGCACAGGGCTCAAGCGACAGCAGTCAGAAGCAAAGCAGGCCTTTCTGCCTTCTCCAAGTATTTGAAACAGGGCTTACTCTTGCCAAACAATTTCTCTGTTGGATTAAAAAGAGAGAGCAAGGGAGAGTGCTGAATATGCTGGAGCTCAGAAAACTTTGTGTTTATCTCCTGCCTGCATAATATATTTCTCTGTGCACTGAGAAAACATGCCTCTTATGTTATCTAATTGTTTCCTGACACATTTAGCAACATTTCACACTCTTTAAAGTGACATTAACATTGCTGACAGTGGAGGTATTTTCATTAGATGGGCTTTGAATTTTAGGCAGGATGCACTGCAGGTCTTCAAATAGGCTTGTAAAAAGTGAGGAAGGCATTATTTATGAAAATAGAGACTTGGCCAACAGTGCCCTGTGGATGTGTATTAATTTTGCTGACTCTAGTCAATTTAGAGTATGTGTGTGTGTGTGTGTGTGTGTGTGTGCATATGTACATGCATTTGTGCACACACACACATATAACAGCAACTTGTTGGGAGCCGAACTAAAACATCTTCATTATCCAGCATACCACTAGGCTCCGTGAGTATCATGGAAACTCCCAAAACATCTCTCCATCCACATCTTTTTAGCCATAACTAAGCAATGTGCTATTTCAGACAAAAATCAGTCACTTTGCACCCAATCCTGAGGATGAGTAGCCATGTGGCTCATGTATATAGGCAGCATGATTATCACTCTCCCAGTGTAAAGTTAAATCCTCCTCCTTGTTTTCTCCCTTCATGCTTCTTTGTGCCCCAAGGCCATTTTTCTTATGTCTTCAGCTGTCTGCCTTGATGCATAGTTTTCCCCGGAGAGTGTCCTAAGTGAGCCTTCAGAGAAGAGTACCTTGAAAGCACCTGCCTCTGCGGGGCCTGAAGAGAGACATTTGGAGGTTCATTCTGACCTTGACGAAGAAAGTAAGCCAGGCTTGGAGAAGGTGAGGAAGATGCAATTCGGGTTGTGAATTTCTGCTAGGGCACAACCTCACATGGAATCTCGACCCAATTGTTGATCTCCATACTTGTCATGAGAATAGAATAATATTTAGACATTCAAAGCTGAAGAAGAGAGCTCGCTGCAGACTGTCTAGTCATCTTGACACTACTACCATTTCCAGTCAGCCCTCCTGCCCTACCCTAGTTAAAATTACTCTTCTCTGTTTGCATCTCCAACATTGCAATGACTCTATGTAGCCATACAATGCTTAATTAGAGAGCTCTGAGTTCATATCTTGGCTTTGCGCATTACTTACTGTATAACCTTTGTCAAGTCCCGTGATCTCTTCAAGACGGTTTGCTCATCTGTAAAATAGGGAGAATAATAGTAACTGCTAGATGGTATTGTTGGAAGGATTTCGTAAATTACAAACCATGACGTGCTAAACATACTGCCTAAAACATTTGTGAGTGCTCCAGAAATGTTAGTAAATATTAGTCTCTTCCATGGCAATATGGGCCCTCTTGTGACTGAGACAATGTCATCACATTTCTTTAAAGTACTGATGCTGGCCAGGCACAGTGGCTCACACCTGTAATCCCAGCACTCTGGGAGGCTGAGGCAGGAGAATTGCCTGGGGTCGGGAGTTTGAGACCAGTCTGGCCAACATGGTGAAATCCTGTCTCTACTAAAAATACACACACACACACACACACACACACACACACAAAATTAGCCAGGCGTGGTGGCATGTGCCTGTAATCCCAGCTAATTGGGAGGCTGAGGCAGGGGAATTGCTTGAACCTGGGAGGTGGAGGTTGCAGTGAGCTGAGATTGTGCCACTGTACTCCAGCCTGGGTGACAGAGTGAGACTCTGTGTCTCAATAAATAAATAAATATTAAAAAATACTGGTGCTGTTATGTCATAGTACAATAAGATGGATGGCATGTGTTGACTGAGGCCTACAGAATGTAAGAAGTTTGTTGTGACAAGAAGCTAGCAGCTAGGTAGCCACAATAAAGAACCCTGATCTCCTAACTCCTAGCCCAGTACTCTTCCTAACTGTACGCTAGTGGAGATTTTTCAGATACAAGGCAATGATGTTCGAACAATTGTTCAGGGAGGGTATAAATCAATGCATATGTTATCCATGTCCTAACATCTTCCTAACAACCTAGACCTAGTCCTACTCTCATTTACATTTTCAATTCTAATTTCACAATATTTATAGGTCTTTGAGGGGGAGCTTTTCATGCTTTATATTGGCTACTGGTGGGTAGACTCCCAAGGCATATAATCTTTAGCATCTTATCAAGGACCATTCAATGAGGAACGGGTGGGGTACTGTGAGCGTGGGCAGCATAGAGATAAAACAGTTTGAGCATCTGCTGCCTAGAGTGCATGTTTTATCTTTGTGGTCCCTAAAGCACATAGCAAAACACAGATTTACAGTTGAGAACTGTTTGCTATCTGCAGACAAAGCCTTTGAAAAGGAAAGCTTCCAATAATGAGAATGAAAACAATTACCATTTGCAGAGTACTTCACCATTTGCAATGCACTTTCATCTATGTTATTATTTAATCCTCAGAAAGTCCTGTAAGGGGAATAGAACACCTATCTCTTACCTTTTTTATGCATGATAATAACACATACCATTTAATTCATAAAGTTTACAGAATTGTCTCATTTAGTACATTTAAAACTAGTGAAGTACGTTTCCACACATTTCACTTACCTAGTAGTTGAACACAGAAAAGTTAGATGACTTGCCCAAGGTCTCCCAGAGAATCAGTGGCAGAATCAATATTTGACATTCAATCTGTTTCAATGCCAATCACATTGTTACATCAGCACTTGGTACTTTGTTATTATAAAACCTAATTAAATTCTCTGTGCACTGTGGCATGAGGTCTAAAATCAGAAAACCTCGGTTCCAACTCTTCTTCCCAACGAACTTATCCCCTCTGCAGTTCACTTTCTTCATGTTTAAAATGGGAAAAAGATTGTACAACCTACTCCCAAAGGGTTTGTGTCAGATTAAATACAATAATATATGTAAAGGGCTTGGAAATAATACCTGGTACCTCATAAGAGCTCAGTCAGTCTGAGCAATTGGCAATATTATTGTTTCTATATACCAGGAACCGCAAGAAGTGAACATAAAAATGAGTAAGATGAATTCCTTTGCATCGTGGAACATATGTTCTCTAAGGGAGCCTTTTGAAAATTGTTTCGGCATCGGCATACAGTTCCTTTTAATCTTTCTCTAGCAGTTTTCCCCCCAACTAAGCTCTTACAAAATAGATTCTAGGACGGCAAGAAAACAGCTCAATGTATCTTCTGCATATTACTCAGCACAGACAGACAACTCAGTAAGTGACAGCATTGCCCACATAGTTTAACGCCTTCATCTGAAATTGTTGGATTGTCTTGGGTTACATTTCCCCAGTAGCTCCTGAAGGTGAGAAGCTTTCATAATTAGAGTCAAGAGTGGAATTGAATTTCTCTCTCTCTCTTTTATTTATTTATTTTTTTGTAGAGTGTTGCTCTGCAGTCCAGGCCAGAGTGGCACATTCAGGGCTCACTGCAGCCTCGACCTCCTGGGCTCAAGCAGTCTTCCCACCTCAGCCCCCCAAGTAATTGGGAGCACAGGCGCACACCACCGAGCCTGGCTAATTTTTGCATTTTTTATAGAGATGGGATTTTGCCATGTTGCCCAGGCCAGTTTCAAACTCCTAGACTCAAGTGATCCTCCTGCCTTGGCCTCCCAAAGTGCTGGGATTACAGTCGTGAGCCAGCATGCCCAGCCTGGAATCAAATTTTATACAACGGTTGCGTTCTAAAGTCTGAAAATTAACCAAAAAAATGTGGTCGCGCTACCATGCCTGAAAATCCCTTGCTTCTCTTGGAGACTGACATGTTGTCACTTAATAAATCTAACAGCCAGTTTTTCCTCCAAGGAGCACCAAGTGAAGTAGTGGCTTAATATTCTAGGCCACTTGGTTAAGGAAAAAAACATACATTTAAATTCAGAATCAACTCTTCTTAGCAAGATACTTACACACTGAGAGAGACACCCAAAACCTAAGACAACAGCCATAGCAGCCAACAGTGAAGTGAATGCCATGAGTAGTTGATATACATCCATACATGTTGGTGGAGTAAATTGTTATAATCAACCAATCATGGTGCTATTTATTATGTACAGGCTCTGTACTGGGTGCTAGGATACAAAGATGTGTATAGTGTATAACCTGTACCCAAAGTCACTCATAGTCTCAAGAATCAGCCAGACATTTAGGCAAGTACATAGGCTAACATGTAACAAAAGCAATGATGAAAGTATGTCCTGGGTACCAGTGAGTGTGGTGATCAGAAAAGACTTCTAAGGAAGGTTGTTCTTGAGATGAGTCTTTAGAGTGTCTTCCAAAGGTCTCTAGAAGGTGTTTGCCAGCTGGGCGTGGTGGCTCACGCCTGTAATCCCAGGACTTTGGGAGACCGAGGCAGGCGGCTCACCTGAGGTCAGGAGTTCGAGACCAGCCTGGCCAACATAGTGAAACTTCATCTCTACTAAAATACAAAAATTATCTGAATGTGGTGGTGCATGCCTATAATCCTAGCTACTCAGGAGGCTGAGGCAGGAGAGTCTCTTGAACTCATGAAGCAGAGGCTGCAGTGAGCCAAGATGGCACCACTGCACTCCAGCCTGGGTGACACAGTGAGACTCCATCTCAAAAAAAAAAAAAAAAAAAGTATTTGCCAACAAAGAGAGAGCACCTTCCATGCACGGAGAGAGATATGAGGAGAGAATGATTCATATTCAAAAGGACAGTTGTTTCGGCGTGTTTAGAGCATAGGGAAGGAGGGAGTCTGGCACAAGATAACATAGAGTTTAAACTATACTATAGGCAATGGAAAGCCTTGGGAAAGTTGAGAGAAGGAACATGACCTGAGCAAATGTGTGCATTCAGAAAGATGTTAGCTTTTGTATGAAGGGAAGGAACACAGTGAAGGAAACCAGTAAAGGGAAAGGTAGAACAATAGTCTAGGCTATGCTGTCCAACATGGTAGCCACTAGCCGGATGTGGCTATCTAAATGTCACTAAAACTTAATACAATTAAAAATTCAGTTTTTCAGTTGTGCTAGCCACATCTCAAGTGTCCAATAGCCACATGTCTTAAACACTAGGGATGTAGAACACGCCCATCATCACAATAAGTTCTGCTGGACAGCGTCAATCTGGACAACTACACATGACCAACATAATGTTTTTCCCTTTGAGAGGATCTGGGAGGTGTAATTAAGCTGCATGTGTCAAGCAATTAGAACTTTCTGGTGAGAAGGTATTTGAGGATCCATTGCCTTTTGGAAAACAGGTGTGTCACTGCAGGTAAGGTGGGTTTGTGTCTTTGCAAGAGGAAGCTGCAAAGAAGCACTGCATTTCACCTCATGAAGATGAAAGGGCTAGCATTAGAAAATTACAGAAATTATTTTAAAAACAGACCCTACTCTCCATCTATAGCCTCATCTATATTTGACACCTTCTGAAGTGCAATGCTGCCAGGGAGATGTGATATATAAATATGCATGTTGTTGGTGAGATATAGAAACGACACCCAAATGCATAGGGTCTCAAACTGTGAAGATAGTTCATGCTTGAGCTCCTCCTGCAAGAGGCCCTTTAACTGGGGCCGGTCCAACAGCATGCCACCCTTCCAATAAATTATGCATAAGAGCTTGTTCACAATTGGGATAGTTTTGCCAGGGCCATCTGAAAACGATTTGTTTTCAAGAAAATGCTTAACTGGGCTTTCGTGGGTTCAGTGAAGTGTGAGTGAAGAGGGCAATTAGGTCTTCCACAGTAAAAATAAAAACTTAAAGCGAGATGATGTGGAATAGAACAAACCCAGTCAGGCTGATATCGTCTCATTGAGAAGACATAAGAGGTCATAATGAAAATTCCTCAGGTGAGGTTGAATAACCTAAAACTGAGGTGGAACATTCTCTGAATCTCCTGCCTCCATAAAGGCCACCCAACCCTCTCTTGTCAAACAGATCTCTCTCGCCTCTGGGGAAAAGCATGCTGAAACTTCCCCCAGTGACAATTAGACTTGCTTTGAGGAAATTTTGCCTCTTTCTGACTTAAATTCCCCAATGGTAGGTTAAGTTTGTTTTCTTGCTGTTTTCTTGGGTAGGGGAAGAAGGCTGACTGAATCAAATGTTTTACTTCTAATATCTGCCCAATGCTTATAAACTGGAAAAAAGAGCAACTTAAAAATTGATCACGTAACATAAAGTATACTTATCTAAAGCCATCACACGTAGTAATACAGGATTTCTCAACCTCAATACTATCGATATTTGGGGCTGAATAATTCTGTGTTGTGGGAAGTTGTCCTGTGCATTATAGGATGTTTAGCAGCACCCCTGTCCCTACCCACCAGAAGCCAGTAGCACCCCAACCAAAAAGTTCCCACACATTGCCAAATCTCCCCTAGGGAGCAGGATTGCCCCAGTGGAGAATGACTGAGCTAGTCTGACATTAGCACTAAATATAGCCTGCTATCAGAAATATAGAAGGTAGGTTAATAGCTTTATATAAATACATAATATGATATAAATACAAAATATAAATATTAGAAGTAAAATATAAATACATAATATATATCTGTATTTAAATTTTAAGATGCTGACCGGGTGCAGTGGCTCACGCCTGTAATCCCAGCACTTTGAGAGGCTGAGGTGGGCGGATCACCTGAGGTCAGGAGTTCTAGACCAGCCTGCAACATGGTGAAACCCCGTCTCTACTAAAAATCCAAATATTAGCCTGGCGTGATGGTGCGTGCCTGTAATCCCAGCTACTCAGGAGGCTGAGGCATGAGAATCACTTGAACCTACGAGGCAGAGGTTGCAGTAGCCAAGACTGTACCACTGTACTCCAGCCTGAGTGACAGATAGTGAGATTCTGTCTAAAAAAAAAAAAAAAAAAAAAATCAGATGCTTTATTTGTTAGGGGTCATTTTGCATTCTGCAATAATGATTGATACTACAGTCTCCCTACCTATGGTACAGTCATGTATACACAGCAGGTGCTTGTGAACCAGCTGGAACCAGTAAGCTGAAAGTCTCATTATTTCCATCTGGGTCCCTTGTCCCTACTGTCTGTCAAACACTGTTCTATGGGCTCTACATATAACATCTCCACTCTTCACAACAACATGTAGAGTAGCTGTTAATATCATCAGAGAGGCTCAGAGAGGTGAACTGAGTTGCTCAAACTCCCAAATAGTAGAGTAAGTGGAAGGGCTCAGTCTGCTGGACTCTGAATTCTGTGTTCTCTCCATTCCTCCCTTGGGCTTTGGAGGAAGATAAAACTGGATGAGTTACAAAGTTGGGGATGAATTACACAGCACAGAGATAGAAATAAGGCAGGTATGAAGGAAGAAATAAACATTTGTAAAAGACAATTACGTATTACATCTGTTGGAGCCCAGGGTTTTATTTGGAGCAGGGTAGAAAATGAGAATGGGTTGGGTTTCCTTAATGAAACCAACTCATAGGTGAATTTGAGTGTAAGGCGACTCTAGGTTGAGGAATAGCCCATTGAAGTTTATGGCAATATGCAAACCTGAGTTCAAATCTTGATTCTTACCTTTGGGTATGTTATTCACGTCCCAGAGTCTCTATACTTGTTGAACAACTGACAGTGTGGGTGATAAGTGTGGAAGGGGTATAAGCAAAATCACTGAGGCTGGTGTTCAGCACATCAAATAGGCTAAACAGATAGATATGCTTTGGCTTAACCCACTTTTCCAGTGGTGGTGAATGCGATGAGATGGAGACAGAGAGTCTAGCTGGCATTGTTATCAGGGCACCTCGCAGCTTCTGCACTAGCAGGCCTGGCTGCCATGACCCAGTGCTCCCTCAAAGCCCGTGGTGAAGGCTTGATGAAGAATATCTTGTCACACAGCCCTCTAAAAGCTGCACATGCAGAACTACACAGACCTTGAAAAACCCGATGCACTTTCCTGCAAAATATTCTTATGGTCTTAATGGCAAGGAGAACCACGTTAAAAAAAAAAATCATTAAATGCAAACAAAAGGAGAGCAATATCCCAGGTATTGAAAATATTTTTATTTGCATAGAAATAATGTAAATTTTTCTCACTTTTTGACCCCTTCAAAAATAGGGGCTTCACAAACCCCAAAGATTTAGAGAAAAGTAGATACTTTAGTCAAGCATCTGAATAAATAGCAGGTATTAGGAAACATCATTAGGACAACTGTTTAAATCCTCTTGCTTAAATGTAAGTCCTTTTGCAATACTTAACTTTAACACAAAAGCCATGTTTTTATTAAGTTCTTGAAGTCACATAGGATTTTAAAGTTTTGACTCAAGTTCTTTTTTCTCTCCTTACAAATTATTTTTTTCTGTGTGAGTGGGGCACCATGGTTATTTCCAGGAAGAACCTTGTTTCTGCCCAGGATTAATTACCTCCTCTGGGATGACTTCTATTGTGCATTCCAGAAAAGGACTCATGAGTTTGGGATTCACATCTTATTCATTTGTTAGCACTTTTGTCTAATGTGGAACATAGTAAAATGAAATACTCAAGGCTTGGGCTTTGGAGTCAGATGACTTGGGTTCAAATCCCAGCTGTGCTCCCTGCTAACAGCATGATGTTAGGAAAGTCAGTTCAACTAAGCCTCAGTTTCCTTACCTGTAAATGGGGAAGACAGTCTTACTAAGTTCAGAGAAAAGTACTGAATGTTAAAAGAATGTGTATACATATATATATATATATGTGTGTGTATATATATATGTATATATATGTGTATATATGTATATATATGTATATATATACACACACACATATATAGTAATATATATATTACTAGAATACTTAGTACTTAGCTCAGTTCTTGAAATAAAGCAAGATCTATATATATATATATATATGTGTGATAATGAGGTCATTGAACTTATTATTTTGAATACAATTATTCCTAGTACTTTTTTTGTTACTGTTATCTGAGCATGTCTCTTTGCTTCATCAAATATCCTGACATCTCATTGCTACATAAATCACTTATGCATTGCCTACACAGAACATTCTAATATCTGCTTGCCATTAATCTGTTGAATAAAAAAGAACCCGTTGTTTTAAGTGAATTTTGGGAATTGATCTGCAACATGCCCTCTGTCATAAATTCGTGAATATATTAAAAAGGGTTGGGCAGAGCAGCAATTTCACTAATAATATTTACTGCTTTGGGGATGGAGAGGAGATTGTAGTCCTTTGGTCTTGGGGAATTAAGTCAGGATCCAAATCAACTTAAAGAGCAAAATGGTTCTGTAATTAAGACAATGGGAGTGAGAGCACTATGGTTTCAACCACAGATGGTGTAGGATAAGGTTTTCAGGTATGACTGAAATGGATGATGAGTGAGGACCTGGAGCATGGCTGTCAAATAAGCACTGTGATCTGCTACCTCTCCCCACTCCACGTCCATGAAATTTCTAATTGATTATGTCACTGTTTCCTGCCAAATCCAGGGCTTCCTCACAGTCCTTCTCAACACAGCATTCCACACAGCCACTACCAATCTATCAGAGTTAGCACAAAACTGGCTATCGGTACTTTAATCAGGAAAAAAAAAATTCATGAGTTCAAACTATCACTAAATTGTATTCATTAGGAGACAGATAAATTAGAAAAAGTTGGATTAGTCCCCATATTTAAGGTCATGGTTAATCCAATCACACAGATAATTAGTTTGACTTTGATTTACATGGGGATCTTGAAAACACTTACACACACACCCACACATACACAAGACCATATGAGTTTAATGAAAAAGACATATTGCTGCCTTTGCCTGTTTCCTTTCGTTTTTTAACAGATCAGTTGAACCTGGTTTTCTGTCCATTTGCTGGAGACTCTATACTCATTCAAAATGGAACTTTCAACATAGTTGGAGAGTCAAGGGGCTTCAGCAGTACATAAAGTGGGAACAAGGTGAATGTCTATCACCTGGTTACCTGCCCATGCCACACTGAGCATTTCTGTAAGAAATCAAAATTTATAAAGTGAGCCTGTAGAAGTTTCAGTTTTCTCCCCTGTACTTTGGAACCTGTTTGTGTCTGTACAGATGGTCTCTGTCAGTTGGAATAGTCAGGGGGGAAAATGTAGCATAAGTGAACAAAATTAGCAAATGACATAGCAAACAGAAAACAGCATACCAGGGCTGGCATGATGGTTCATGCCTGTAATTCCAGCACTTTGGGAGGCTGAGGCAGGTGGAGGCTTGAGCTCAGGAGTTCGAGACCAGCCTGGGCAACATAGTGAAACTCCTTCTATACAAAAAATACAAAAATTAACCAGGCATAGTGGCTTGCATCTGTAATCCCAGCTACTTGTGGGGACTGAGGTGAGGTGGAGGTTGCAGTGAGCCGAGATCATGCCACTGTGCTCCAGCGTGAGCAACAAGCAAGACCATGTCAAAAAAGAAAAAAAGAAAGAGAAAGATAGAAAGAAAGAAAGAAAGAAAGAAAGAAAGAAAGAAAGAAAGAAAGAAAGAAAGAAAGGAAAGAGAAGGAAGGAAGGAAGGAAAAGAAAGAAGGAAAGAAAGGAAGAAAAAAAGAGAAAGAGAGAGACAGAAAGAAAGCAAACAAGCACGAAAGAAAGAAAGCACGAAAGAAAGAAAGAAAGAAAGAAAAAGAAAGAAAGAAAGAAAGAAAGAAAGAAAGAAAGAAAGAAAGAAAGAAAGAAAGAAAGAAAGAGAAAGAAAGAAAGAAAGAAAGAAAGAAAGAAAGAGTATACCATTTGCTGGGGGCAGATCTAGGGACTGAGAAATTTCCGAAGTAATGGTAGGTACCAGTAAGCAGAGTTGAAGGAGCTCCCAAAACATGGGCTTAACGTGGGCAGAAAAATAACAGGAATCAGACAATTCTGTGATGCGTATTCTCAATACACTGTAGTAACCCCAATGCTTTCATTGTGTTATGACTGCTCTTCTATTGTCTGTATTTGTATAAATTAAACAGCAGCTCTCTCTGTACTATATGAAATGAATTCATGCTGAACAAAATTTCAAAAAGTTCATGTAAAGAATAATTTCACAGCAACTATCATATCAGGCTCCTGGAAAATTGCACTTGAACTTCAGTTCCACCTCAGTCACTCAAAGGAATTTAAAAATTGGCTTCCAGCCATCCTTGTTCTTCAACATGCAGTTTCAGATATGCCTCAATAACACAAACTTTAAAGCCTATTGATTGTGAGTTAAAATCTGTTCCTACCAGAGCCTCGCTGCTAAGTGGACGTCAACACTGACTTCACAGTGCCTTGGTCAGGATTCCTCTGAGTTCAGGAGCCTTGAAGAAGGCAGAGGGTAACACTGCTATGAAGGAGCCACTTTGAACTTTATAACAAAATTACAAGAAAAACTTTGAACTCTGTCGGATGATAGCGGCTGTAAATGGTTATTCAAAGAAATGTTTCTTATTTGAAATCTGGAGTCCCTTGGGATTGGGAGATGGGAACGCAGAAACGTGATCTGCTGTAGATCACTCTCCTTCTTTTATGTCACTTCTTCCCTTTTTTTCTCACCATTCTGTTTAGGCAAGCATCATGTAAATGGTTAGAGGGTGAACTTTGAAATAGTTAAACCCAAGTTTGAATCCTGGCCTCTGCTGCTTAACTATCTGTGCGGTTTAACCTCTCTGGGTCTCAGTTTCCTCATGTATGAAATGGGAATGTGTTATTTCATTTTATGGGAATATATGATAATTCTAACCTCAAGGGACTGTTTTGAGGATTAAATTAGATAATACATATAAAGGAACTAGCACAGCGAGTGGCAGATAGTTATTGTGTAAGAAACATCAGCAGTTAAATTACTAATTATAATGATAGTTATTTTTGTTAGAAGGAGACCTGGGATGAGGGAGGTATTGATTAAACATTAGCACTGATTCTGATCAAACTCCATCGTGTTCAGTGTACCTTTTCCAGAACACCCAGCAAGAAAGTCATGCCTTATATGAATCCCAAACAGCCATGAATGAATGGAGTTTTTCAAGTCAAACTCCATTTATCAACTGGTCAATTTCAGGAATGATTTGTCTCCATTTCTATTCTGTTACTGTACAGGAGCCCCTAACATTTAAGCTTTAAGAGTATCTCATCTCCTATCTCTGCCACCCCCATCCTCAAAGGGTAATGGGCCAGTGGTTTGATGCCTCTGCTGCTGTTCATCCTGTTTTCTCTCTCCAGAAGTCACTTTCTTCCTCTTTGGACGTTTGCTCAGGTATCACCTTTCCCAGGAATCCTTATTTGACTCTAAACCCCAACTCCTACCTGGCCAGGCTGAAACAAGTGTCTCTTTTCTCTGTCCCCACAGCACCACGTCATTACATGCCGCTATTCTGCTTTTTATCATGTGGCACTGAAATGACACATTTACCTGTCTGTCTCCCACTAGACTATAAGCTCTCTGAGGGCAGGGGTGGTGTCTTACTTATTTTTGTATCCTCAATGTCTAGCGAAGTGCAGATACATTTTATTGAACCAAATGAACCCATAAATAGCATTAAATTCACTGAATAATGAATCAGAAAATACAATTATAAAAGCAACAATAAAAATGGACATTGATTTGAGGTGTCTGCTGATGTCTCTACATCAGCAGTACATCTAAAAGCAGGAACACACATTTCTTCTGTCTCAGGTACTTCTTACTTGCATTGCAACACTCACCTTGTCCTCAAGTTTGCTTTCTCAATGTTCTGTCCTTCCTTCCACACCCCCAGATTTAGGACATGTGCCATGGGTTGCTTCTCTTGGCTCATTTTCCTGAACTTCCCAAATGAGCAAACCAGCAGGCAAGCAACTGCAAAGGCCCCAAGATGGAAGGATGAAGCAGGCAAAAGTATAGGTGGTGATTGTCCTCACCCAGCAATTTGGCTGCCAGGAGCTCCCTGCCATGTGAAGGAGAGGATGCAGCAGCCTCTGTGTGGGAGGACAACTTCTTGACCCAAGGGCCGCTCCATGTCACTGAGCACCTTCTGCCGGACTGGCTGCTCCTCCTCAAGGCTAGAGAGTCTGTGCTTTTCTTTGTCCGAAAACCACAGTTATGGTGTCCCAAAAACCACATAATGAAGAGGGTGGGGACATTGGCCAACTCTTTGGGATGCCAATGCATCACCCTTTCCATCACTCTTCCACTTCTACCTCAAACTAATGAGTCTAGTTTTAGAGTACCTTATTTTTGGTCATTCATTCAGCAGATGCGATTCTTTAGGAAGGCATTGGTGATGCAGGGGGTGAATAAAATAAACAAGATGCCTGCATTCAAAGAGTAGTAAGGGCCATGAAGAAATGTAAGCAGAGTAGTTGCCTAGAGCAGGCAGATGGGCAAATTTCAAGAAGACAAACATGGAAGGGTTGATTGAAGAGAAGAAGTGAGATTGTGAATGTTGGCAAGGTGTTGTAGTTGGGGGTTGGGGGTGGTGTCCTGCATGGAGGGGACAGGAAGTGTGAAGACTCTGAAGGTGGAATGGCTTGGTGTGTTCAAACAACAGAAATAAAGATGACCATATTGGCTAGAGAATAAGGGGCCACGTGGAAAGTCGTAAGTGTTACTATGAGAGTGAGGTAGGAGAGGCAGCTATGGGCTGGAGTACTCAAGACAGGTAGGTCATCATAAGGAGTTTGGGTTTCCTTCTGCAAGCATTGGGAAGTCACTGGAGTGTGCTAAGCGGGCGAATGATACAATCTGATTCCTCACCTTAAAATTTCATTCTGGCTGCTGTGGAGGTAGGACTGGGACAATGGGGAGTAGATGGATTATGTGGCAAGAATGGAAGCAGTGAGACCAGCAAGGAGGTAGCTCAGAGAGAGATAATGAGGACTTAGATTAGGACTGTAGCAGAGGAGGTAAAAGAAACTGGATGGTTGCTAGACTGATTCCATTTGAGCTGTGTACATGGATATTTCTGCTCATGTCCTTTTTCTGAAATATGCAACTACCTAAAATATGAATTTAGACTTTTGGAGAAACATCAAACCACTCTTTTAAAAAAGCACATCTGGAGCAGTTCATTTCTTTTTTTTTTTTTTTAATATTTATATTGTGAGCTGGTTTCAATGTAACTTTCTTGGGGTGCTCTCGTGACACTCATTGCTGACCTTTGACCCCTCTGTCCTCTTTCCCAGGTCGTCCCATTCCACCTACATCCTCGCCTAGTCTCCTCCCATCTGCTCAGCTGCCTAGCTCCCATAATCCTCCACCAGTTAGCTGCCAGATGCCATTGCTAGACAGCAACACCTCCCATCAAATCATGGACACCAACCCTGATGAGGAATTCTCCCCCAATTCATACCTGCTCAGAGCATGCTCAGGGCCCCAGCAAGCCTCCAGCAGTGGTAAGGAAACTCCGTGGTGTCTGAATGTGTGGTGTTTCGTGAGTGACATTCTTGATTCTCCACCAAAATGACAATGCTGAAACAAGGGCTGGGGGAAGGTGGTGTGGGGAGCATCAGGGTGAAATGCATTTGTCATTTTGTGGCATGGTATTTTCAAGATACATCTGTAGAAGGTTGAAGTTACTTAAGAGGTTTTGCTTATCTTAACAGGATTTGGGCCTCCTTCAGTGGAAGGCATTTGCCCATTGCTACATGTGTGAGCATGCTGGTCTCAAAGGTGAAGTGCAGAGAGACACCGGCATATTGAATTTTGTATTACTATGGTTCTGGTCATAGCTGAGTGACCCTGGACACCCTCACAGGCCCAATTTGTGTGTATCTCAGATCCCTGGTTTGTTTTTTGTTTTCTTGTTGTTGTTTGTTTGTTTGTTTGTTTTGGCTTTTAACTTCTATTCCTTGCTTGTTTAGATGATTTTGAAATTACAATGTGTTCCGTTGACATCAGTACTGAATGTCTTGCCAAGTCTGAAGTGTTTGGGGGGTGACCTCTCCTGTAACCCTTTGCTTGTGACCTCACTAGAATTTGACAAGTTGGTGGTGTGGTACTATGGTAAATACTGCCTCTAAATCCATAGTTCTTATTTTGGTTTTCTCATTCATGGAACAGGGAAACTGGACCCAAGATCCTGTCCCACTTTTGAAGATTTTGTGGCCACTGTCTTAGCTCCCAATCTCTGAATCTTGGGTGGAATTGCCCTGGGCCCAGCGATAATCATGCCTTATTTTGATTTCTCCTGTTGGTGTTATGTTCCTGTGAACATCTGAACGTAGGAACGGGCAATAACTAGAGTATAAGTGTCCATGGCCCAGGGAGAGACATTTGCAAAAATTAATTACTCCTGACCTAAAGGCTTGGGAGTTATCTTCTGAACTGGTCAGTCATGAGGTTAATTAGCATATCCCATCCAAAGCAATACAGAGCTTTCCATGCCGAGAGTGGGTCTTGATGCGATTGTGTTTAGGCTCCATCCAGGAGTATATGCCACCCACCACTGGCCTCAACCTCTACAATTAGAGAGGACCTCCCAAATACATTTAAGATGACTCATTCTGGAAATGGAATGATGGACTGCTACTTAGGATGGCCCATGCCCTTCTTCATAGCCAGGCCTGATATATTTAGTAAACTCATATTCTTTTTCAAAAAAAATTACCTAATCAAATCTCTCATCAGATGAGCAATCCATTGTTGATATTATGAAGGCCTTTAATCTACCATAAATCTTTATTAGAACTCATCAGAGCTTCTAGTTTGAGAGAAATGTGATTATGGCACTCTTAAAATGACATTACATCATTGGGGTGATTGGTTTATCATTTGGAGAAGAGACATCAATCATAACTAGCATAACCACACAGTAAATGAATTCAACCTTTCTACCGCGGAACAATGACACTGTAATTGCTCAAAATCAGGCTTAAAATGAAATCGGAAAATGCTCTTTCTTCAAATATGATGTTAACTTAATGGAATATATTATGAAAAATCATGTTTGAGGAAATTCTATATAATTAAAAATATGTGGAAATATATTCCCTTTTTACTTTCATCAGAACCTGATTTTAGCTACAGAGCCCTTTTTTTGCTGCAGAGATTATGTTGCATTTAATTGAACTACCTTCGCTTATGTTTTGCTGCTTTTTATTTCATACTATGTAATCGTGATGAATATTGTATTATGAAGGACAAGAGGCTTTTGAAATGAGGTGCACCTGCTGATAGCTTTTTAAAAACAGACAATTATTAGGGATAAAATGAGCTTTTAAAAACTATATCCTTTTATGCATATATGGATACCCAGGCAATGATGATTTCCATAAGAGAGGTCAGTTCATATCTTGAGGCCATCTGGAATGTTTTCTTAGCAATAATGCAGTAAGTGATTTCCTTTCTTTTGGACAGTGTATCAGATTGAAACTTGTTGATAGGGTATTTATGTCAGCTTTATGCCTAATCAAGACCTCATTTTGGTGGACACAACAGATCTGTGTGTTCAGAGTCAAACTTGTCCATTTTTCGTCACTCACACCAATTTGTTCAGCTCACTTAAGACTGATAGCAATTTAAGCTTTAGTAACAGGAG
This sequence comes from Homo sapiens, assembly GCF_000001405.40. Classification (NCBI taxonomy): domain Eukaryota; kingdom Metazoa; phylum Chordata; class Mammalia; order Primates; family Hominidae; genus Homo; species Homo sapiens. Next base: position 167,878,340 of record NC_000005.10, read on the forward strand.
AAAATGCCACAGAAAATTTAAGGGTCCATTTTCATCCCAAACAGGAGCTGTGCTGATATGATTTCTTCAACTGAGGGAGTGAAGGCCCAATTGTGCAATACCCTTGTTTTCAGCAGGTACTTATTATCAGAGAGTTTGTTAAAGCTCCGGTCAACAGGCAGTCATTAGAAATTCTGGACTCTGGCTTAGCTAAAATGAGAGCAAATCGAGTTCGAGTATGCGTGTGCTCACGTCTGTGTGTGTGTGTGTGTGTGTGTGTGTGTGTGTTTCTTGTGGAATGGGTTTAAGGTCCAGGGCAAATTGGGGATTCTATCAAGATTTGAATGCAGTTGTCATGAATTTAAATTTGACATAAAGGATTGAAAATTGAGTTTGACACGGAAGATGCAAAGTGCAGAGCTATGTCTGAGTGTTTTGAACTGAGTCTGATAAAAGGGGCTGAATTTTTCAGGAGGTGTCACAGCACAAACAAAGTGGCCTTGTGTTTGGGTGTGTTGTGTTTAGTTGGTTAATTACACAGAATTTTTTAAATTTGTCTCTTGGCAATAACCCTGTGTTCTGAGAATCTGGTACTACTTTGGTCTTTGTCTCTTTCTTAGGTGAAATAAAACACTTTCCAACACATCAGCCCATACACGACAGTAAAACATTATTTCCTGCTCTCCTCTTATAGTTGCTGTTATTATTTGATGTTGGTGAAGCCCATCATTAGGAGGGTCACAGTACACAATTCCTTCCCGAGGAGCACCTGTTCTATAGAAACAAATGGGACATAAACTACAGGAACGAAAATGTTTTTCCCCAACATGAAAAACTCCTCAAAGCAACAACAAAGCTTCACCTTTATGGCTTGAGTGTCATTATTTTCTATGACAGTGGTGCATTCTTTAGTGAATGGTACTAAAACCTTGCCACCTTTGGAGTCAAATTGCTCTAACCCTCAATCTATGCCAATCAAGTAGATACCCAGGTACAGTTAGTGAGATGTTTACGGGAGTGGTGTTTCTCTCCCCCTTAAGCATTTTCTTTCAAATAGCTGAGCTCCAGCGAGTGGCTCATTCTGTGTTCTGACCTTCTGCCAGAGCGGGTTGCTCCAGATATGTTTCTTGTATACAGAAGCATAATTTCAAATCCTATGGAATAACTCATCTGGAAAAAAAATCTAGATCCCAGCAGCAGCATAATGGAGGCCCCTGCAGATGGAAGAATGAGACTACCTTCCAAATCAGAATAGGGTTTGCAGTTTGCTCTCAGCATATGATGCAGAAAATATACAGGCAACCACATTATCTTCTAAAAGCACTGGCTTTCCTCTACCTGTGAAACATTGAGGTTTTTTTTAAAGTTTAAATAAAGGGGCTTTGAACACTCATTAGTAGCATCAAACTATACACATAAGAAATGTAGTAACCAAGATGCCCTAGCTAGGACATCTTGGTAGATCTTATGTGGCAAAAGAGCTGTCCCAGTCAGAGAGTCTCTGTTTGTAACTGAGCACATGAAGGGTGCCCTAACCCTTTTTAAAGAGCAATGCCTTAGTTAATTCTAAATGAAAATAGTATATCAAAATCAGCAGGCTTTGGGGTTGCCTAGGATCAATAAGTTGCCTGTCTAATTTATCTGGCATCATAAAACAAATGAGATTCATTCATTCATTCCTTTTTTGCACCTCCCTCATAATATGTAACAGCTTATAAAAATCGTTACTTTTTTTATTTTTGAGACAAAGTCTTGCTGATCCAGGCTGGAGTGGCGTGATCTTGGCTCACTGCAACCTCCGCCCCCCAGGTTCAAGTGATTCTCATGCCTCAGCCTCCCTAGTAGCTGGGATTACAGGTGCACACCACCATACTTGGCTAATTTTTGTATTTTTAGTAGAAATGGGGTTTCACCATGTTGGCCAGGCTGGTCTCGAACTCCTGGCCTCAAATGACCCACCCGCCTCAGCCTCCCAAAGTGGTAGGATTATAAGTATGAGCCATCACCCCTGGCCAACAGTTGTTAAAAAAAATTTTTTTCAGCTATAATTAGATGATACAATAAAGGTAAAGGAAAAATTTAAGGGAGAAAGTATACATATATGCTCAAATGTATAAAGTCCTATTCCATTATTTAAGATAGAGAACTTGATTTTAAGCTTCCTAGCAACCAAAGCAAAAAGGGAAACATAGGGAAAAGAAGATGCATAATACCCCATGAGATAAAAGCAAATCAGTCATTTCAGGGAAATTCTGGGAATCCTCACAATGAGGCCAGAAAGAAGTTTGTCATAAAGGAGCTCATGTGTGTATCCAGATGACTGGATTCTTAGTAACATCATATAATACATATGCTAATTTCCTGTCAAAATTCCTTGTAACCTCCCTTAAATAAGACATAGAGCGCACTTTCCATGTAAAAACAATTCTACAAATGTCCAATATTTGCACAGTCCAAGGGCAAAACTTGACTTGATCAATAGAAAAACCTTAGTTCTTATAAAGGACCATGTAAATTGCATGCCCTATAGGCAATAGACCTCAAATGTCATTGCTCATAACTGAATTTTTATGGGAATTAGCAGACTTTGAGGTTAAAGTCACCATTCAGGACCTGAAAAGCAGATGTTCTGTGTTACAGATTCGTCCTGACAGCCTCATAGAGGTTAGAATTGACATCCTCTCATGAAAACTTCAGGACAGCCTCCCTCACTCATCTGGCCCCTAATATCCATCCATGGAGATGGATTTGGGATGAGGAAGAAGTCAATATTTTTAACTTAATGAAACTTCTTCTCCTTATATATCTTAGGTTTTAGAAAGAAATTTTTCTCTGAGATATTGTAAATTTTCTTGCCTCCCTAAGCAGATTATGCACATTGTAATTTAATTTAATTTAGGATTCCCTGAATAGCTCACAGCAGTTATTATGCACATTGATGATTGTACAGTGCTGATAATACTATCTTGCTCTTTTCTACAAAAGCCATTGTACATCCTGTGGTTGTTTATCCCACTTCTCCTAATGTTCTGCATTGTAACTTCTTATTGTGCTCTTTATCAGCTTTTCTTCCTCCTCCCAGCTTCACTCCGTTCTTCAGGGACCTCCACTGCAGTTTCTCTGGTGACAGATTCATAGTAGACACTCCGTAAGTATTTGTTAAATAAATGAATGAGTGTCTATAGTAACCACCTTTATTTTTCACTCTTGATTTTGGGGTCAGGATATCAAGTGCAAACATCATTCACTTTCCCAAGTTGGATTTGTACCGCACATAAGCCACTTTGACTCCAGGTTCTTCCCCAAGTCCCTTGGATGTCTGGTTCAGACATTCAGAGCTACCTGCGGCTCCTTCCTGGCATCCAGGCAGAGGTTTGGTTCCAGCTGCCTCTCTTCTGGACAGGTTCTTGTCCCACTGGGTAGTACAGGCTAAGTCCAGCATGTTATCTTTGCTGTGGAGGTCACAGAAACAGCCATCCCTCTTGCCCCAAATGCAGAGCCACACAGGACTTGGGCTATCAGCTCATGGCCCTTTTTCTCCCTCAACTCTAGTTAGTATGCTAAGTACTTTACATGACTTTCTTCATGTACTTGTATTTAGTCCCTGCCACCTCCCAATGCATGAAGGATTATCATCATACCCATTTTCTAGATGACAAAACCACGGCACAAAGAGGTTAAGTAATGTACGAAAGTCACAAAGCTGGAAAGTGAAGGATTTCGGCTTCAACCTTAACCTTCCTAATTGCAGAGACTTTTCTCCTCACTCCTCTGTTAACTGTTAACCTCAGAATATTTGTTTGGCTGATTGAGATATACAACAGACAGTGAAAGCGTTGTATTAAAGGGCATGGGTTACAATTTTTTAAAGATTTCTTAAAACGAAATACAGCATCACAAAATACCCTTTACGCCCACTGTTTGGCAAACACACATATCCCCAGACACTTCCCCTGGAGATTCTGATTCCCTAAGCTCAGGAGGGGCTAAGGAACTCTGCATTTACCATTCCCTTCAGGTGAAGCATGTGCTCTGACAAGTCTTGGAACCATTAATGTAGTGGGAAGCTCTAAAGTGAAAGTTGGAAAACTTGAGTTTTCTTCACACTGCTCCTGATTCACAGCATGATTTTTGTCAAGTCATTCAATCATTGTATTAGTCTGTTCTCACACTGCTATGAAGAAACACCCGACACTGGGTAATTTATAAAGGGAAGAA